>NW_016107297.1:0-362221 GCF_000001405.40 Homo sapiens
GAATTCAGTAAAGTTTCAGAATACAAAATCAATGTACACAAATCAATAGCATTGCTATGCACCAACAACATCCAAGCTGAGAATCCAATCAAGAACTCAATCACTTTTACAACAGCTGCAAAAACAAACAAAAATACTTAGAAATATACCTAACTAAGGGGGTAAAAGGCCTTAAAAATGAAAACTACAAAACACTCCTGAAAAAAAAAAATCATAGGTGACACAAACACATAGAAACAAATCCCATGCTCATGGATGGATAGAATCAATATTGTAAAAACGATCATACTGCTGAAAGCAATCTACACATTCAATGCAATTCCAATCAAAATACCACCAGCATTCTCCACAGAACTAGAAACATCAGTCCTAAAATTCATGGAAAACAAAAAAAGAGCTCACATAGCAAAAGCAGGACTAAGAAAAAAGTTGGAGGCATCACATTACCCAACTTCAAACTATACTATAAGCCTATAGTTATTGAAACAGCATGGTACTAGTATAAAAATAAGCACATAGACCAATGGACCAGAATAGAGAATGCAGAAATATAGCTAAATACGTACGGCCAACTGATCTTTGACAAAGCAGACAAAAACATAAAGTGGGGGAAAGGACACTCTGTTATACAAATGGTGCTGAGATAATTGTCAAAGCACATGTAGAAGAATAAAACTGGATCTTTATCTCTCACCTTATACAAAAATCAACTCAAGTTGGATCAAAGATTTACACCTAAGACCTGAAGCCATAAAAAAAAAAATTCTAGAAGATGACATCAGAAAAACCCTCTAGACTTTGGCTTAGGCAAAGGCAAAGACTTCATGACCAAGAACCCAAAAGCAAATACAACAAAAGCAAAGATAAATTGATGCGACTTAATTAAACCAAAAGACTTCTGCACAGCAAAAGAAACAATCAGCAGAGTAAACAGACAACCCACAGAGTGGGAGAAAATATTCATAAACTATGCATCTGACATGGGACTAACATCCAGCATCTACATGGAACTCAAACAAATCGGCAAGAAAAAAAAACAAATAATCCCATCAAAAAGTGGGCAAAGGAAATGAATAGACTATTGTCAGAAGAAGATATACAAATGGCCAACAAACATATAAAAAGGTGCTCAATATCACTAATTATCAGGAAAATGCAAATCAGAACCACAATGGGATATAACCTTACTCCTACAAGAATGGACACAATTTAAAAATAAGAAAATAACAGATGTTGGCATGGATATGGTGAAAAGGGAACGCTTTTACACTGCTGGTGAAAATGTAAACTTGTACAACCATTTTAAAAAATAGTAGGGAGATTCCTTAAATAACTGAAAAGTCGATCTACCATTTGATCCAGCAATTCCACTATTGGGTATCTACCCAGAGGAAAAGAAGTCATTATATGTAAAAGACACTTGCACAGGCATGTTTATAGCAGCATAATTTGCAATTGCAAACGTATGGAACAAGCCCAAATGCCCATCAACCAAAGAAAATGTTTTATATATATATATAAAATATATAACATTTATATATAATATTTATATGTTATATATAATAAATATATAAATTTATATATAAATGTTATATATACATACACACACACACACACACACACACACATACACACACATATATATATATTATATATAGAGAGAGTTCCCTGTAACTTGCACAGCTTGCTTACTTTCCTGTGGTCTCTGCTTCTTATTCTTCATGTGCTCATGGTGTATTCTGAGAAAGACATCTAACATGAAATTACATGCAACTCTATTTTTTTCTAAGAAGTCTACCCATAATTATGTCTATAATTATGGGTAACATTGGTAAATATTTCTGGGGTGTTCAGCATAGGAATGTTTTCATGCATCCATAGGTCTTTGCCATCTCTTCAGTGCTCTGACACTCAGATTCATTGTTTCCATGACCATCTTCACTGTTACGACCTTGTAGTCATTGCACAATCCTTTGGCAATCTGGGCACAAATCTCATCCCAAGGGCATAGTTGGTTGCCTGCCAAAAATCAATTTCCTAGTCCACGTTCCTTCACAGACCCTGGTGGTGTTCAGGCATCCTCCTCTCCTCCTTGTAACCTTGTCATTGGTTCAGAGATGAGCATCCTTAAGCTCATTTAATGAAGGAGCAGATTGTTGAGAGCATCTGTGAAAGGACCTGTCTGGCTCTCAACCAGGAGTCACAAGAAATCAAATTTTGTTCAGCTGAGCATAAATTTCCCACCATAAGTAGATAGCAGAAGCACAAGACAAATAGAATCTAGCTTGAGGGAAATATGGAGGAAAATGACCAGCTAAATGTAAATCTTAACTTACTTTTGGACTTCTTTTTTTTTTTAAGAGCCATTTTTTTTCCCCTGATTTTTGAGCACACTTGAGTTTAGAAACCTAAAATATCCCAAAATGTATATCTGCCATTAACTATTTAGTAGTGCATTGTTGAGTTTACCAAAGGCATGGATATAAAACTCTTTTGGAGTGTCAGCATTCTAAAATCAATATCCCAAAAGGCCTGTAAACACCTGAAGATTCTTGGCTTAGCACGAATAATTGAAAGTATGGAAGAAAGTGAGAGCTGTTTAAATATTTCAAAGCCATTCCAAAGAGATGCTCTCTTAGTCTGCTTAGGTTGCCATAACGAAATACCATGAACTGGTGGCATAAGCAACTGAAATTGCTTTTCTCACAGTTCTGGAGACTGGAAGTTCAAAATTAAGGTGGCAACAGGACCAGGGCCTGTTGAGTGGTTTCTCTTTGGGTTGTGAATTGTTGACTGTCACTATGTCTTCACGTGGCTTTTTCTCGATGTATTTGCTCAGAAAGAGAAAACTCTGCTGTCTCTTCCTCATCTTATGAGGGCCTTAATCTCATCATAACAGCCCCATCCTCATGACCTCATCTAACTCCATTACTTTCTAAAGACTCTGTCTCCAAATATCATCACATGAATATTAAGGCTTTAATGTATGAATTTTGGAGAAACACAATTCAGGCCATAGCAGGTGCTTTCTGTTGGTCCAGGCAATCTAAATTTACTAATGTCTTTAGTCACTCCAGTTTATCATTTGTTGTTGATTGATTACAAAAATGGCAGCAAGCTTTTATCTCTCTTTGTATCCAGTCTCTGCATTATGACTTTGCACCTTCTCCAGACAACTATAGTCTGTGTCCCCACCTTTTGATTCTGGGATAACATTTTACCAATAAATGCGGCAGAATTGAGAATGTGTCATCCATGAGCTTAGGCTTCAAACAGCTTTCTTGTTTCTGTTGTTGCTTTTGGAGCCCTGTCAATGTCATGAGCGATGTTCGCCCCACAAGGTTAATTACAACAGAGCAGATACCAGTAGTCTCAGTACAGACTGACTTCCACTAACCTATTGTTAACTGAGTTCTCAGATATATAAGCATAGATCAGCCAGATTTGGCTCAATCATGAGAAATAATAAATAATTATTGTTTTAATCTGCTGAGTTTTGATGTGGTTTTTACTCAACAATAGCTGATTGATGGAGTATGTCTTATTGATTCCCCCCATATGTATACTTCTTCCAAAAGTTATTGTAGGGAGTCATTACATACTGAAATTACAGAACTACATTTATGTATTATCATGTTTACTATGGCTAATCAACCTATAAATTATAGGTAAACTTAATGCATTCTAAATTATTCTTATTAACAAGATGTATTATACTATATTATATATTAAGTTATTAGATACGTCTAATTGCATGTTGTATAGAAAGATTTTTTTCATACTTTATGTTCATCTCCACTTGACTTCTTTGTAGTTAAGTTTTTTTCTGTCTGGAAGCTTATTTTTTTGTCTTTAACTTCCTTAACATTAACATCGATAATGTAGAGGCAGTTTTGTTTGTTTTATTTTAATCCATTGTCTTTTCATCATTTTTATTTAACCATTAAAAATTATTGACTATTATTTCTTTAAGTTTTAATTCTGAGACTAGCAAAACATGGGATGTGTCAACACTACTTCTCTATGTCTTCTTACTTTACTATGATAGTATCAATCATTATACCTTCTCAATACTTTCTAGATGGTTTTTCCAACTGGACATTCCAGTTCATTATTCACCTCCCCTTCCATGTTCTCTCTACCATCATCTTATTATTTTTTTCATGTTACCGTATTCACCGATATCAGTGAAGGATGATTTGCTCTTAATTAAGATTTTGCTGAACAAAGATGCAGTGAAGGGAGATGCAGTCAGGGACATCTTTTCCAAGCCACCTCCGAGCCTGAAGCTTATACAATTAAAAAATATATGGAGAATAAATACACATATTTTACCTTTATGAATTTATTGCACACGAATGGTCATGAGAAGACTTTGCTAACGTCGCATCCGGGTCTTTGGAAAGCACCCGTGCAAATGAGGAATATACTAGCCTAAACTTTGGTAAGTTGATGTCTCTGAATAGAACTTGAGGCTTCTATTTTTCCTCTATGACTGACTCTAAGCATGTCATGCCTGAAAGTTTACTCACAGTTTTGTTCTGAATGCTGAGTAAGGCCCTGCGTTCATCCCACTTCTGTATCTCTAGGCAGCACGTTAGTATTCCATTCTGAACTGATGAGAAATTGAATCCATGGGGTGCTTTGCAGACAGCATGTAGCTGAAGAAAACAATAGTTTTCTTTCCTTGGTTTCCCTTTGCCAATAAGGATTATTTCCTTGCTGAAACAATGTTGCTAATGATGTTGTTCTGTGTAGCCTATGTATTTTGGAGTAGAAAAATAATGTAAGACCCCCTGGGGTGAAATTTTCCTGCACTGAGGTCAATAAATAAATAAGTAAACCTGACAAACATACATTAGTGTACAAACACTAATGCTTTACTGAAACTGAAAAGAGTCTCTCCAAAGACTTTAAAGGTGCTGATATTTAACAGATAACAAAACTATTTGTTAAAATTTCAGAAGAGGCAGTAAGAGTGAGCTATTTTCTGATTAATTAACCCTATCTAAAATATAAAATCCAGACTGAAACAACAAATCCAGGGTTACCATATTCAAAATGAAATTTTGCTCTGGCTTAACACTCTTAACATCATATAGAATATAAAATTATCTTATCTGTTTTTACTTACAAGCATTTGCTCGCACATATTGATATACATATCTGGGGAAATTACACCACCAAAACCTTCCACATATAGAGTAACTACTTTTATAATGAAATGATAAATCATATAGTATTTCCATTTTAATTACAGAAAAGTTTCTGGGGATGTGTTGCCATGGCTAGAAATGCAACGTCATCTAAGGCATAAAACTATAATCATTTCACATCTTCTCTGGGTCACCATAAGATTTTCTGTATATTATTGAATCTTTGTGCAGACAACAATCTTGGTGCAAATTAAACCCCGGGGATAAGTAGAAGGGACACTAACATCGCTCACCTGAATGATGCAAAGCACCGGTGACATTGTGGACAGTATTTAGGTAAGGATGTTTTTTTCCATCCTTGTTTTTATAAACGAAAACATTTCCATCTTTCCGTCTTTGTGAATTGATACATATTGATTGTACATATTTAAGGGGTTCATGTGATGTTTCGACGCATGCATACAATGCATAATGGCCAAATCGTGTTAATTAGTATATCCACTACCTCCAACATTTATTTCGTGTGTATGTGTTGGGGACATTTTAAGTCTTTTCTTCTAAATATTTTGAAATAGGCAATAAATTATTGCTAAGTATAATCACTCTTGTGTGCTATTGAACACTAGAACTTATCGCTTCTATATAACTCTATATGTGCACCCATTAGCCAATATCTATCTTCATCCTGCCTCCTTCCCAGCCTCTGTTAACCATCATTCTACTCTCTACCTTCCTGAGATCAGACTTTTTAGCTCCCACAAATGAGTGAGAATATGCAATATTTGTCTTTCTATGCTTGGCTTGTTTCACTTAACATAAGGACCTATTGTTTCATTCATGTTTCTGCAAATAACATGATTTGATTCTTTTTATGGCTCTGTAGTATTCCTTTGTGTATATATACCATATTTTCTTTATCCATTTATTTGTTAATGAACACTTATGAGCCACAATTTTTTTAATGAGTGATTTAGATGACTTGCATCAAAACTACTTGGAGTGTTTACTTTTACAAAACCACATTGAGTCTTGATATAGACACGGTAAATCAGAATATCTGAATGTAAGATTTACAAGTTAACTTTTAAACATTTTTTAGTATTTTATATGTGTATATACGTGTGTGTGTATGTATATATATATGTGTGTGTGTGTGTATATATATATATATGGGAAAACTATGAACCCTAGAATATGAGTCCTTGAATATGAGTCACTAATGTATGTATGTGTGTACATATGTATATATACCGTTTCTATAATTAAATATTTGTCTTTGAGAATTATGTAAATATAAATGTGTGCAAGCAGGTTTGGTTCACTATTTTCTTACTAAAAAGTCACAAAAATACCCATTCATTTTTATTATAAAAGGTATTAATATCTCAAAGAAGACTGTATGTCAGGATATCAAAGCTGACTCTTAATTTTTCTTTTATTCTTAAATTTTTGGACTTTGGGAGACAAATAAAATTTCTGTGTTCTAGAGTTTTAAAAATGAGGAACACTTCTAATTCCACCTACTCAGGTGGCTGAGGCATGAGAATTACTTGAATCCTGGAGGCAAAGGTTGCAGTGAGGCTAGATTACACCACTAAACTCCACCATAGGCAACAGAGCAATATTGTCTCAAAAAAAAAAAAATGAGGAAGGTCAGTTTAGAATCTAAATCAGACAGGTCTCTGTAGATAGGGATAGAAAGGACAGGTATATACTACCAAAGTTCCAGGATGATAATATGGTATTTTCTTGGAGGATACTAGAAACTTGATAATAGTGGAGAAATGCTAAGAACAGAGTTTTGCTCAGAAGGACTCATATTCAAGGGTTCATGATTTTCCCTTCATTTTTTCCTCTTTTGTCCTTTTGGACATTTCTAGAAAGATATACATATATAGATATGGATAGATAATTTTCCTGTTTGTCATTCTACTTTCTTTTAATAATTCTTAACTGTTCAAAATGTTTTAGATTTCTGTGTTTCCTTATTATTTAAACTCAAGTGATGGAGTGGCAGAAAAAACCAACTCTTCCATTATGTACTTCAGTACACTCTTGTACTGCAGTGTGTGCAGGCATGGGGCAATACACTTTCCAGGGGATTTATAAGACAGTATAAAATAAATAGCAACCAAACCAAATTAGCAGTGTTTGGAGGCAAAAATGGAAACATTTAGGGAAACATACAACATAAATAGAGTGCTGTTGAATGAATGACTAGCAGGATAGTTGAGACAAAGCCCCCTTTCACATAATTCTAACAACGTTACAATGTTACTGGAGGAATTCAACCCCATGTTTAGGAAGAGGTTAATATTTGATAAATTTTCTACACATCTCTCCATCTCTCTGTGAAAATATTTTATTTTACTTGAGATGATAATATAAACAGTTATTTTCAGGAGGTACAAAATATATTAATTGTATAATTTTTTTGGTAGTAACTTAAGGTGAAACTTGCTCAATAGGGGAAAAGTAGCTGTCATAGGAGCCTAAATAGTGGAGTAGGCTTCTGCTGCCATAAGCCACCAAGATTTATAAAGAGAAGAAATAGTCATGGCATCTGTTTGCTCAACTAACAACATTAAATTTCTATGTGCAATATTGGTAATGATGCATCTAAACCTTATGTAGTAAATAATTTATGAATCTTTTAGGGTGTCAGAGTTTTTTGGCTTTAGTCTAGGTAGAAAGGTCATCGAGTAAGTAGACAGCCTATACGTTTAATGAATATTTGTATTTGCGATGGCTCACGCTTGTGATCCCAGCACTTTGGGAGGCCGAGATGAGTGAATCAGGAGGTCAGGAGTTTGAGACCAGCCTGGTCAATATGGTTAAACCCTGTTTCTACTAAAAATACAAAAAATTACCTGGGTGTGGTGGTGCGTGTCTGCAGTGCCAGCTACTTGGGAGGCTGAGGCAGAAGAAACTCTTGAAACTGGGAGGCAGAGGTTGCAGTGAGCCGAGATCACGCCATTGCACTCCAGCCTGGGCAACAGAGTGATACTCCGCCTCAAAAAAAAAAAAAAAGCAAAGGGTGTCGCCTGTAATCCCAGCACTTTGGGAGGCCGAGGCAGGCGGATCACTTGAGGCCAGGAGTTCGAAACCAGCCTGGCCAACATGGCAAAACCTCGTGTCTACTAAAAATACAAAAAATTAGCTGCGCGTGGTGGTGGACGCCTGTAATCCCAGCTACTTGGGAGGCCGAGACAGAAGAATCGCTTGAACCCGGGAGGCGGAGGTTGCAGTGAGCCGAGATCACACCGTTGCACTCCAGCCTGGGCGACAGAGACTCCGTTTCAAAACAAAAACAAAAACAAACAAAAACAAAAATTAGCCGGCGGGCACCTGTAATCCCAGCTACTCGGGAGGCTGAGGAAGGAGAATCGCTTGATCCCGGGAGGCAGAGGTTGCAGTGAGCTGAGATTACGCCACTGTACTGCAGCCTGGGCGACAGAGGCTCTGGCTTAAAAAAAAAAAAAAGGGAAAGGATGTTACAGAAACTCCAGATACTACTCCCCTTCAGTGGTCTGAGTTGCGCGGCGCTTTCCCGCCTGTCCGGTAGGGGGCGCCGCGCAGAAAGCCGCAGTCCCTCTGCGGAAGGCGCCGCTCTTGGCTTCGGCGGCGCCGCTGTAGCTTGGAGGCGGTACTTCCTCCAGCATTTGCCGCGAGTTATTGGCAAGTTCCCCTGCAGTTTGGGCTGTCTCTGTGGCTGGTTCTGCGGCGTGCGGCCAGCCATGGAGCGCTCTGGGCCCAGCGAAGGTGGGTTTCATGAAGCGAGTCCTGGCGGGGTGGGCCGTGTCGGGGGAGCTGGGGCGCCGCACTAACTAGGCCGCCTCTCTTTTCTTGCTCCAGTGACAGGCTCAGACGCATCGGGACCGGACCCGCAGCTTGCGGTCACCATGGGCTTCACGGGGTTCGGTGAGTGACTGCCCCAGGCAGAGACCCTCTTCCTTTTGCAGAGGTTTGAAGAGCCGCAGAGTGGGAGGGGAGATCGAGCTGTCAACTCGGAATTACTGTAGCTCGGGTGCATACCTTGCAGTTTGTCAATATTCTTCTCCCATTTGTCTTCTATTCTGCGTATCCGTTGGAACCAACTCAGGTGACAGTTATGAGAGTCCTGGAGAGAGAGGAAGAGAAAGGATTTTTCTAATTTTAAGTCACCAATAATGCTAAAATGAACATTTTTGTAAATAACAGCATTTGTACGAGGATTTTTAAAAATATGTAATTCTGTAGGGTAGATTTCTAAAAGAGAGCCTAGTTTATTCAGAAGTATAAATACTTAAAAAGCTGAAAAATTGGGTATGTGCCTTTTAAAGCTTCTTGATACTTACTGCCGTAATACCCATCAAAAAACTTGTTTCAGGTTATACCAAAGTTAACAGAATTTAAGAATGCCATTTTTACCATATCCGTACCAACACAGAGTAGGTATTATTATTTAAAAAGAAAATTATTTTAAAAATGAAAACAAAACTTTAGTAGACTGATACATGAAAAATGATTTCTTTTTATTTTGCATTTTAAAATTATAAATGCTGTTCATCCAAACATTGGGATTCTAACTTCCTTGAACCTTTTCTCAAGGTCTTCTTGTTCTCTTTTGACCAGCGTGTATTAATTCTATGATAGTAATTAAACAGTAGACTTACACATATTGGCCTTGGGTTCTGTTCACACATACTAGTTCTGTAGTTTTTCTATTCATTTTTTTTTTTTTGGGAGACGGAGTCTCGCTCAGTCGCCCAGGCTGGAGTGCAGTGGCAAGATCTCGGCTCACTGCGAGCTCTGCCTCCTGGATTCACGCCATTTTCCCGCCTCAGCCTCCCGAGTAGCTGGGACTACAGGCGCCCGCCACCTCGCCTGGCTAATTTTTTTTGTATTTTTAGTAGAGATGGGGTTTCACCGTGTTAGCCAGGATGATCTCGATCTCCTGACCTCGTGATCCGCCTGTCTCGGCCTCCGAAAGTGCTGGGATTACAGGCGTGAGCCACCGCGCCCAGCCTTTTCTATTTTTTTATTTTTTGAGATGGAGGCTCGCTCTGTCACCCAGGCTGGAGTGTACTAGTGCGATCTTGGCTCACTGCAGCCTCCTCCTCCCAGGCTTAAGCCATCCTCCCACCTTAGTCTCCTGAGTAGCTGGGACCACAGATATGTGCCACCACACCTGGCTAATTTTTTATACTTTTGGTAGAGACGAGGTTTCACCGTGTTGCCCAGGCTGATCGATCTCCTGAGCTCAAGCAATCCGCCCACCTGAGCCTCTCAAAGTGATTACAGGCATGAGCCACCCCACCCGGTATAAATCCTTCATTTTAGTACATCATTCCTTTACTCAGGAGTGAGAAAGGTGTCCATATGTTTGTGCCAAATAGGGGAAAATTTTAAGAGTTTTGATAAAGTTACTGGGGGAGGAGGAGAATGTTTCCATGCTCAACAGTTCCTTGTTATAGGGCTGAGATTTCTGTTTCCCTCTTAGCTCCTTAAAGTACCTGCATTACTTCTCATGTTGCCCCTTTCGTCTTCAAGCCAACTATAACGCCTCAAATTCTTCTCAAACGTTGGATCTCTCTGACTTCTTCCGCCATAGCTGTTGTGCATCTTTGCCTTTAAGGGCCAGCTAGGATAGTTTCCCTATTTAAAAGTCCATAACCTTAATTACATTTGCAAAGGGTAACTTTTGGGACATTCTCCATTCTGCCTCCCACATTAGTGTTGTTGTTTCATAGGGTAGGGATCTAGAGGAGGATGGGAAAGTTGCCTGGTTAATAGTACTTAGTGAAGGGATTGTCATCAGAAGTTTTCTGTGACTCAAACTCCTTCTCTGATATTTTATGGTTATATTGGAGCCAAGCTATAAACTAGACAAAGTAAGTGTTTATTGATCAGTATTGATCGCCTAAAGTTTGGCCAGCTTACTGCAAGACAATCACAGTCTCCCATTTGTTCATCTTTTAGGTAAAAAAGCTCGCACATTTGACTTGGAAGCAATGTTTGAACAAACTCGAAGAACAGCTGTGGAAAGAAGTTGCAAAACACTGGGTAAGAAGTTCAGATATTTGTCGTTTTATTGGTTTAAGTACTATGTATACCTCATGTAAGTATATTAAAAAAGAGAAAAGAATGTTGGCTGGGCGCCGTGGCTCACGCCTGTAATCCCAGCACTTAGGGAGGCCAAGGCAGGCAGATCACCTGAGGTCAGAAGTTTGAGACCAGCCTGGCCAACATGGTGAAACCCCATCTCAACTAAAAATACAATAATTAGTTGGGCATGGTACAGGGGCCTGTAATCCCAGCTAGTCGTGCGGCTGAGGCAGTAGCTTCGGTTGAAGTCGGGAGGCGGAGGTTGCAGTGAGCTGATATCCCCCCATTGCACTCCAGCCTGGGGGACAAGAGTGAAATTCCATCTCAGAGAACAAAGAAAAAAAAGAATGTTGTTATGCTACTTGTCACTGTTGGTTTTTTTTTTTTTTTTTGAGATGGAGTGTCGCCCTGTTGCCCAGGCTGGAGTGCAATGGCATGATCTCGGCTCACTGCAGCCTCCACCTCCCCAGTTGAAGCGATTCTCCTGCCTCTGCCTCCCGAATAGCTGGGACTACAGGCACATGCCACCATGCCCGGCTAATTTTTTGTATTTTTAGTAGAGATGGGGTTTCACTGTGTTGGCCAGGCTGGTTTTGAACTCCTGACCTTGTGATCTGCCTACCTTGGCCTCCCAAAGTGCTGGGATTACAAACGTGAACCACCGTGCCCTGCTTTTTGTTTTTTGGGTTTTTTTTTTTTTTTTTTGAGATGGAGTCTCGCTTTATTGCTGGGCTGGAGTGCAGGGGTGCGATCTTAGCTCACTGCAACTTCTACCTCCCCGATTCAAGCAATTTTCCTGCCTCAGCCCCCCAAGTAGCTGGGACAACAGGTGTATGCCACCACGCCCAGCTAATTTTTGTATTTTTAGTAGAGATGGGGTTTCACCATGTTGGCCAGGATGGTCTTGATCTCTTGATCTTGTGATCTGCCTGCCTCCTAAAGTGCTGGGATTACAGGTGTGAGCCACCGCACCCAGCCCAATTTATCATTTTAAAACCAACAATGGGCCAGTTGTAGTGGCTCATGCCTGTAATCCCAGCATTTTGGGAGGCTGAGGTGGGTGAATCACCTAAGGTCAGGAGTTCGAGACCAGCCTGGCCAACATGGTGAAACCACGTCTTGACTGAAAATAGAAAAACTATCCGGGTGTGATGGTGGGCACCTGTAATCCCAGCTACTAGGGAGGCTGAGGCAGGAGAATCGCTTGTACCTGGGAGGCAGAGGTTGTGGTGAGCTGAGATTGCACCATTGCACTCCAGCCTGGGCGTCAAGAGCAAAACTCCATCTCAAAATAAATAAAATAAAATAAAATAAAATGGGCGACAAGGGCAAAACTCCATCTTAAAATAAAATAAGATAAAATAAAATATAAAGTATAAAACAAAATAACTGAAATAAAAAATAAAATGTTGTACAGCAGCAATATCCAGTATTTGGCAGTGTACCTGACAAAAAATATTTTCAGTCTTTGGAAGAAAACTTTTTTGTGGTGAATAGAAAGCCATCTACATGTACTATTTTTTGAAAAAACCCTTCATTATTTGTTTTATTTGAGACGGAGGCCTGCTCTGTCACCCAGGCTGGAGTGCAATGGCGCGATCTCAGCTCACTGTGACCTCCGCCCCTTGGGTTCAAGTGATTCTCTTGCCTCAGCCTCCTGAGTAGCTGGGATTACAGGTGACCACCACCACGCCTGGCTAAATTTTTTGTATTTTTAGTGGAGACGGGGTTTCGCCATGTTGGCCAGGCTGGTTTCGAACTTGTGACCTCAGGTGATCCGCCTGCCTCGGCCTCCCAAAGTGCTAGGATTACAGGTGTGAACCAGTACTTTATTTCTGACACCAGATATGTAGGAGTTTTCCCCCACACATCAACCAGTTCTCCAACTGGGTATCCGGTAACTCACCTTAATTCTGACACCGTCTGCCTGGAGACTACCACAAGACTGCCTTCACTCAGACACTAATCTCAATTCACAGGTTGTGACCAGTGCTTCTAATCTACTGGCTATAAATCAGGGTTCCCATGACCACTCTTTTTGCTTTGATAATTAGCTAGGACGGCTCACAGGGAAACACTTTACTTATGTTTAACAGTTTATTATAAAGAATATTATAAATGATACAGATGAACAGCCAGATGAAGTAATGCATTGGGCAAGGTATGCGGTGGGAGAGGTGCAGAGCTTCTGTGCCCTCTCTGGGTGCACCAACTCCCCAGCATCCCCCTGTGTTCAACTACCCTGAAGCTAATCACATCTAGTGGTTCAGGAGTGTCTAGGCTGGGTGCAGTGGCTCACACCTATAATCCCAGCAATTTGGGGGACCAAGGTAGGAGGATCACTTGAGCCCAGGAGTTTGAGACAAACCTGGGCTAACACAGTGAGATCCCATTCAAAAAATCTTATAAAAATTAGCTGGGCATGGCGGTGCACACCTGTAGTCCCAACTACTTGGGAGGCTGAGATGAGAGGGTCACTTGAGCCCAGAGGTTGAGGCTGCAGTGAGCTATGATCATGCCACTGCATCACAGCCTGAGTAAAAAAGCAAGAGCCTGTCTCAAAAAAAAAAAAAAAAAATTTCTATAGATCTTAATTTCCAGCTTCCCCAGAGATTGGTGGGTGGGGATGAAAGTTCCAATTATCTAACCTGTCAGTTTTTTTAGTGAGCAGCAGTCCCATCCTGAGGCCTAGGGATCCCACACTAAGTCACTTCAATAGCATAAACTTAGGTGGGATCCAAAGGGGCTTCTAATGAATAACAAAAGACAGCTCCTATCACTCAGGAAATTCCAAGTATTTCAGAAGCTCTGTGGCAGGAACCTGAAACAAAGACCAAATATATATATATTTTTTTGAGACAGAGTCTCACTCTGTCGCCCAGACTGGAGTGCAGTGGTGTGATCTCGATTCACTGCAAGCTCTGCCTCCCGGGTGCACGCCATTCTCCTGTCTCAGCCTCCTGAGTAGCTGGGACTATAGGCACCGGGCACCATGCCTGGCTAATTTTTTTTTTTTTTTTTGTATTTTTAGTAGAGACAGGGTTTCACCCTGTTAGCCAGGATGGTCTCGATCTCCTGCCCTCATGATCCGCCCCCCTCAGCCTCCCAAAGTGCTGGGATTACAGGAGTGAGCCACCGCACCTGGCCAAATATATTTCATATTATACCACAGTATCATCACATCAAGAAACAATTTTAATATCCTCAAACAGTAGACAAAGACATGCTATCTGAGGCATTTACAAATGTTTTAAACAATTTAGTGAATGTTTGTACTATCACAGTATAGGTACCTTGTATTTACCATTTTAAGCATATAATACAACATGTTTTGAACAAGGATTGTCTTATTTGGCTATGTCGGCTTTTTGTTGTTATTTACTTATTTATTTTTTTGAGTTGCCCAGGCTGGAGGGCAATGGTGCAATCTAGGCTCACTGCAACCTCTGCCTCCTGGTTCAAGCAATTCTCCTGCCTCAGCCTCCCCAGTAGCTGGGATTATAGGTATGTGCCACCATCACCTGACTAACTTTTGTATTTTTTGTAGAGACAGGGTTTCACCATGTTGGCCAGGCTGATCTCAAACTCTTGAAGTCAAGTGATCCGCCTGCCTCAACCTCCCAAAGTGAAGCTTTTTATTTTTAATTTTTTTATTTTCAATTTTTGTGGGTACATAGTAGATGTATATATTTGTGGGTATGTAAGTTTTATAGCCCCTAGTACTTTACTTTGTAAAATAGGTTCTCAGTAATATTTTGAGAATATTAAATTGAATTTAGACCTGTAATACTGTCTTGTTAAAAAATGAAATCTTGCTGCTTTGGAGAATGTTTTAAAATGGCACAATCTGGGCTGGGCACGGTGGCTCACGCCTGTAATCCCAGCACTTTGGGAGCCTGAGGTTGGTGGGTCACCTGAGATCAGGAGTTTGAGATCAGCCTGGCCAACGTGATGAAACCCTGTCTCTACTAAAGATACAAAAATTAACCCGGTGTGGGTGGCGGGCACCTGTAGTCCCAGTTACTCGGGAGGCTGAGGCAGGAGAATCGCTTGAACCTGGGAGGCGGAGGTTGCAGTGAGCCTAGATCGTGCCATTGCACTCCAGCCTGGGCGACGAGAGCAAAACTCTGTCTAAAAAAAAAAAAATGGGCACAATCTGTTGGAAAGAGCTTGGGATTTGGAATTGGGGGACCTAGGTTTAAGGCCCAGCCCCACAGTCTACTAGATGAGGAACATTGGATGGGTTTTCCAATTTCTGATCCTTCATAACCCTGTTGTGTGTGTATCATCTACCTTGGACGTTTCTTGAAGAGATTAAGATTTTGGGTGTAGTAGCTTATAAACAGCAAAGTACTTTATAAATATTATTTTAAATTCTTGCAATTTTTCTTAGTAAAGCATGTATACATTTTACCTAAGAGGAACTTAGGGAGTTATTAAATTTTTAAATTATTGAAAAATTGTCTCAAGACTATGATCTCCTTTGATTTTTGTGGACAAATTATTGAACTTTCTTGATTTACTATTACATCTTTGGACTGCAGTTTCTACCTCTGATCTAAACACATGAATCTAAATTGATTATCTCTTTGAAAGATCTACTTAGCTTTAGCATGTAAATAGAAAATAACATTGGAATAATTTATGGAAGTAGTATTCATCATTATATGGGAAGTTACTCATAAGAGATTTTTTTTTTTTTTTAGTGTTCTTCCAGACTTGGCAATTAGATTACATTTAGACTGTGGAATTAAAAGTGATTCCCTGTGAGCTCTCCTAGCAAATTATGAAATTGAAGAGAGAGAGAACGGGTTGCGGGAACCCTAGTTTCCTACCGTGAGACAGTTTGACTTACTTTTCTTTAAAAGTTGAAAATTCTCATATGGGCATTATTTATCTCATGCTTGGTATTGGAGTCTTTCCCTGGGTATTCATAGTACACTTGAGGAAACTAAGACTTTGACCCTTTTAATAGCAAGTTTGTCTGTATGTGGGGGTATGAGCTGTCTTGGTTGCTAAGTGCACTAGTGGAAAGGATGAATTACTATAAAACCCCGATAAAATATGTGCTGTGAAGGGTCTGGAAATGATAATGGTACAAATTTTTTTTAATGTTTTTTATGTTCTTGAAAGCTATAAGTATGTGTAGGACATATGAAATACAGATTTTTTTTCTCTTTCTTGAGACAGAGTCTCTCTCTGTCGCCTAGGCTAGAGTGCAGTGGGACGATCTCAGCTCACTGCAACCTCCGCCTCCCAGGTTCAAGGAATTCTTCCTCAGCCCCCTGAGTAGCTGGGATTACAGGCGTGCACCACCATGCCCGGATAATTTGTTGTATTTCTAGTAGAGACGGGGTTTCACCATGCTGGCCAGGCCGGTCTCGAACTCCTGACCTCGTGATCTGCCTGCCGCAGCCTCCCAAAGTGTTGGGATTACAGGCGTGAGCCACCGCGCCCAGCTGAAATACAGACTTTTTTTTTTTTTTAGAAGTGTTATACTAGGCTGGGGACAGTGGCTCATGTCTGTAATCCTAGTACACTTTGTGAGGCTGAGGCAGGTGGATTGCTTGAGGCCAGGAGTTGGAGACCAGCCTGGCCAACATGGTGAAACCCCATCTCTACTAAAAATACAAAAATTAGGTGGGCATGGTGACTGGCGTCTATAATCCCAGCTGCTCGGGAGGCTTAGGCAGGAGAATTGCTTGAACCTAGGAGGTGAAGGTTGCAGTGAGCTGAGATTGTGCCACTGCACTGACACCTGGCGACAGAGTGAGACTCTGTCTCAAAACAAAAACAAAAAGCCCAAATGTCCAACAATGATAGACTGGATTAAGAAAATGTGGCACATATACACCATGGAATACTATGCAGCCATAAAAAATGATGAGTTCATGTCCTTTGTAGGGACATGGATGAAATTGGAAACCATCATTCTCAGTAAACTATCGCAAGAACAAAAAACCAAACACCGCATATTCTCACTCATAGGTGGGAATTGAACAATGAGATCACATGGACACAGGAAGGGGAATATCACACTCTGGGGGACTGTGGTGGGGTCGGGGGAGGGGGGAGGGATAGCATTGGGAGATATACCTAATGCTAGATGACACGTTAGTGGGTGCAGCGCACCAGCATGGCACATGTATACATATGTAACTAACCTGCACAATGTGCACATGTACCCTAAAACTTAAAGTATAATTAAAAAAAAAAATTAAAAAAAAAAAAAAAAACCAGAACTCCTCTTCCCCAAGGTGGGTCATAGTAACTAAGAACCGCTCTTTCCCAAAGCCAATCATAAAATCCAGAACTAGTACTCGAACTTTCCCCAGCCTTTCTGTGTAAGCGCTGGCCATAAAGAAAGTCTCTGACCTACCTTATCTGACTGTGGGTCATAAGACCCTCATTCCGGAGGGGTTCTGCCCTATACCCTGGAGGAAGAAATGCAGCACGGAGAGGCCAGGAAGAATCTGGCTGGACAGGCCTTTCTGGGTGTCCCCCTCAGTCTATGACATCAGGTCATTCCCTTTTTGTCCGATACCTTTTTACATGCCTGTCCATTCTTCACTGAACCTGAGCATAAAAATAGACAGTTTTCCCTGGGTCTTTGGGTCTTCTTGTCCAAAGGCTCCTGTGTCACATAAAACTTGGATTAAATAAATCTGTTACTTTTTTCTCTTCCAAAAAAAAAAAAAAAAAAAGAAAAACTAAGGGAAAAAGAGGGAGGACTGGCATGGTGTGGTGGCTCACATTTGTAAATCTTGAGGCAGGAGGATTGCTTGAGCCCAGGAGTTCAAGACCAGCCTGGGCAACATAGTGAGACCCCGTGTCTATTAAAAAAAATAATAGTAAAAAAGAGGGAAATGGCAGCTGAGTAGGCAGCCTCAATATCTTTTCCTGATTAGTAATATAATTGACTGTAAGACCTGAGGGAGAAGATGAGCCTAGAGTACAAATGCTGCTGCCACCCCCCGAGGTCTGGAGGAATTGGCTGAAAAAACAGGGTGAACTAGGAGCTAAGCAGGCCCATTCTTTTTTTTTTTTTACCTTCCGGGTTCAAGCGATTCTCCTGCCTCAGTGTCCTGAGTAGCTGGGACTACAGGTGCACACCGCCACACCTGGCTAATTTTTTGTATTTTAGTAGAGACAGGGTTTCACCATATTGCCCAGGCTGCTCTCGAACTCCTGAGCTCATGCAAGCCACCCGCCTCGGCCTCTCAAAGTGCAAGGATTACAGGTGTTAACCATCACGCCTGGCTTCAGGCCCATTATTTTCTTTTTTTTTTTTTTTTTTTTTGAGACGGAGTCTTGCTCTGTTGCCCAGGCTGGAGTGCAGTGGCGCCATCTCCACTCACTGCAGGTTCTGCCTCCCGGGTTCATGCCATTCTCCTGCCTCAGCCTCCAGAGTAAGCTGGGACTACAGGCACCTGCCACCACGCCCGGCTAATTTGTGCATTTTTAGTAGAGATGGGGTTTCACCATGTTGCCCAGGCTGGCCTCGAACTCCTGACCTCGTGATCCACCTGCCTCGGCCTCCCAAAGTGCTGGAATTACAGGCATAAGCCACCATGCCTGGCCTTGAAACCATCTTTCAAAATGTGGTCTTTTTGCAGTACAGCTGGAATGTCTCTGCCTTTCCCACCATGCACCTTTGTAAAGGGGCGGCTTCTGTCTCGCTGGTGTAACAGATTTCTTCCCTGTGTTCCCTTTCTCTTCTGTCAATGAATCATGGGTGGCTGTCAGCTGGGGACCGCTCTCAGTGTCTCATGCACTGAATGCAACATGGACACAAACGATAGGGCCAGGTGGGGGACAGCAAGAGGTGAGCACCGGAAATTGCATGAGGTAGGAGTCACTGGCTGGTAGTGGGTGAGGGACACGTGGTAGGGACAGTTCAGCAGCTGGATCAGGGTGGAAATCCAAATCCTGACAGCTGAGAAGTGGCACAGACCTGCTTCTGTGGGGACAAGTGTCCACTGGCCCTGGCCAACTGGCCTCCAGGGGGCATTGTTGGAACATGCGATCATCCCAAAGCATTTCAGCTTGAAGAAGATCTAGGACACAGTTTGTTGTTACCACCTCAGAGCATTTAGATGGGATGTGATGGATGGAATTGAAGTTAAAAACCCATTCACCATTTCTAGGTAGTACAGTAGGCTCCTAATTTACAGAAATGCTTGTGAAATTGGGAATCATGATAAAATCCTCATACCTCCTCCTCTTTTAACCAAATCTTTCTAAAATGCACAATTATAATTTCTTATCTTTAGGAAAAAGTAATTATGTTATATGTGTTATATACACTATGTAAATATAGTTCATTAAATCATTCTTTGGCGTTTGAAGACTTTCTAATTCATTACTTCATTCCAGACATCAATGACAACAGCACATACCGAGCAGGTACACATATGAGCTACCTACTAATATGCCCTGATTTTGATTGTATTTTGTGAAAACCTTGGTATGGGTTATTTTTAAATGAATGTTTTCCCAAATTTTAAGCTGAAACTAGGATGCGTCAAAATTATCTTGGTCATAATCTTGTCAATGATGTCGTCTAAAGGCCACCAGGAACACACCTGTAGCCCAGCAAAGTTGAGGCCATCAACTGGCTCATCACAACAAGGAAGGCTGTGCACCACTGGGACCCAGCAGCAGCTCAGCAGCAGCAGTGAAAGGGCCTTGGGAAAGACTCGGAGGGTTTGGCTTATACAAGGTGATCTTAGGGAGGGTCAAGGAAACAGGCTGTGATGGTTAATATTGAGTGTCAACTTGATTGGATTGAAGGATGCAAAGGATTGTTACTGGGTGTATATGTGAGAGTGTGGCCAAAGGAGATTAACATTTTAATCAGTGGACTGGGAGAGGCACACCCACCCTCAATCTGGGTGGGCATCATCTAATCAGCTGCCACAGCAGCTAAAATAAAGCAGGCAGAAGTTGGAATGAGCAGACTTGCTGAGTGTTCCAGCCTTCATCTTTCTCCCATGCTGGATGCTTCCTGCCCTCGAATGTCAGACTCCAAGTTCTTCAGCTTTTTTTTTTTTTGGACTCTTGGACTTACACCATTGGTTTGCCAGGGGCTCCCAGGCCTCTAGCCGCAGACTGAAGGCTGCACTGTGAGCCTCCCTACCTTTGAAGTTTGGGACTCAGACTGGCTTCTTGGCTCCTCAGCTTGCAGTCGGCCTATTGTGAGACTTCCCCTTGTGATCATGTGAGCCAATTCTCCTGATAAACTCACCTTCATATATACATCTATCCTATTAGTTCTGTCCGTTTAGAGAACCCTGACTGATACACAGGCCATGCTCAGATGGAGTGCTGTCTGGAAATGGGAGTAATTCTGTGGTTGAATGTCTTAATTGTCCTGGAAGGTGGGAGAAATGGAATGAGGCTGGTGCTACAATTGATGTAAAAGCAGCAGCTGCTCACATAAGCCGGGGTGGGGGCTGCCTAGGCGTATTTGTGGTATTGACCACGTTCTTGTTTTTGTTTGTGACCAGGCCAGATTACAGAGGGGTATTGATTTGCCTTGCCCCCGCCCCCACCATCACAGTGTGTCCCTGTCCAGTGTTGGTGCTGTGTGGCATTGGCTTGTGTCCATAGGAGTCCATCAAGGCAGAGCGGCAGAGCGGCAAGGCAGGTCAGCTTCCAGCTCTTCCAGGCTGCATGTCCCACTCAATATCCTGTAAGTTCTGATCTGGCAGATACTGAATACTCAAGGGTTCACATTCTCTTAGCCTAGAGGTGGCTGCAATAATGAAAGGCATTTGGCTGATGTGTTTTCAAAGGAGAGGGAAGCTGTCTGTGTTTGTTACCTGCGGCTGCATAACAAATGACCACAGCCTAGTGACTCGAAACATCACACACCAGTTACCTCCGCTCTCAGTAGGTCAGAAGTTCAGGCATAGACCAGCTGTGGCCTCCACTCTGAGTCTCAGCAGGCTACAATCAGGGCTCAATCAGGGCTGTGGTCCTGTCAGAGGCTCTCTCAGGTTGTTGGTGGTTGTAGGACTGAAGTTCCTGTTTTTGGGGGGTAGTCAGCTGGTGTATTAGTCTATTTTCACACTAGTGATCAAGACATACCTGAGACTGGGTACTTTATTTTAAAAAAAAAAAGAGATTTAATGGACTCACAGTTCCATGTGGCTGGGGAGGCCTCACCATCATGGTGGAAGGCAAAAGGCCCACCTTACATGGCAGCAGGCAAGAGAGAATGAGAGCCAAGCAAAAGGGGTTTCCCCTTATAAAACCATCAGATCTCATGAGACTTATTCACTACCATGAGAACAGTATGGGGGAAACTGCCCCCGTGAATCAATTATCTTCCACCAGTTCCCACAACATGTGGGAAATATGGGAGCTACAATTCAAGATGAGATTTGGGTGGAGACACAGCCAAACCTATCAGCGGGGGACCACTCTCAGCATCCAGGGGCTGCCATGGTTCCTGCCACATGGCCTCTCACAGTCCTTCCTATAGGACGGACGGCAGCCCTTCTTACACAAGTCAGCAAGAGGGAGTCTCTCTTGCCCCCACTTGCTAAGGCAGAATCTCACATCAGATGTAACCATCACATTTGCTGTATTCTATTATCTAGAATTATGTCACAAGCCCCTTTATGCTCAGGGGAGTGGATTATCCAAAACATAGATCACCGGGGAGGGGTGACCTTAGGGTGTGTTGGCCACATCACCTAAGAGTACATGAAACATCTCTCTCATTTCTTCCATTTCTTGAGCTTTTAAAAAATTACTAAACGAATAAACATAGACAATTTAGGTTGCATGAATGAATACAAAGAACATATTATCATTCCTAATTATCACAATTTCTACCACAAACATGATCACTTGTAACACTTGCATGCATGTACTGGACCAGTTTTTATAAACCATCCCAGCTATGGTCTGCTGCTCAATGGGACTGATGACTCTTCAGACGTATGGTCTGGGATCAACCACATTCTTGCAGGCCACCAAGAGGAGGCATCCATCTCCACAGAAGAGAGACGAGCTCTGGGCTCCTTCTGCACCTTCACAGTGAAGGCTCAACGGGGCACATGGATCCCTGTGTTGCCCTAGATATGACATTTTTACATTTTTGACTTTTCACCCTGTAGTGGGGGTTAAGGGCAGAGCTACAGGCATCTGGTAGGTATAGCCTAGGGACGTTGCTAAATACTCTTCCACAGGGAGGACAGTCTCTGACCACAAAGAATTGTCCAGCCTAAAACGTCAATAGTGCCAGGGTTAAGAACACTGGCTCCAACCTTGCACAAGTCTGTGAAGTTCAAGACATTGTGGAGGTTTTTCTTGTTTTGTTTTGTTTTTTTTTTTTTTTTTTTTTTTTTTTTGCTGTTTACAAAGGTGTCCTTTTCTCTCCCCATGATACTTCACAGTTCAACCCAATGGAAATGGATTGAAAGAGTGAAAGTCACTGGTCTCAAAGAATCTACGGAATTTAGCATTTTGAAAATCACATAGCAATTTTGGGTAGGTATTCACCTGCACTAAAAAACCAGGCAAACATCCGACTCCCAGGATAAAGTGACTGAGAGCAGTAGAAGACTTGTTGAGCCTTAAGGAATAAGAGGAAAATTACGTTATGAAGTGCAGGAACAGCACAGACCCAGACGAGGGGACGCAGCCCGGAGCCAGTAACCCGGCGCCACCTCCTCCCCAGGGCGCAGCGCTGGCTGATCCCCAGATACCGTGATCACACGTCCCGGGTCCTGAGAGCGCCTCATAGGTAGACAGTTCTTTGGGACTTCTGGGATGCAGCACTTGAAGAGAGGTTTACCTAAACTTTCCTCCTGGGAGCCTGTGATCATTTGAAAGTAACAGAAGAAAGTTGTCAGGCTGAGGAAAGTTTCAACAGGCACTTGGTGAGAATGGGAAGCATCCATTCATTGTGAAATCGCGGGGACAGAGGAGGAATTCACGGGATCAGAGCACTGAGAAACTCCAGAGGCTTCTGGTTCACCGCCCTGATTCCACAGATGTGGGTCAGAGGCAGAGATGGAAGTTGGAATGGACAAGCCTGCCCTCTCCTTGGCTCTCCATGGCTCTGTCCTCAGGCTGTTTCTGCAATTTGACATGAGGCCTGGCCCCAGGGAAACCAGTGGGGCCTCATCTCCTCCCTGTGCTGCTCTGAGGTGGAGCCTTCTCAGGGTCAGTCCAGCTCTGGAGCCCCTCTCCAGCTCGGTCACCAAAGCTGTCTGGTCCCAGGGCGGTGCTGAGTGACAGGCATGCCAGCCAATCCAATCGGCAATTTCATATCCAATGCATGTGACTGATAAAGAGATAACGCCCTGTCTCCAAGACACAGGCTTTACATAAACAGCTTTAATGACTTCTTCACTTAGAGACAAGACTCCTTAGTGGTGGAACCTCAGGCATCCGTGCAGGACGTAAGAAAGCTCCCGTATATACATGAACTGAGAAGTGTGTAGAAGAATAAATACTGTAATAGGTAATAAAATGTATGTATTTTTATTTATGTGCTACTTTGTCTTTCTCCCTCTCTGTGTATATACACATACATACAAAAATGTATTCATTCTATGGAAAACATGAAAGATGTAATATTCTTTACATATGAAATTTTAATTAATGTATTTTTTCTGATCATATGAACACCACAAATATAATTTTATAATTTTTTTACCTAACAATAACTCTTAAACATGAATATACATGGACAATATCATAGTTTTTTTTTTAATCATAATTAAAATGGTTGTGAAACATTCCACTTTAATTTATTCCTCCTAATCCCTAGAGTGGTACGTTAAGTGAGGGTTTCTCAGCCTCGGTACCATGGGCAGTTTGGGTTAGCCCATCCTTTTCAGAGACACTGCCCTGGACACTGCAGGATGTGGCTTCACATTCTGGTCTCTGCCCACTGGATGCCAGAAACATCCCTTCCCCTTAGCTGTGGTAATCAACACTGTCACTAGACATTGCCAAATGTCCCCTGGAGGACAAAATCACCCTAGGTTGAGAACCAATGGCATTTTTTTTTAAACTATCATTGTAAGACAAAGCCACCTGAACTTCCTTGCTGATGTCTCTTCACTTCTTTTTTTTTTTTTTTTTTTTTTTTTTTTTTTGAGACAGAGTCTTGCTCTGTCGCCCAGGCTGGAGTGCAGTGGCATGATCTCGGCTCACTGCAAGCTCCGCCTCCCAGGTTCACACCATTCTCCTGCCTCAGCCTCCTGAGTAGCTGAGATTACAGGCGCCCGCCACCACACCTGGCTAATTTTTTTTGTGTTTTTAGTAGAGACGGGGTTTCACCATGTTAGCCAGGATAGTCTCGATCTCCTGACCTCATGATCCGCCCACCTTGGCCTCCCAAAGTGCTGGGATTACAGGCATGAGCCACCACTCCTGGCCTCAACTTCTATCTAATTTTATTCAGAGGGAAAATTTCTAGAAGCGACATTCCTGTTGCAGAGAAGAGATATTCACTTGAGAACCTTGATATATATTTGCCAAATTTCTGTCCAAGTATCATTTTTAAAAAGTTAAAAATATGACTTTCATAGAAACACATACAGAGCATATGTCAAAGATGTATTTCTCTAATGCAATGAGACAGCCAGCAAGACAGTGAGGCTGCAGCAGCATGGGGACAGAGTGCAGAAAGAGGTCGCAGAAGCCTTGGAAGAAGGTCATTCAGTCATACAAGGACACCCTGATGCTTGCGCTGCGGTCCTTTCCAAGTCCACGGGGCATTGTTCCTTTGTGTCAACACCAGATAAGATTCATGGGCATTGCTGTCAGTGTTGTGTGTGTTATAATACCAGGGACCCTCACATGGCTGTGTTAGATTCTAACCAATAGACAATAATAAGTCACAGCAAAGACCGTTACTGATTCCTTCCATTATTTCTTTAGAGACTTTGGTTTAGCGCTCTGAACTTTCTGATTATCAGATCTTATGTGTTTGCTAATATATAAAATAACAAATTAGACATAATGCCCTATAATTTTCTCAGTTTGATTAATTGCCTGAAATTTGATGTGTCAGTCAGTGTTTGATTAGAATAGAGAAATCACATGTAATTTGAACAAGGAAAGATTAATACGAAGAATTGCTAGCTATAACAGGGTTTTGGAGCAATAAGGATTGGCTAGTAAAAAGTAAAGAGAACTCTAAGGAATATAAGAATAACAGATAAAAGGAGCATCAACCCCTGGGGTTGAGATACAACGTCCAGGGCCTCTGGGATTAAGATCCAGACTCTGTTTGAGGGGGCATGGCTGTCGCTCACTGAATGAAGAGAAGTTGCTGTGGTAGAAATCTGTCTCATCAGAATCACTCTGCTATAATACTGCCTTGTGGAGGTACTGGTGGAAGATACTCGGTGCTGCTGACTGCTGTGCACTTCAGGGGCCTGACAATGGAGCAAACTGCATGGGTTCTGGATCTGGACACTGGAGAAGCTGTGTTGCAGTACAGAAGCCTGCCAAGAGGAGCACACAAGACTCTTGGAAAGAAGAGGAAAATCTCCTCTTACAATGTCAATCTAACATCATGCCAGCTAGCAAAGGAAAAATGTTTAAAGGGTCCAAGTTCATTTCTGCAGAGCAGACATGAAAGGTTGAATTCGGAGCTGAGAGACAATAAGTGGACAACTGGCACATTTGGTCAAACTTGTAATTTTATATCTTAGATGGACAAATTAAACACAAGTCCATAGGTGTTTTCCTTACAAGCTTACATTTAAATTTGGGATCCTGGTCAGAATTTTGCTGAGGACTTCAATTTTTCCCAGTGTTTCAGGAAGGATACCGTGGGGCCAGAGCCACTTTTCTTTATTGTAAGGTCCTGGGCTGTGGCCCCTTTTGCTTTTCTGGGCTCCTTTCTCATGGGCATCTGTTTTGGGAGCTTCATTTCCTCATCTGCTTTGACACTTTAATCTTGGACATTGTAGTGAAATGCTTCACATTGTCACACATTCTAATCTCAGAGACCACTCCAAATCTTTTTGAATTTTCTTGGCCATTGGAATTAGTACTCTGGAATCAGTACATTAAGAATGGTTTTTTAAAAACTATCAGCTAGAATTTCAATATTTTAGAAGAAATGGTCAGTATAAATTTGGAGAAGCGGTTTCTAGCTAGTAGTAGCTGTGCAGAAAAACAGTTTTATTGATAAGTATCTGATTTGGATTTAGGAACCAGCTAGGATGAAAAATTCAATTGAGGTCTGGCCAGATAGACATAAATTTTATTTTTCCTTTATATTCTGTGTCCAAAAGACAAATTGTCATGAGTTATTTATTTTCTTTTCTGAAGTATCCATTTGTTTCTCAGCTTTGGAATTAGAGGTGTAGAAAATAAACGGGACTCAACAGCCTAAGATTTTGTTTAAAAAGATGTTCTTATTTATTTATATTAAAAAAATTTATAAAATTTTTTTTGCAAGAAACTGTCAGCATTTTCATTTTTGATAGATAAATTTTATATTTGGGATTTTGATTATTAAGTTGTTTCTCCACCAGAATTCCTTATGGATTTTTGTAATAATCTGTATTTAGTGTATTTAATTATTTGCTTTCCATTTATATTTATTTTGGGATTTCTTTTTTAGGAGAATGGCACCTGTGACAGCATACTGTTAATATTACCCTTGTATCGTACTTTACCATGCCATCTCTGAAGAATATTACAGACCATTTTGGAGCATGGTGAATAACAAATTTTTACCTTAAGAGTTCACTTGAATAGTCATTTTTATATTTGTGACTGCAAGTCACTTTTAGGGGCTGTACTTCCTTAGTACTGGTAGCATTATTATCCAATGGACTTTTATAGCTTTCATTAGGTTTTCTTTTGTTTTTGTTCTTTAAAGAACATTTTACTTATCTTAGTATTTCATTTTTCATCCATATTATGAGGCAGTAAGAGTCTTCTGTTTTTCCAAAGTTGAGAC
Organism: Homo sapiens; assembly: GCF_000001405.40. Classification (NCBI taxonomy): domain Eukaryota; kingdom Metazoa; phylum Chordata; class Mammalia; order Primates; family Hominidae; genus Homo; species Homo sapiens. The sequence continues at coordinate 27,193 of NW_016107297.1, forward strand.
TGCTTTATATTTATTTCATATTGTCTACAGCTGTAGTGTTCAATACATTAGCCACTAGCCACATATGGTTATATAAATACGATAAAATAAAAATTAGCCAGGCGTGGTGGCTCACGCTTGTAATCCCAGCACTTTGGGAGGCCGAGGCGGGCAGATCATGAGGTCAGGAGATCGAGACCATCCTTACTAAGACGGTGAGATCTCATCTCTATTAAAAATACAAAAAATTAGCCAGGCGTGGTGGCGGGCGCCTGCAGTCCCAGCTACTCAGGAGGCTGAGGCAGGAGAATGGCGTGAACCTGGGAGGCAGAGTTTGCAGTGAGCCGAGATGGAGCCACTGCACTGCAGCCTGGGGGACAGAGCGAGACTCCATCTCAAAAAAAAAAAAAAAAAAAAAAATTAAAAATTAAGTTCTTTAGTTGCACTAGCCATATTTCAAATACTTGATGGATACATGTGACTAGTGGCTAACATAAGGGATAGCACAGATATAAAACATTTCCTCGACATATAAAGTTCTATTGGATAGTGCTGGTCTGTAGCTTATAGGATGGTATCTTAGTCTGCTTCAGCTGCTAAAACAGAATACCATAAATTAGGTAGCTTATAGGATGGTATCTTAGTCTGCTTCAGCTGCTAAAACAGAATACCATAAATTAGGTAGCTTAAACAGTAGATATTTTGACCCGGCGTGGTGGCTTATGCCTGTATTCCTAACACTTTGGGAGGCCGAGGCAGGTGGATAACTTGAGCTCAGGAGTTTGAGACTAGCCTGGGCAGCATGGCAAAACCTTGTCTCTACGAAAATTAGCTGGGCATGGTGGTGCACGCCTGTAGTCTGAGCTACTTGGGAGGCTGAGGTGGGAGAATTGCTTGAACCTGGGAGGCGGAGGTTGCAGTGAGCCATGATCGCACCACTGTACTCCAGCCTGGATGACAGAATGAGACTCTGTCTCAAAAAAAACAAAAACAAACAAACAAAAAAAACAGATATTTCTCACAGTTGTGGAGACTGGAAGTGCAAGATCAAAGTGTTGGCAAATTACGTTTCTTAAAGAGGGCCTGCTTCCTAGATTGGAAATGGCCATCTTCTCTCAGTATCCTCACATGGTAGGGAGAAAAGCAGCTCTAGTGTCTCTTCTTATAAAGGAAGTAATGCCACCATAGGGGCTCTATTCTCATGACCTCATCTAAACGTAATTCTCTCCTAAAGGCCACGCCTCCCAGTATCCTCACCTTGGGGGTTAGGGCTTTATCATATGAATTTTTTTTTTTTTTTTTTTTGAGACAGAGTCTCGCTCTGTCTGTCACCCAGGCTGGAGTGCAGTGGCACAATCTCGGCTCTCTACAAGCTCCGCCTCCTGGGTTCACGCCATTCTCCTGCGTCAGCCTCCTCAGTAGCTGGGACTAAGGCGCCCGCCACTGCGCCCGGCTAATTTTTTTGTATTTTTAGTAGAGACGGGGTTTTACCATGTTAGCCAGGATGATCTCGATCTCCTGACCTCGTGATCCACCCACCTCGGCCTCCCAAAGTGCTGGGATTACAGGCATGAGCCACCGCGCCTGGCCTATCATATGAATTTTGAGGGAACACAATCATGCAGTCTGTAGCAGATGGTAATAGGCTGATATATTACACTTGTTGATGTAAATCTGATAGGTTTCTTTCTCTCCAAGGACAGCTTTTTAAATATTTAACAGTATCAATAATTTTTCAGTTTCTGTGAGAATTTTATAATTTATAATTTGCAGACTTAATGTATAATCTATTTTGTCCTAACAATTACAAATATATTTTTTATTTCAGATTATATATATTCCTACCAGATGGAGATAATTACAGCTTTAAAAATTTTTATTTTTTCATTTTATTTCACATATTGACATTAAATTTTTATTGACACATAATAATTGTACATATATATGGGGTACAATGTGATGTTTTAATACATGTACTCAATGTGTAATGATCAAATCAGGGTAATTTGCATAATGATTTTTCTGTAGGGAGAAAATTCAAAATCTACTCTTCTGGCTATTTTCAAATATATAATATGTTATTGTTAACTATACTCATCCTACTATGCAATAGGACACCAGAACTTATTCCTGGGTTCTACATCTGTTAAGCCAACCAAAGATTGGAAATATTGGGAAAAAAAATTGCGTCTGTACTGAACATGTACAGACTTTTTTCTTGTCCTTATTCCTTACACAATATAGTACAATAACTATTTGCATGACATTTACATCGGATATTATGAGTGATCTAGAGTTGATATGAAGTATATGGGAGGATGTGCAAAGGTGATGTGCAAATACTATGTCATTTTATATCAGGGACTTGAGTATCCTTTGTTATCCTCAGGAGATCCTGAAACTAGTCCTCCATGGATACTGAGGGCTGACTGTCTAGTCCTATCCTCACGGAACTTTCATTGTAATGAGGGAAGACTGACTATAAACAAAATATATGTAATAGGTGGTGGTAAGTACCGTGGAGAAGTAACAAATGGGGCAAAGTGAGTTATACAGCTCCATCCTTAGAAACCTTGGAGTACTTTTCTTAGTTTATACTCGTGGTGGTTTCCTTTTGTCTCCTTTATTACATGGGACTCTGACATGTGCCCATAGCTAGGGTGGCAGTAGGATCTACCCGAAAAGCGTCCTGCTGATACAGGACCAAAGCATCCTGTTGTTCTCGAGCCTATAAAAAGAGCTAATGGTCTTGCTTCTCTTAACTGTGGCCTCCTACACTGTGTTTTGGATGATTGGTGATGTCTTGGATATTCTGTTTCTTTGGAACTTTGAATATACAACACTTTACTAGGGAATTAGCAATGGAAGCAGAGCAAAGATGTACAGAGGAAACAATGCATAACTCTGATGGAATTGAAGTCATGAGGCAGCAGAGAGCTTAAATTAGAGCTTTAAAAATTTTTATTTTTTAGAGGGAATTTAATTGGGAGTAACAGCAGTAATAGTTAACGGAGCCAGAATGCTTGAGTCATATAATTGCAAAGCAGAGTTGGGAGCAACAGATGCTAAAGAGTAGTTGCTGTAGTTCCTCTTTGGGTCGTAGGAGCAGTTGTCATGTTACTATATAGCTACTGAATGAAGAAGAGTTCTTAGTGAGGCCTGGGTGAACAGCTCTTCTTAGTATTCTGTGTGACCCCATTTGACCTTTTAACAAATCCCTAAGAAAATAAATAGCCCCTAAGGTAAACTAAGTTTTTCTCTGCTATTTTTTTGCTTGAGAGAGCTATAACTGTAGTAGACTTATATTTCTGAACATTTTAGTGCTTGCCAATATTTGGTAATATTTATGTTTCCTATATTTGTAATGAACATTCTTCTTCCGGTACATTTTTTGTTAAATTATTGTTTCATGCATAAAAGTTCACCTTTTATTGTATAAAATTGACTCAGATTAATTTATACACATTGACAATGGGTAAATAGAGCTTTTCAGATTATTAAAAGCTGAAGGATGCCCATGTAAGCAAAAACAAAAAAGAAAAAACCAACAAAAATAAACCCAAACCCCTCAAACAATTTCGAACACAAAACATTCTTCTCACGCCGGCATCCCTGCTTGCAGGTGTGAGGGGGGCAGGAATCAGCGAGGTGTCCTGGGCTGAGTCCCCGGAGTGGGAAGAGGTGGCAGGAAGGGGATCTGAGGAGGAGAACAGGGGTCCTGGTGGTCTGTGCTTCTTCCCAGACACGGGAGCTGTAGAGGAGACCTCTGCAGCAGATGCTAGGGGGGCCACTAGGCCTAGGCAGTCTTGGGACTTGGGTCTGTCCTGCTGTGCATCCACAGTGGGTGCTTTAGAAAGGGGAGGCCCACGCGAAGCCCCCGTTGCAAGTGAGGACAAAGTGTGGGAAGGCCGTGAGGGTCTGCAGTCCGAGATGGCCTTGCCCTCAACGTGCAGTGCACTGTTGATGTGGGGCCTAGAGGCCTGGGATCTGGGGGAGCCACCCCTGGGGGCGAGTGTCTGCCCTGGTGCTGTATCTGCCTTTTGACAGCGGGTGTGACCCGAAGAGACAGCCTGAGGTCCGTCCTCACTCACTGTGTTTGAGGAACTGAGGGCCAGCTGGCAGTGGCATGAGGCTGGCCCCCTCCTCCGCTTTAGTTCCGGGAGGCCTTCCGTAGAACTGTGGGAGCTGGAGCTGGCATTTCCTTGGAGGCAGGATCTGGTCCGGGAGGTCTGGGATCTCTGGTTATATCTCACTTCTGACCTCTGGGCACGTGCTGCAGCTGTGGCTGAGGCCAAGAAATGTGAGGGGCCTCCATTCACTGCATTGAGTAGTGACCCCGACGTGGGGTTCAATGTGGAGGGGGGAGGGGCTGCTGCTGCAGCTGCAGGAGCGGAGGTGCCAGGCCTTGTTCTTCTCATGCTGGCATCCCTGCTTGCAGCTGTGAAGGGGGCAGGAATCAGCGAGGTGACCTGGGCTGAGTCCCGGGAGTGGGAAGAGGTGGCAGGAAGGGGATCTGAGGAGGAGAACAGGGGTCCTGGTGGTCTGTGCTTCTTCCCAGACACGGGAGCTGTAGAGGAGACCTCTGCAGCAGATGCTAGGGGGGCCACTAGGCCCAGGCAGTCTTGGGACTTGGGTCTGTCCTGCTGTGCATCCATAGTGGGTGCTTTAGAAACGGGAGGCCCACCCGAAGCCCCCGTTGCAAGTGAGGACAAAGTGTGGGAAGGCCGTGAGGGTCTGCAGTCCGAGATGGCCTTGTCCTCAACGTGCAGTGCACTGTTGATGTGGGGCCTAGAGGCCTGGGATCTGGGGGAGCCACCCCTGGGGGCGAGTGTCTGCCCTGGTGCTGTATCTGCCTTCTTTTCACAGCGGTGACCCGTAGAGACAGCCTGAGCTCCGTCCTCACTCACTGTCTTTGAGGAACTGTGGGCCAGCTGGCAGTGGGATGAGGCTGGCCCCCTCCTCCGCTTTAGTTCCGGGAGGCCTTCCGTAGAGCTGTGGGAGCTGGAGCTGGCATTTCGTTTGAGGCAGGATCTGGTCCGGGAGGTCTGGGATCTCTGGTTATATCTCACTTCTGACCTCTGGGCACGTGCTGCAGCTGTGGCTGAGGCCAAGAAATGTGAGGGGCCTCCATCCACTGCATTGAGTAGTGACCCCGACGTGGGGTTCAATGTGGAGGGGGGAGGGGCTGCTGCGGCAGCTGCAGGGGCCGACCTTGTTCTTCTCATGCCGGCATCCCTGCTTGCAGCTGTGAAGGGGGCAGGAATCATCGAGGTGACCTGGGCTGAGTCCCGGGAGTGGGAAGAGGTGGCAGGAAGGGTATCTGAGGAGGAGAACAGGGGTCCTGGTGGTCTCTGCTTCTTCCCAGACACGGGAGCTGTAGAGGAGACCTCTGCAGCAGATGCTAGGGGGGCCACTAGGCCCAGGCAGTCTTGGGACTTGGGTCTGTCCTGCTGTGCATCCATAGTGGGTGCTTTAGAAAGGGGAGGCCCACCCGAAGCCCCTGTTGCAAGTGAGGACAAAGTGTGGGAAGGCCGTGAGGGTCTGCAGTCCGAGATGGCCTTGTCCTCAACGTGCAGTGCACTGTTGATGCGCTGGAATGCTGCCTGTTTTTCCAGGTGCAGGTCTTCCGCCGTGACCCGGTACCCCAGCTCTAAGGGAGGTGGCAGCATCAAAGGCTCCCCTCGCCTGCTTGGCAGCAGGGGAATCTTGCGTCTACGGGGCCTAGAGGCCTGGGATCTGGGGGAGCCACCCCTTGGGGCGAGTGTCTGCCCTGGTGCTGTATCTGCCGCCTTTTCACACCGTGTGTGACCCGAAGAGACAGCCTGAGGCCTGTCCTCACTCACTGTCTTTGAGTAACTGAGGGTCAGCTGGCAGCGGGATGAGGCTGGTCCCCTCCTCTGCTTTAGCCCCGGCAAGCCTCCCGTGGAGCTGTAGGAGCTGGAGATGGCATTTCGTTTTGTGCTCGAGCTCGTCCAGGATGTCTGGGATGTCTGGTTATATCTGATTTCTGAGCTCTGGGCATCGAGGTCTGTCTGCAGAGGCCCGGGCCTGGGCACAAAGGGAGAGAGGCCTCCATTGTCCCGCAGGGGCCAAAATGCAGACCGTGCATCCCCGGTGACCTCGGGGACCGTTCTCTGATCAGCAGGATTTTCTTGGACTCTGGGGTCCTTGTCCTGCTCAGGCATCCCTGCCCTGCTCTCCTTGAGGGCCCTCAACACTATCTTCCCTGGACACAAGTCTGGGGACAGCCGGGTGTTGAGGACCCCAAAGGGGTGACTACCTGCTCCTGGGCCCCACAGAGTCCTTGTGCTCAGTGTAGTGGCTGAGCTGGGGGATGCCCTGGAATTCGGAGCACACAGCACTGGCTTACTGTGGTACCTGTGCAGTGAAATTGGAGACAGAATCACCAGGATGGAACACAGGTCTTGCAGGATCACGGAAAACCTTCTTAGAGTTGTCTTGACACCACTGATGTTGAGTGTCCGGGTGTTTGTAGGATGGCCTGCCACTCAGTCCAGGGGCAGGAGCAACGGGGAGATCCCACAAGCAAAGTGAACTGGGCGATGGGCTGAAGGGGCTCTAGGCAACTGAGCCCTACTCGCAGGTCCTCGGCCTTGGCCCAAACAGGAATGAGGGGCACAGAGTGCCCGGGTAACCGCTCCTGGGAGCAGTGGGGAACTGTCGGATACTTGAACTCTCGAGAGCTGGGCTCTGAGCGTCCTCGTCCAGCTGCCAACTTGGCCAAAGGCTAAGCCAGCAGATTGTTCTGTTGCCGGGCGACGCGACTTCTAAACCTGAGGGAGTGGGCATGTGAGCACATAATGGCACCAGTGACAGAGCGACCATAATGGATTAATAAGCGCAGCCAGGTACCCGCGCAAGGCACTTGCTGGCAATGGCAGGAGGCGGACGTGGGGGGGGTCGTGCAATAGGTACTGGAGGGAGAGACGTGGGCACAAAGGTCGCGGGAGGAACAGGTGCCCACAATGGCTGCAGATCTGCCCGTGGATCACTGAAGATTCCTGCTCTCCTGCTGAGGTGGAGACTGCAGTGAGCTGAGATCGCACCATTGCACTCCAGCCTGGGCAACGAGTGCAAAACTCAGTCTCCAGATAAAAAAAAGAAAAAGAAAAAAAAGAGGCCGGGTGTGGTGGCTTATGCCTATAATCCTAGCACTTTGGGAGGTCGGGGTGGACGGATCACGAGATCAGGAGTTGGAGGCCAGCCTGGCCAACATAGTGAAACCCCGTCTCTAGTAAAAATACAAAATTTAGTCAGACATGGTGGGCAGGAGAGAGCATGTGCAGGGGAACATCCATTTATAAAACCATCAGACCTCATGAGACTTATTCACTACCATGAGAACAGCATGGGGGAAACTGCCTCCATGATTCAGTTATCTCCACCTGGCCCCACCCTTGACACATGGGAATTGTTACAATTCAAGATGAGATTTGGGTGGGGACAGAGCCAAACCATATAATTCTTCCCCGGCCCCTCCCAAATCTCATGTCCTCATATTTCAAAAGCAATCGTGCCTTCCCCTAAGTCCCCCAAACTCTTATTTCAGCATTAACTCAAAATTCCATAGTCCAAAGTCTCATCTGAGACAAGGCAAGTCCCTTCCACCTGTGAGCCTGTAAAACCAAAAGCAAGTTAGTTATTTTCTAGATACACAGGGATACAGGCATTGGGTAAATACACCCGTTTCAAACGGGAGAAATTGGCCAAAGCGAAAGAGCTACAGGCCCCATGCAAGTCCAAAACCCAGCAGGCAAATCTTAGAGCTCCAAAATGACCTCCTTTGACTCCATGTGTCACATCTAGGTGATGCAAGAAGTGGGTTCCCAGGGTCTTGGGCAGCCCCGCCCCTGTGGCTTTGCAGGGTACAGCCCCCCCTTCTGGCTGCATTGAGTGTCTGCAGCTTTTCCAGGCACACAGTGCAAGCTGTCAGTGGATCTACCATTCTGGGGTCTGGAGGATGGTGGCCCTTTTGTGACAGCTCTGCTTGGCAGTACCCCAGTGGGGACTCTGTGTGGGGGCTCCAACCCCATATTTCCCTTTGACACTGCCCTAGCAGAGGTTATCCATGAGGGCCCCCCGCTGCCCCGCACAGCAAACTTTTGCCTGGATTTCCAGGCATTTTCATACATCTTCTGAAATCTAGGCGGAGGTTCATGAACGTTAATTCTTGACTTCGGTGCATCTGCAGGCTTAACACCACCTAGAACCTGAAAGGCTTGGAACTTGCACCCTCTGAAGCCATGGCCTGAGGTGTACCTTGGCCCCTTTTACCTATGGCAGGAGCAGCTGGGATGCAGGGCACCAGGTTCCTAGGCTGCACACAGCAGGGGGTTCTGGACTCACAAGAGCATTTTTCCTTCTAAGCCTCCTGGCCTGTGATGGGAGGGTCTGCTGTGAGGGTCTCTAACATGCCCTGGAGACATTTGCCCCATTGTCTTGGTGATTAACATTTGGCTCCTCATTACTTATGCAAATTTCTACAACCCAGTCTCCTGAGAAAATAGATTTTTCTTTTCTGTTGCATCATCAGGCTACAAATTTTCTGAACTTTTATGCTCTGCTTCTTCTCGAATGCTTTGCTGCTTAGAAATTTCTTCTGTCAGATACCTTAAATCATCTCTCTCAAGTTCAAAGTTCCACAGATCTCTAGGGAACTCTAGAAAAAAATTCTTATTTTCACTCTTTCCCGCCTATCTTATGCCCGTTTCTAACACAGGTGCACAGTGCCTGCAGTGTCTTTGCATAGTAAGAGTGACTTTACTCCATTTCCCAACAAATTCCTCATCTCCCTCTGAGACCACCTCCGCCTGGACCTTATTGTCCATATCACTATTAACATTTTGGTCAAAGCCATTCAACAAGTCTCTAGGAAGTTCCAAACTTTCCCACATTTTCCTATCCTCTTCTGAGCCTTCCAAACTGTTCCAGCCTCTCCCTGTTACCCATTTCCAAAGTTGCTTCCACATGTTCGGGTATCTTTACAGCAGCACCCCACTCTACTGGTATCAACTTATTGTATTAGTCTGTTCTCACACTGCAAATAAAGACATACCTGAGACTGGGTAATTTATAAAGGAAAGAGGTTGAATTGACTCACAGTTCTGCATGGCTGGGGAGGCCTCACAATCATGGTGGAAGGCAAGGAGGTGCAAAAGCATGTCTCACATAGTGGCAGGCAGGAGAGAGCATGTGCAGGGGAGCTCCCATTTATAAAACCATCAGATCTCATGAGACTTAGTCACTACCACGAGAACAGTATGGGGGGAACCATCCCCATGATTCAGTTATCTGCACCTGGCCCCACCCTTGACACGTGGGAATTATTACAATGCAAGGTGAGATTTAGGTGGGGACCCATCCAAACTATGTCAGTATGTTTTGACTTCTGGCTTGATTGCTAGGTTGCATGGAGGACAAACATGGAAATTAATGAAGTACCTTAATATCTGGCTTCAGATCTTAGACAGGATCAGAGGGCCAGCTCAAATTTGCAAGGAGGGGAGGTAGATCCCACCATTTTATGGGTGAATGGCAAAATCAAGCAGAAATTATGTGGGACGGGAGATACTGATGCAGGCATCTTTGGAAACATTCTACTTAGCTAATTTTATGCTAGGCTTTAGGTCAAGAAGGAGAGAGAGAGCTGACATGCTGTGGTACACACTTATAGTCCCAGCGACTTGGAAAGCTGAGGCAGGAGGATTGCTTGATCCCAGGAGTTTGAGGTAGTGTGCGATGATCGTTCTTGTGAATAGCCACTAGCCACTGAACTCCAGCTTGGGCAACATTGAGACACCCTGTCTCTTAATTTAAAAAAAAAAAAAAAAAAAAAAAAAGGAGGAAAGAAAGTGGTCTCAGTTTTTAATGTAAATATTTTTAATGGGATAATGATATTTTAAGATTAATGTATATTGTATATCAGTTAACTATAGGTCAATAATTATATAAAACTTAAGGTACGAAAAACATTTATTTTTGCTAACATATCCGTGAGTTGACTGTTCTTGGCTTGGTGAGGCTGCAAGCTGCAGATAGAGTCTAGGTATGATTTCTGTGTGTTTGTTCCCCCTTGGATCAGTGGACTACCTGAGAATGTGTTTTTGTCACAGTGATAGAATCACAAGGAAACTCCAGTTCTGGAAGTACATTTTAAGCCATTGCTTCTATCATGTCCACTAACATTCAGTCAGCCAAAGCACATACCTTGTCCATGGCTAACATTGATAGTATAGATAAATATACCTGATCTCTAGCAGGAGGAACTGCATTGTCTTGGGGAAAGGTTTTAGATATAGGGAGGGGTGATGAGTTGGGAACAATAATGTAGTCTGCCACAAACATATTAAAGTGTAACTGGATATGGTTGCTGCAGAATTTTGAACCTTTGTTTTAATTGTGATTTTTACTCTTTTCCCCCTATCTAGTGCCCTTTCGTAATACAGTAATTCTCATGATTTTTGTCTGAATTGAAATCTTCTGAGATTAGATTGTCTACGAAAATACAGTCGATCCTCCTTGTTTTCAGCTTTTGTATTTGTGAACTCACCTACTATTTTTTGTAACCCCCAAATCAGTACTCACAGCACTTTCATAGTCATGTGTTTGCGCAGAGTGTCAAAGAATTTGAGTTTGAACAGGATGATATTCTGCCTTCTTTTTCAGCTCTCATACAATAGTCAGGTATCCTTTTTGTGGTCTATTTAATGCCATGCTTTTCCTGTTTTTGTACTGTTTGTTGGTTGTTTTGCCATTTAAATTAACCCCCAAGCATAGTGCTGAAGTGCTGCTTAGCATTCACAAGTCCAAGAAGTCTGTGATGTGTCTTACAGAGGAAATAGATGCATTGAATAAACTCCATTCAGGCGTGAGTGCTGTAGTGCCATTGGCTGTGAGTTCAGTGTTAATGAATGAACAATGTGTATTATTTATTTATTCTTCATTTAATTAATTATTATTATTTTTTTTGAGATAGAGTCTCACTCTGTTGCTCAGGCTGGAGTGCAGTGGTGCAGTCTTGGCTCACTGCAACCTCTGCCTCCTGGGTTCAAGCGATTCCCCTGCCTTAGCCTCCCAAGTAGCTAAGTCTACAGGCATGCGCCACCATGCCTGGCTAATATATATATATATATATATATATATTTTGTAGTTTTAGTAGAGACGGGGTTTCACCACGTTGGCCAGGCTGGTCTCGAGCTCCAGACCTCAAATGATCTGCCCGCCTTGGCTTCCCAAAGTGCTGGGATTACAGGCATTAGCCACTGTGCCTGGCCAACAATATATATATTAAATAAGCACACATACAACAAAAGTAGGTGTTGGTAAGCTTACAAAAATGTGACCAGTAGCTTGCTGAAACCTAACTTTTTATTTGTTCATGGAACTTTCTAGACCGTAACTACACTGAATAATGAGAATCTGCTGTAATATTTTTAGGTGCTGTAGATGAGCCATTGGATTAAATTATTACAGTATGTTTCAGACTGCTCTATGTTGAACCCTAGTGAAATGCCTCTCAAACCCTCCTAAGGATCACAATCTCATGTCCTTTTTTTTGTTATTAAATGCCCAGTATGTGTTAGCGATTTAAACAAAATTCAAATATTTTTTTTTTTTTTTTTTTTGAGACAGAGTCTCGCTCTGTCACCTAAGCTGGAGAGTGCAGTGGCATGATCGCGGCTCACTACAACCTCTGCCTCCCGGGTTCAAGCGATTCTCCTGCCTCAGCATCCTGAGTAGCTGGGATTACAGGCGCCCGCCACCACGCTGGGCTAATTTTTGTATTTTTAGTAGAGACGGGATTTCGCCAGGTTGTCCAGGCTGGTCTGGAACTCCTGACCTCATGCGATCTGCCTGCCTTGGCCTCCTGAAGTGCTGGGATTATAGGCGTGAGCCACCATGCCCGGCGTTGACTTTTTAATAATAACCATTCTGACTGGTGTGAGATGGTATGCCATTGTGGTTTTGATTTGCATTTCTCTAATGATCAGTGATATTGGGCTTTTTTTCATATGCTTGTTGGCCGCATGTGTGTCTTCTTTTGAAGTGTCTGTTTATGTCCTTTGCCCACTTTCTAATGAGATTTTTTTTTTCTTGTAAATTTGTTTAAGTTCCTTATCAGTGTTGGACATTAGATCTTTGTCACATGCATTGTTGCAACAATTTTCTCCTATTCTGTAGGTTGTCTGTTCACTCTGTTGATAGTTTCTTCTGCTGTGCAGAAGCTTCAAGAAGAAAGGAATCCGATTGGTTCTGTGTCTGTCTCTTTTGGTATTCTCAGACTTATGTAGTCATCCATATAGAAAGGTGATTAGGAAAATAGGACAAGAATAGCAGAAATCTACATAAAAATGTAGGAAATTAAAATTAGTTACCAGCATACAAAAAACTACTATATGTTATAATTACATACTATAACTCACCCCTCCTTGCCAAATATTCTCTCTCTTTTGACTTCAAAATCATGGCTTATATGTACTTTCTCTATTTCCCAGATGCAAATATAATTAATTGACTTTATTTATCTAGGAAATATTACTGATATCTTAATTGTAGTCATTGGCTTGAGTGACGGGTTTTGGTAATTCAACTACTATTACTTGAAAGTAGTAGATTTCATAAGATACTGTTATAAAATCTTTTTAACCTCTTTTCTGATTTCAGGAGTAATTAGTAATTGTGGTTTACTGGAAAATTCAATGAATAGCGTGTTAAAGGAAGCAATTCGTTAATAATATATCTAATCTATTGGGAGACTGAGGCGGGTGGGTCACCTGAGATCAGGAGTTCGAGACCAGCCTGGCCAACATGGCAAAACTCCGTCTCTACTAAAAATACAAAAATTCGCCGGGCATGGTGGTGCATTCCTGTATTCCCAGGTACTCGGAAGGCTGAGGCAGGAGAATCACCTGAACTCCAGAGGTGGAGGTTGCAGTGAGTCAGGATCGCAGCACTACACTCCAGCCTGGGTGACAGAGTGAGACTCCATCTCAAAAAAAAAAAAAATTAAAAAATTAAATTAAAAAAAAGCGGGCCGGGCGCATTGGTTCAGGGCCGGGCACGGTGGCTCAAGCCTGTAATCCCAGCACTTTGGGAGGCCGAGGCAGGCGGATCACGAGGTCAGGAGATCAAGACCATCCTGGCTAATGTGGTGAAACCCGGTCTCTACTAACAATACAAAAATTAGCTGGATGTGGTGGCAGGTGCCTGTAATCCCAGCTATTCCAGAGGCTGAGGCAGGAGAATCACTTGAACCTGGGAGGCAGAGGTTTCAGTGAGTCCAGATCATGCCACTGCACTCCAGCCTGGGTGACAGAGCGAGATTCTATCTCAAAAAAAAAAAAAAAAAAAAAAAGCAACAGAAGCAAATGAGAGTGCCTGGGAGTGGTCATTGTGGGGCATTCCTGTTTGTGTGACCCAGGTCATGTCCCTCCCTAAGCCCTGGTCTCTCTTGCCTCCTGCAGGGCTGGTGAATTACCAGATCTCCGTCAAGTGCAGTAACCAGTTCAAGTTGGAAGTGTGTCTTTTGAAATCAGAAAACAAAGTCGTGGACAACCAGGCTGGGACCCAGGGCCAGCTGAAGGTGCTGGGTGCCAACCTCTGGTGGCCGTACCTGATGCACGAACACCCCGCCTACCTGTACTCGTGGGAGGTAATGGTGGTTTGGGACTTGCTTAAGGGAGGTCTTTTGCTCCCATCTGGTAGCCCTGGCTTCAGCAGGAGCCCAGGACAGGTGAACGGGCAGGTGTGGTCCTCTGAGCTTTTCTGAGCTTTCTGATGTTTCCCACCCTTGGTGGGAGGCCCAGATTTTTTATTTATTTATTTATTTATTTATTTATTTATTTATTTATTTGTGATGGTCTCACTGTGTCACCCAGGCTGGAACGCAATGGCCTGATCACAGCTCACTGCAGCTTTGAGCTGCAATCCTCCTCCCTTGGCCTCCTGAGTAGCTGGGACTACAGGCACATGCCACCATGCCTGGCTAATTAAAAACATTTTTTTTGTAGGCCGGGCATGGTGGCTCACGCCTGTAATCCCAGCACTTCGGGAGGCTGACGCGGGCGGATCACTTTAGGCCAGGAGTTGGAGACCAGCCTGGCCAACATGGTGAAACCCCGTCTCTACTAAAATATGAAAATTTGCAGGGCATGATGGTGCACGTCTGTAATCCCAGCTACTCGGGAGGCTGAGGCAGGGGAATTGCTTGAACCCAGGAGGCAGGGGCTGCAGTGAATTGAGATCATGCCACTGCACTCTATCCTGGGTGACAGAGTGAGACTGTCTCAAAAAAAAAAAATCCTTTTTATAGAGTTGGGGGTCTTACTAGGTTGCCCAGGCTGGTCTTGAACTCCTGGACTCAGGTGATCCTCCTGCCTTAGCGTCCCAAAGTGTAGGGATTCCAGGCATGAGCCACCTCGTCTGGTCAAGGAGAAGGCCTGATTTTGAAGGGCAGGTCCCAGGGCCAGCCAGTGAAGGGCAGAGCCTCTGATTGCTGCTTCTCTGCAGGCCCAGAGGCGACTTCTGGGGTGCATGCACGAGGGGTCTTCCTGCTGTAGGGCAGGCCAGATGGGGCTCAGGCTGTCGGGGCGCTCACACCTGGCGCTTTGGCTGTCATAGGTGCGGCTGACTGCACAGAAGTCACTGGGGCCTTTGACTTCTACACACTCCCTGTGGGGCTCCGCACTGTGCCCGTCACCGAGAGCCAGTGGGTGAGAGCCAGTTTCATTTGTGGTAGAGGCAGCAGAGGTTGTAGAAATGCTCCTTGAGGCAGATGCCACACCCCAGTTTCATGGAGTGATTTGGGCTGAGCCGAGTCTGCAGCAGGCAGAAGGCTCTGAGATGTTGTCCTAGCCTGGGCAGAGGACAATTCAGAGCTCGGGGGAATAGGGGTGTGCTCAGCACGACTGGGTGGACAGGCCCTTTGTTGTGAATCGTACAGGCTTCCAGGAGCCGGTGCCTGAGGCTTCCAGACAGGCTTTGGGAGGTGGCCAGAGGAGATGCCTGTTTCCGGGGCAGGAAATGGAGGGAGCGCCCAGGCTGGAGAGGTTCAGCCAGGCTGTCACAAGGCTTTGAAGCTTCCCATCTGAGAGCCTGGCTATTGGAGAGTGTGGGTTTGGAACTTGAGGCTAGGAGGTTCTGTTCTGTCCTGTGCCAGCCACAGCCTTCGGATGGGCAGAGCAATGATGGGGGGAAGATGTAAAAGAAAAGAACTGAGGAAAGAAGAAGAAAACCAGCTTCAACAACAGTCTAGGCCGGATGCGGTGGGTCACGCCTGTAATCCCAGCAGTTTGGGAGGCTGAGGTGGGTGGATCACCTGAGGTCAGGAGTTCGAGACCAGCCTGGTCAACAGGTAGTGAATCCTGTCTCTACTAAAAATACAAAAATTAGCTGGGCATGGTGGTGGACGTCTGTAATCCCAGCTACTAGGTAGGCTGAGGCAGGAGAACCGCCTCAGGTGAACCAGGAGGCAGAGATTGCAGTGAGCTGAGATAATGCCACTGCATTCCAGCCTGGGCTACAGAATGAGACTCTGTATCTCAAAAAAACAAAACAAAACAAAAACACAACAGTCTGTTCTGTGGAGGCCTTGGGCAGATGCTGGGAGCTCTGAGCACAGACTGGTCCCTCTGTTGGGAGCCTCTTCCCTTCATCCCTCCTGGTTAACTTGACTCAGCATAAAGGCCATTTCTTCTAAGAGCCTGTCCCTGACTCTCCAATCGGGGATGTGTCTGTTGTCTCATAGAGTGCCCAATTCCTGCCACCATTTGTCATTTCCATTCGCAACATTTCTTTCATTGTTTGTTTTTCAGAGTCAGGGTCTCACTCTGTTGCCCAGGCTGGAGTGCAGTGGTGCAATCATAGCTCGTTGCCATCTCGACCTCCTGGGCTTAAGCGATCCTCCCCTCTCAGCCTCCCAAATAGCTGGGACCACAGACGTGCGCTGCCTTGCCAGGCTAAATTTTAATATTTTTTTTCCCCACGAGTCAGAGTCTTGCTCTGTCTCCCAGGCTGGAGAGCAGTGTTGCGATCTTGGCTCACTGCATCCTCTACCTCCTGGGTACAAACAGTTCTCCTGCCTCACCCTCCCGAGTAGCTGGGATTACAGGCTCACGCCACCATGCCCAGCTAGTTTTCTTCTTTATTTTTTGTTGAGATGGGGTTTCACCATGTTGGCCAGGCTGGTCTCGAACTCTTGAGCTCGTGATCCACCTGCCCTGGCCTCCCAAAGTGCTCACAGGCTTGAGCCACCATGCCCGGCCCTAATTTTTAAATTTGTTGTAGAAACAAGGTCTTGCTATGTTGCCCAGGCTGGTCTCAAGCACCTGGTCTCAAGTAAGCCTCCCAAAGTGCTGGGGTTCTAGGCGTGAGCCACCTCGCCTGGCGCTTGCACCGTTTTTCTGTGCATGCATCTCCACTCCCACTGCCCAGGACCTGTGGACTTAGATTTGAGTCATTACTGAGCACCTAGCACCCAGCCTCATGCCTGCCTCCCACCTCGCACTACCTGTTTGCTTGATGCATTAATAAATATTCCACCTGAATCCACAGCCCATTCACTCCTGTGTTCAAGGGCTATTTCAGGAAGTGAACCTCATTTTTGGCAGTGTTCAGTCCAGTGACCTCAGCTCTGTGTACCTGGCAGGGTGGCTACGCCTCTGGGGGAATTGGATTCAGGGGTGGGGGAGAAAGAGTGTTGTTAGAGAGCTTGGTCTAGGACTAGAGGAACGTGCCCTTATGTAAAATACATCTCAAGTTAGGGAAGAAAGCAGCGGCTCTGTGCTTTGTTTTTTTTTTTTGTTTTTTTTTCTTTTCTTTCTGTTTGTTTGTTTGTTTGTTTGTTTGTTTGTTTGTTTGTTTGTTTTTTTGGGGCAGGGTCTTGCTCTGTGGCCCAGGCTGGAGTGCAGTAGCGTGATTTCGGCTCACTGCAACCTCCACCTCCCGGGTTCAAGCAATTCTTGTGCCTCAGCCTCCCGAGTAGCTGGAGTTACAGATGCGTGCCACTAAGCCTGGCTAATTTTTGTATATTTAGTAGAAATGGGGTTTTGCCATGTTGGCCAGGCTGTTCTTGAACTCCTGACCTCAGTGATCTGCCTGCCTCAGCCTCCTGAAGTGCTGGGATTACAGATGTGAGCCATCATGCCTGGCCCCCAGTTGTGTTCTGGCAGGGGAAGATGGGACAGAGAGGATGGGAGGGTGTCTGAGCCTTTCCCGGACTGACGGAACCTGTGTCTTCTCTCTTTTGTGGACAGGATGGTGATTGCTCACACCAAAGCCTTGGACCCCTCCCAGCCTGTGACCTTTGTGACCAACTCCACCTACGCAGCAGACAAGGGGGTGAGCCTGGGGGTCCCCACCCCATTTCTCCCTGCCTTTGCCTGGGCTTGTCCTGAAGCCTGCTCATGGGAACAGCTGGAAAGAACCATGTGCTGCCAGTCTGAGCTTTTTATTTTGTTTTACTTAGAAAGATAGAGACAGGGTCTTGCCATGTTGCCCAGGCTGGTCTCGAACTCCTGGGCTCAAGTGGTCCTCCTGCCTCGGCCTTCCAGAGGGCTGGGGTGACAGGCGTGTGCCACCGCACTCAGCCGCAGCCAGTCTGTTTTCAAAGATGGTCTTTGGGTTAATGACAATTCTCTCTCTGCTTACTCTCTAGGCAGTGTGGCTTTCTGAATTTAAGGAGGCTGGGCATAGGGAGATGGGATTTGTTTGCCCAGTTTGGACTCAGCATTTTTTGTACTCGATTTAATAGACTCATAAAATGTCAAAGGTTTAAGTGAGCTTAGAGTTCATCTGGCCCAAACCTGGCTGATCAGAATCTCCAGGGGAAGTTTTATTGAAATGCCAGATCTCTGCATTCTGAGATCCTGATTTAGTAACTCCAGGGTTGGAACCTGAGTTTTTTTTTTTTTTTTTTGTGAAGGCAAGGTCTTACTCTGTTGCTCTGGCTGGAGTGCAGTGGTGTGATCACAGCTCACTGCAGCCTTGAATTCCTGGGCCTAAGCAACCCTCTTGCCTCAGCCTTCCAAGTAGCTGGGACTCCGGGTGTACACCACTGTGCCCGGCTAATTTTAAATGTTTTTGTAGAGATGGGATCTCACTATGTTGCCCAGGCCAGTCTCAAACTCTTGAGCTCAAGTGATCCTCCTGCCTTAGCCTCCTAAAGTGCTGGGATTACAGGCATGAGCCACCGTGCCTGGCTGATACTAGCATTCTTTTTTTTTTTTTTTTTTTTAAAAGATGGAGTCTTGCTGTGTTGCCCAGGCTGGAGTGCAGTGGCACAGTCTCAGCTCACTGCAACCTCCGCCTCCCAGGTTCAAGCAATTCTCCTGCCTCAGCCTCCCAAGTAGCTGGGATAACAGGCACATGCCACCACGCCTGCGCTTGATCGTGGGAGGCAGAGGTTGCACTATTGTGCCACTCCATTCTAGCCTGGGCAACAGAGCGAGACTCTGTCTTCCAAATAAAGCGAAAAAAGATTATCTGCGAGAATGACTGCATTGGCCCCTTGGGTGGGAGGGCTTCTCCAGGGCAAGGTGAGGGGATGCCCAGTGCTGGGAGTGCTGCCTGGAGAGGAGTCAGTTCCAGTGGCGGGGGCCCTGGGTTTTGGCTGAGGACTGCGTGTTGGCAGCTGCTCTGCCTCTCACAGCCCTTCCCAGCTGCACACGTCGTGAGCGTCAGTGTGCAATCACAGGCCTGCCTCCTTTGGGCCACTTTGTGACCATGTTTTTTGCTTGTGGGGCAGGGTAATTTCAGGATCTAAATTGGTGCAGTTGGATGTTCTCAGCCCCGAGAGGCAGCTCTTCCCGTTCTAGGCTTTTTGTTTTGTTTTGTAGAAATGGAGTCCTACGATGTTGCCCAGGCTGGTCTCAAACTCCTGGGCTCAAGTGATCCTCCCACCTTGGCCTCCCAATGTGCTGGGATTACAGGCATGAGCCACTGTGCCGTGCTAATTTTCTTGATACTATTTTTTGTAGAGCTGGGGTCTTGCTGTGTTGCCCAGGCTGGTCTCGAACTCCTGGCCACAAGCCACCCTCCTGCCTCAGCCTCCCAGAGTGCTGGGATTACATCCCCTTCTTACCTTCTCTGTCAGAGGAGCCCCCACAGCATGTGAGTACTGAGTCATGCGGTCTTGTGGTTGCTGAACGGGCTCTGCTGCTCTGGTCCTAGGCTCTGTATGTGGATGTGATCCGTGTGAACAGCTACTACTCTTGGTATCGCAACTACGGGCACCTGGAGTTGATTCAGCTGCAGCTGGCCGCCCAGTTTGAGAACTGGTGTAAGACATCACAATCCCATTATTCAGAGCGAGTATGGAGTGGAAACGCTTGTAGGGTTTCACCAGGTAAGCGGTGTTGAACTTTCTGCTTGTGTATTCTCTCTGGGCAGAGATGCCAACTTGCCTCTCCCACCATGCCATCTCTGAAGAATATTACAGACCATTTTGGAGCATGGTGAATAAGAAATTTTTACCTTAGGAGTTCACTTGAATAGTCATTTTTATATTTGTGACTGCAAGTCACTTTTAGGGGCTGTACTTCCTTAGTACTGGTAGCATTATTATCCAATGGACTTTTATAGCTTTCATTAGGTTTTCTTTTGTTTTTGTTCTTTAAAGAACATTTTACTTAACTTAGTATTTCATTTTTCGTCTATATTATGAGGCAGTAAGAGTCTTCTGTTTTTCCAAAGTTGAGACTGCTTTATATTTATTTCATATTGTCTACAGCTGTAGTGTTCAATACATTAGCCACTAGCCACATGTGGTTATTTAAATAAGATAAAATAAAAATTGGCCGGGCGTGGTGGCTCACGCCTGTAATCCCAGCACTTTGGGAGGCCGAGGCGGGCAGATCATTAGGTCAGGAGATCGAGACCATCCTTACTAAGACGGTGAACCCCCATCTCTATTAAAAATACAAAAAATTAGCCGGGCGTGGTGGCGGGCGCCTGCAGTCCCAGCTACTCAGGAGGCTGAGGCAGGAGAATGGCGTGAACCTGGGAGGCAGAGTTTGCAGTGAGCCGAGATTGGCGCCACTGCACTCCAGCCTGGGGGACAGAGCGAGACTCCATCTCAAAAAAAAAAAAAAAAAAAAAGTCTGCTTCAGCTGCTAAAACAGAATACCATAAATTAGGTAGCTTAAACAGTAGATATTTTGACCCGGCATGGTGGCTTATGCCTGTATTCCTAACACTTTGGGAGGCCGAGGCAGGTGGATAACTTGAGCTCAGGAGTTTGAGACTAGCCTGGGCAGCATGGCAAAACCTTGTCTCTACGAAAATTAGCTGGGCATGGTGGTGCACGCCTGTAGTCTGAGCTACTTGGGAGGCTGAGGTGGGAGAATTGCTTGAACCTGGGAGGCGGAGGTTGCAGTGAGCCATGATCGCACCACTGTACTCCAGCCTGGATGACAGAATGAGACTCTGTCTCAAAAAAAACAAAAACAAACAAACAAAAAAAACAGATATTTCTCACAGTTGTGGAGACTGGAAGTGCAAGATCAAAGTGTTGGCAAATTACGTTTCTTAAAGAGGGCCTGCTTCCTAGATTGGAAATGGCCATCTTCTCTCAGTATCCTCACATGGTAGGGAGAAAAGCAGCTCTAGTGTCTCTTCTTATAAAGGAAGTAATGCCACCATAGGGGCTCTATTCTCATGACCTCATCTAAACGTAATTCTCTCCTAAAGGCCACGCCTCCCAGTATCCTCACCTTGGGGGTTAGGGCTTTATCATATGAATTTTTTTTTTTTTTTTTTTGAGACAGAGTCTCGCTCTGTCTGTCACCCAGGCTGGAGTGCAGTGGCACAATCTCGGCTCTCTACAAGCTCCGCCTCCTGGGTTCACGCCATTCTCCTGCGTCAGCCTCCTCAGTAGCTGGGACTAAGGCGCCCGCCACTGCGCCCGGCTAATTTTTTTGTATTTTTAGTAGAGACGGGGTTTTACCATGTTAGCCAGGATGATCTCGATCTCCTGACCTCGTGATCCACCCACCTCGGCCTCCCAAAGTGCTGGGATTACAGGCATGAGCCACCGCGCCTGGCCTATCATATGAATTTTGAGGGAACACAATCATGCAGTCTGTAGCAGATGGTAATAGGCTGATATATTACACTTGTTGATGTAAATCTGATAGGTTTCTTTCTCTCCAAGGACAGCTTTTTAAATATTTAACAGTATCAATAATTTTTCAGTTTCTGTGAGAATTTTATAATTTATAATTTGCAGACTTAATGTATAATCTATTTTGTCCTAACAATTACAAATATATTTTTTATTTCAGATTATATATATTCCTACCAGATGGAGATAATTACAGCTTTAAAAATTTTTATTTTTTCATTTTATTTCACATATTGACATTAAATTTTTATTGACACATAATAATTGTACATATATATGGGGTACAATGTGATGTTTTAATACATGTACTCAATGTGTAATGATCAAATCAGGGTAATTTGCATAATGATTTTTCTGTAGGGAGAAAATTCAAAATCTACTCTTCTGGCTATTTTCAAATATATAATATGTTATTGTTAACTATACTCATCCTACTATGCAATAGGACACCAGAACTTATTCCTGGGTTCTACATCTGTTAAGCCAACCAAAGATTGGAAATATTGGGAAAAAAAATTGCGTCTGTACTGAACATGTACAGACTTTTTTCTTGTCCTTATTCCTTACACAATATAGTACAATAACTATTTGCATGACATTTACATCGGATATTATGAGTGATCTAGAGTTGATATGAAGTATATGGGAGGATGTGCAAAGGTGATGTGCAAATACTATGTCATTTTATATCAGGGACTTGAGTATCCTTTGTTATCCTCAGGAGATCCTGAAACTAGTCCTCCATGGATACTGAGGGCTGACTGTCTAGTCCTATCCTCACGGAACTTTCATTGTAATGAGGGAAGACTGACTATAAACAAAATATATGTAATAGGTGGTGGTAAGTACCGTGGAGAAGTAACAAATGGGGCAAAGTGAGTTATACAGCTCCATCCTTAGAAACCTTGGAGTACTTTTCTTAGTTTATACTCGTGGTGGTTTCCTTTTGTCTCCTTTATTACATGGGACTCTGACATGTGCCCATAGCTAGGGTGGCAGTAGGATCTACCCGAAAAGCGTCCTGCTGATACAGGACCAAAGCATCCTGTTGTTCTCGAGCCTATAAAAAGAGCTAATGGTCTTGCTTCTCTTAACTGTGGCCTCCTACACTGTGTTTTGGATGATTGGTGATGTCTTGGATATTCTGTTTCTTTGGAACTTTGAATATACAACACTTTACTAGGGAATTAGCAATGGAAGCAGAGCAAAGATGTACAGAGGAAACAATGCATAACTCTGATGGAATTGAAGTCATGAGGCAGCAGAGAGCTTAAATTAGAGCTTTAAAAATTTTTATTTTTTAGAGGGAATTTAATTGGGAGTAACAGCAGTAATAGTTAACGGAGCCAGAATGCTTGAGTCATATAATTGCAAAGCAGAGTTGGGAGCAACAGATGCTAAAGAGTAGTTGCTGTAGTTCCTCTTTGGGTCGTAGGAGCAGTTGTCATGTTACTATATAGCTACTGAATGAAGAAGAGTTCTTAGTGAGGCCTGGGTGAACAGCTCTTCTTAGTATTCTGTGTGACCCCATTTGACCTTTTAACAAATCCCTAAGAAAATAAATAGCCCCTAAGGTAAACTAAGTTTTTCTCTGCTATTTTTTTGCTTGAGAGAGCTATAACTGTAGTAGACTTATATTTCTGAACATTTTAGTGCTTGCCAATATTTGGTAATATTTATGTTTCCTATATTTGTAATGAACATTCTTCTTCCGGTACATTTTTTGTTAAATTATTGTTTCATGCATAAAAGTTCACCTTTTATTGTATAAAATTGACTCAGATTAATTTATACACATTGACAATGGGTAAATAGAGCTTTTCAGATTATTAAAAGCTGAAGGATGCCCATGTAAGCAAAAACAAAAAAGAAAAAACCAACAAAAATAAACCCAAACCCCTCAAACAATTTCGAACACAAAACATTCTTCTCACGCCGGCATCCCTGCTTGCAGGTGTGAGGGGGGCAGGAATCAGCGAGGTGTCCTGGGCTGAGTCCCCGGAGTGGGAAGAGGTGGCAGGAAGGGGATCTGAGGAGGAGAACAGGGGTCCTGGTGGTCTGTGCTTCTTCCCAGACACGGGAGCTGTAGAGGAGACCTCTGCAGCAGATGCTAGGGGGGCCACTAGGCCTAGGCAGTCTTGGGACTTGGGTCTGTCCTGCTGTGCATCCATAGTGGGTGCTTTAGAAAGGGGAGGCCCACGCGAAGCCCCCGTTGCAAGTGAGGACAAAGTGTGGGAAGGCCGTGAGGGTCTGCAGTCCGAGATGGCCTTGCCCTCAACGTGCAGTGCACTGTTGATGTGGGGCCTAGAGGCCTGGGATCTGGGGGAGCCACCCCTGGGGGCGAGTGTCTGCCCTGGTGCTGTATCTGCCTTTTGACAGCGGGTGTGACCCGAAGAGACAGCCTGAGGTCCGTCCTCACTCACTGTGTTTGAGGAACTGAGGGCCAGCTGGCAGTGGCATGAGGCTGGCCCCCTCCTCCGCTTTAGTTCCGGGAGGCCTTCCGTAGAACTGTGGGAGCTGGAGCTGGCATTTCCTTGGAGGCAGGATCTGGTCCGGGAGGTCTGGGATCTCTGGTTATATCTCACTTCTGACCTCTGGGCACGTGCTGCAGCTGTGGCTGAGGCCAAGAAATGTGAGGGGCCTCCATTCACTGCATTGAGTAGTGACCCCGACGTGGGGTTCAATGTGGAGGGGGGAGGGGCTGCTGCTGCAGCTGCAGGAGCGGAGGTGCCAGGCCTTGTTCTTCTCATGCTGGCATCCCTGCTTGCAGCTGTGAAGGGGGCAGGAATCAGCGAGGTGACCTGGGCTGAGTCCCGGGAGTGGGAAGAGGTGGCAGGAAGGGGATCTGAGGAGGAGAACAGGGGTCCTGGTGGTCTGTGCTTCTTCCCAGACACGGGAGCTGTAGAGGAGACCTCTGCAGCAGATGCTAGGGGGGCCACTAGGCCCAGGCAGTCTTGGGACTTGGGTCTGTCCTGCTGTGCATCCATAGCGGGTGCTTTAGAAACGGGAGGCCCACCCGAAGCCCCCGTTGCAAGTGAGGACAAAGTGTGGGAAGGCCGTGAGGGTCTGCAGTCCGAGATGGCCTTGTCCTCAACGTGCAGTGCACTGTTGATGTGGGGCCTAGAGGCCTGGGATCTGGGGGAGCCACCCCTGGGGGCGAGTGTCTGCCCTGGTGCTGTATCTGCCTTCTTTTCACAGCGGTGACCCGTAGAGACAGCCTGAGCTCCGTCCTCACTCACTGTCTTTGAGGAACTGTGGGCCAGCTGGCAGTGGGATGAGGCTGGCCCCCTCCTCCGCTTTAGTTCCGGGAGGCCTTCCGTAGAGCTGTGGGAGCTGGAGCTGGCATTTCGTTTGAGGCAGGATCTGGTCCGGGAGGTCTGGGATCTCTGGTTATATCTCACTTCTGACCTCTGGGCACGTGCTGCAGCTGTGGCTGAGGCCAAGAAATGTGAGGGGCCTCCATCCACTGCATTGAGTAGTGACCCCGACGTGGGGTTCAATGTGGAGGGGGGAGGGGCTGCTGCGGCAGCTGCAGGAGCCGACCTTGTTCTTCTCATGCCGGCATCCCTGCTTGCAGCTGTGAAGGGGGCAGGAATCATCGAGGTGACCTGGGCTGAGTCCCGGGAGTGGGAAGAGGTGGCAGGAAGGGTATCTGAGGAGGAGAACAGGGGTCCTGGTGGTCTGTGCTTCTTCCCAGACACGGGAGCTGTAGAGGGGACCTCTGCAGCAGATGCTAGGGGGGCCACTAGGCCCAGGCAGTCTTGGGACTTGGGTCTGTCCTGCTGTGCATCCATAGTGGGTGCTTTAGAAACGGGAGGCCCACGCGAAGCCCCTGTTGCAAGTGAGGACAAAGTGTGGGAAGGCCGTGAGGGTCTGCAGTCCGAGATGGCCTTGTCCTCAACGTGCAGTGCACTGTTGATGTGGGGCCTAGAGGCCTGGGATCTGGGGGAGCCACCCCTGGGGGCGAGTGTCTGCCCTGGTGCTGTGTCTGCCTTCTTTTCACAGCGGTGACCCGTAGAGACAGCCTGAGCTCCGTCCTCACTCACTGTCTTTGAGGAACTGTGGGCCAGCTGGCAGTGGGATGAGGCTGGCCCCCTCCTCCGCTTTAGTTCCGGGAGGCCTTCCGTAGAGCTGTGGGAGCTGGAGCTGGCATTTCGTTTGAGGCAGGATCTGGTCCGGGTGGTCTGGGATCTCTGGTTATATCTCACTTCTGACCTCTGGGCACGTGCTGCAGCTGTGGCTGAGGCCAAGAAATGTGAGGGGCCTCCATCCACTGCATTGAGTAGTGACCCCGACGTGGGGTTCAATGTGGAGGGGGGAGGGGCTGCTGCGGCAGCTGCAGGGGCCGACCTTGTTCTTCTCATGCCGGCATCCCTGCTTGCAGCTGTGAAGGGGGCAGGAATCATCGAGGTGACCTGGGCTGAGTCCCGGGAGTGGGAAGAGGTGGCAGGAAGGGTATCTGAGGAGGAGAACAGGGGTCCTGGTGGTCTCTGCTTCTTCCCAGACACGGGAGCTGTAGAGGAGACCTCTGCAGCAGATGCTAGGGGGGCCACTAGGCCCAGGCAGTCTTGGGACTTGGGTCTGTCCTGCTGTGCATCCATAGTGGGTGCTTTAGAAAGGGGAGGCCCACCCGAAGCCCCTGTTGCAAGTGAGGACAAAGTGTGGGAAGGCCGTGAGGGTCTGCAGTCCGAGATGGCCTTGTCCTCAACGTGCAGTGCACTGTTGATGCGCTGGAATGCTGCCTGTTTTTCCAGGTGCAGGTCTTCCGCCGTGACCCGGTACCCCAGCTCTAAGGGAGGTGGCAGCATCAAAGGCTCCCCTCGCCTGCTTGGCAGCAGGCGAATCTTGCGTCTACGGGGCCTAGAGGCCTGGGATCTGGGGGAGCCACCCCTTGGGGCGAGTGTCTGCCCTGGTGCTGTATCTGCCGCCTTTTCACACCGTGTGTGACCCGAAGAGACAGCCTGAGGCCTGTCCTCACTCACTGTCTTTGAGTAACTGAGGGTCAGCTGGCAGCGGGATGAGGCTGGTCCCCTCCTCTGCTTTAGCCCCGGCAAGCCTCCCGTGGAGCTGTAGGAGCTGGAGATGGCATTTCGTTTTGTGCTCGAGCTCGTCCAGGATGTCTGGGATGTCTGGTTATATCTGATTTCTGAGCTCTGGGCATCGAGGTCTGTCTGCAGAGGCCCGGGCCTGGGCACAAAGGGAGAGAGGCCTCCATTGTCCCGCAGGGGCCAAAATGCAGACCGTGCATCCCCGGTGACCTCGGGGACCGTTCTCTGATCAGCAGGATTTTCTTGGACTCTGGGGTCCTTGTCCTGCTCAGGCATCCCTGCCCTGCTCTCCTTGAGGGCCCTCAACACTATCTTCCCTGGACACAAGTCTGGGGACAGCCGGGTGTTGAGGACCCCAAAGGGGTGACTACCTGCTCCTGGGCCCCACAGAGTCCTTGTGCTCAGTGTAGTGGCTGAGCTGGGGGATGCCCTGGAATTCGGAGCACACAGCACTGGCTTACTGTGGTACCTGTGCAGTGAAATTGGAGACAGAATCACCAGGATGGAACACAGGTCTTGCAGGATCACGGAAAACCTTCTTAGAGTTGTCTTGACACCACTGATGTTGAGTGTCCGGGTGTTTGTAGGATGGCCTGCCACTCAGTCCAGGGGCAGGAGCAACGGGGAGATCCCACAAGCAAAGTGAACTGGGCGATGGGCTGAAGGGGCTCTA
Source organism: Homo sapiens (assembly GCF_000001405.40). Classification (NCBI taxonomy): domain Eukaryota; kingdom Metazoa; phylum Chordata; class Mammalia; order Primates; family Hominidae; genus Homo; species Homo sapiens. The sequence goes on from NW_016107297.1 coordinate 54,032, forward strand.
GGCAACTGAGCCCTACTCGCAGGTCCTCGGCCTTGGCCCAAACAGGAATGAGGGGCACAGAGTGCCCGGGTAACCGCTCCTGGGAGCAGTGGGGAACTGTCGGATACTTGAACTCTCGAGAGCTGGGCTCTGAGCGTCCTCGTCCAGCTGCCAACTTGGCCAAAGGCTAAGCCAGCAGATTGTTCTGTTGCCGGGCGACGCGACTTCTAAACCTGAGGGAGTGGGCATGTGAGCACATAATGGCACCAGTGACAGAGCGACCATAATGGATTAATAAGCGCAGCCAGGTACCCGCGCAAGGCACTTGCTGGCAATGGCAGGAGGCGGACGTGGGGGGGGTCGTGCAATAGGTACTGGAGGGAGAGACGTGGGCACAAAGGTCGCGGGAGGAACAGGTGCCCACAATGGCTGCAGATCTGCCCGTGGATCACTGAAGATTCCTGCTCTCCTGCTGAGGTGGAGACTGCAGTGAGCTGAGATCGCACCATTGCACTCCAGCCTGGGCAACGAGTGCAAAACTCAGTCTCCAGATAAAAAAAAGAAAAAGAAAAAAAAGAGGCCGGGTGTGGTGGCTTATGCCTATAATCCTAGCACTTTGGGAGGTCGGGGTGGACGGATCACGAGATCAGGAGTTGGAGGCCAGCCTGGCCAACATAGTGAAACCCCGTCTCTAGTAAAAATACAAAATTTAGTCAGACATGGTGGGCAGGAGAGAGCATGTGCAGGGGAACATCCATTTATAAAACCATCAGACCTCATGAGACTTATTCACTACCATGAGAACAGCATGGGGGAAACTGCCTCCATGATTCAGTTATCTCCACCTGGCCCCACCCTTGACACATGGGAATTGTTACAATTCAAGATGAGATTTGGGTGGGGACAGAGCCAAACCATATAATTCTTCCCCGGCCCCTCCCAAATCTCATGTCCTCATATTTCAAAAGCAATCGTGCCTTCCCCTAAGTCCCCCAAACTCTTATTTCAGCATTAACTCAAAATTCCATAGTCCAAAGTCTCATCTGAGACAAGGCAAGTCCCTTCCACCTGTGAGCCTGTAAAACCAAAAGCAAGTTAGTTATTTTCTAGATACACAGGGATACAGGCATTGGGTAAATACACCCGTTTCAAACGGGAGAAATTGGCCAAAGCGAAAGAGCTACAGGCCCCATGCAAGTCCAAAACCCAGCAGGCAAATCTTAGAGCTCCAAAATGACCTCCTTTGACTCCATGTGTCACATCTAGGTGATGCAAGAAGTGGGTTCCCAGGGTCTTGGGCAGCCCCGCCCCTGTGGCTTTGCAGGGTACAGCCCCCCCTTCTGGCTGCATTGAGTGTCTGCAGCTTTTCCAGGCACACAGTGCAAGCTGTCAGTGGATCTACCATTCTGGGGTCTGGAGGATGGTGGCCCTTTTGTGACAGCTCTGCTTGGCAGTACCCCAGTGGGGACTCTGTGTGGGGGCTCCAACCCCATATTTCCCTTTGACACTGCCCTAGCAGAGGTTATCCATGAGGGCCCCCCGCTGCCCCGCACAGCAAACTTTTGCCTGGATTTCCAGGCATTTTCATACATCTTCTGAAATCTAGGCGGAGGTTCATGAACGTTAATTCTTGACTTCGGTGCATCTGCAGGCTTAACACCACCTAGAACCTGAAAGGCTTGGAACTTGCACCCTCTGAAGCCATGGCCTGAGGTGTACCTTGGCCCCTTTTACCTATGGCAGGAGCAGCTGGGATGCAGGGCACCAGGTTCCTAGGCTGCACACAGCAGGGGGTTCTGGACTCACAAGAGCATTTTTCCTTCTAAGCCTCCTGGCCTGTGATGGGAGGGTCTGCTGTGAGGGTCTCTAACATGCCCTGGAGACATTTGCCCCATTGTCTTGGTGATTAACATTTGGCTCCTCATTACTTATGCAAATTTCTACAACCCAGTCTCCTGAGAAAATAGATTTTTCTTTTCTGTTGCATCATCAGGCTACAAATTTTCTGAACTTTTATGCTCTGCTTCTTCTCGAATGCTTTGCTGCTTAGAAATTTCTTCTGTCAGATACCTTAAATCATCTCTCTCAAGTTCAAAGTTCCACAGATCTCTAGGGAACTCTAGAAAAAAATTCTTATTTTCACTCTTTCCCGCCTATCTTATGCCCGTTTCTAACACAGGTGCACAGTGCCTGCAGTGTCTTTGCATAGTAAGAGTGACTTTACTCCATTTCCCAACAAATTCCTCATCTCCCTCTGAGACCACCTCCGCCTGGACCTTATTGTCCATATCACTATTAACATTTTGGTCAAAGCCATTCAACAAGTCTCTAGGAAGTTCCAAACTTTCCCACATTTTCCTATCCTCTTCTGAGCCTTCCAAACTGTTCCAGCCTCTCCCTGTTACCCATTTCCAAAGTTGCTTCCACATGTTCGGGTATCTTTACAGCAGCACCCCACTCTACTGGTATCAACTTATTGTATTAGTCTGTTCTCACACTGCAAATAAAGACATACCTGAGACTGGGTAATTTATAAAGGAAAGAGGTTGAATTGACTCACAGTTCTGCATGGCTGGGGAGGCCTCACAATCATGGTGGAAGGCAAGGAGGTGCAAAAGCATGTCTCACATAGTGGCAGGCAGGAGAGAGCATGTGCAGGGGAGCTCCCATTTATAAAACCATCAGATCTCATGAGACTTAGTCACTACCACGAGAACAGTATGGGGGGAACCATCCCCATGATTCAGTTATCTGCACCTGGCCCCACCCTTGACACGTGGGAATTATTACAATGCAAGGTGAGATTTAGGTGGGGACCCATCCAAACTATGTCAGTATGTTTTGACTTCTGGCTTGATTGCTAGGTTGCATGGAGGACAAACATGGAAATTAATGAAGTACCTTAATATCTGGCTTCAGATCTTAGACAGGATCAGAGGGCCAGCTCAAATTTGCAAGGAGGGGAGGTAGATCCCACCATTTTATGGGTGAATGGCAAAATCAAGCAGAAATTATGTGGGACGGGAGATACTGATGCAGGCATCTTTGGAAACATTCTACTTAGCTAATTTTATGCTAGGCTTTAGGTCAAGAAGGAGAGAGAGAGCTGACATGCTGTGGTACACACTTATAGTCCCAGCGACTTGGAAAGCTGAGGCAGGAGGATTGCTTGATCCCAGGAGTTTGAGGTAGTGTGCGATGATCGTTCTTGTGAATAGCCACTAGCCACTGAACTCCAGCTTGGGCAACATTGAGACACCCTGTCTCTTAATTTAAAAAAAAAAAAAAAAAAAGGAGGAAAGAAAGTGGTCTCAGTTTTTAATGTAAATATTTTTAATGGGATAATGATATTTTAAGATTAATGTATATTGTATATCAGTTAACTATAGGTCAATAATTATATAAAACTTAAGGTACGAAAAACATTTATTTTTGCTAACATATCCGTGAGTTGACTGTTCTTGGCTTGGTGAGGCTGCAAGCTGCAGATAGAGTCTAGGTATGATTTCTGTGTGTTTGTTCCCCCTTGGATCAGTGGACTACCTGAGAATGTGTTTTTGTCACAGTGATAGAATCACAAGGAAACTCCAGTTCTGGAAGTACATTTTAAGCCATTGCTTCTATCATGTCCACTAACATTCAGTCAGCCAAAGCACATACCTTGTCCATGGCTAACATTGATAGTATAGATAAATATACCTGATCTCTAGCAGGAGGAACTGCATTGTCTTGGGGAAAGGTTTTAGATATAGGGAGGGGTGATGAGTTGGGAACAATAATGTAGTCTGCCACAAACATATTAAAGTGTAACTGGATATGGTTGCTGCAGAATTTTGAACCTTTGTTTTAATTGTGATTTTTACTCTTTTCCCCCTATCTAGTGCCCTTTCGTAATACAGTAATTCTCATGATTTTTGTCTGAATTGAAATCTTCTGAGATTAGATTGTCTACGAAAATACAGTCGATCCTCCTTGTTTTCAGCTTTTGTATTTGTGAACTCACCTACTATTTTTTGTAACCCCCAAATCAGTACTCACAGCACTTTCATAGTCATGTGTTTGCGCAGAGTGTCAAAGAATTTGAGTTTGAACAGGATGATATTCTGCCTTCTTTTTCAGCTCTCATACAATAGTCAGGTATCCTTTTTGTGGTCTATTTAATGCCATGCTTTTCCTGTTTTTGTACTGTTTGTTGGTTGTTTTGCCATTTAAATTAACCCCCAAGCATAGTGCTGAAGTGCTGCTTAGCATTCACAAGTCCAAGAAGTCTGTGATGTGTCTTACAGAGGAAATAGATGCATTGAATAAACTCCATTCAGGCGTGAGTGCTGTAGTGCCATTGGCTGTGAGTTCAGTGTTAATGAATGAACAATGTGTATTATTTATTTATTCTTCATTTAATTAATTATTATTATTTTTTTTGAGATAGAGTCTCACTCTGTTGCTCAGGCTGGAGTGCAGTGGTGCAGTCTTGGCTCACTGCAACCTCTGCCTCCTGGGTTCAAGCGATTCCCCTGCCTTAGCCTCCCAAGTAGCTAAGTCTACAGGCATGCGCCACCATGCCTGGCTAATATATATATATATATATATATATATATATATTTTGTAGTTTTAGTAGAGACGGGGTTTCACCACGTTGGCCAGGCTGGTCTCGAGCTCCAGACCTCAAATGATCTGCCCGCCTTGGCTTCCCAAAGTGCTGGGATTACAGGCATTAGCCACTGTGCCTGGCCAACAATATATATATTAAATAAGCACACATACAACAAAAGTAGGTGTTGGTAAGCTTACAAAAATGTGACCAGTAGCTTGCTGAAACCTAACTTTTTATTTGTTCATGGAACTTTCTAGACCGTAACTACACTGAATAATGAGAATCTGCTGTAATATTTTTAGGTGCTGTAGATGAGCCATTGGATTAAATTATTACAGTATGTTTCAGACTGCTCTATGTTGAACCCTAGTGAAATGCCTCTCAAACCCTCCTAAGGATCACAATCTCATGTCCTTTTTTTTGTTATTAAATGCCCAGTATGTGTTAGCGATTTAAACAAAATTCAAATATTTTTTTTTTTTTTTTTTTTTGAGACAGAGTCTCGCTCTGTCACCTAAGCTGGAGAGTGCAGTGGCATGATCGCGGCTCACTACAACCTCTGCCTCCCGGGTTCAAGCGATTCTCCTGCCTCAGCATCCTGAGTAGCTGGGATTACAGGCGCCCGCCACCACGCTGGGCTAATTTTTGTATTTTTAGTAGAGACGGGATTTCGCCAGGTTGTCCAGGCTGGTCTGGAACTCCTGACCTCATGCGATCTGCCTGCCTTGGCCTCCTGAAGTGCTGGGATTATAGGCGTGAGCCACCATGCCCGGCGTTGACTTTTTAATAATAACCATTCTGACTGGTGTGAGATGGTATGCCATTGTGGTTTTGATTTGCATTTCTCTAATGATCAGTGATATTGGGCTTTTTTTCATATGCTTGTTGGCCGCATGTGTGTCTTCTTTTGAAGTGTCTGTTTATGTCCTTTGCCCACTTTCTAATGAGATTTTTTTTTTCTTGTAAATTTGTTTAAGTTCCTTATCAGTGTTGGACATTAGATCTTTGTCACATGCATTGTTGCAACAATTTTCTCCTATTCTGTAGGTTGTCTGTTCACTCTGTTGATAGTTTCTTCTGCTGTGCAGAAGCTTCAAGAAGAAAGGAATCCGATTGGTTCTGTGTCTGTCTCTTTTGGTATTCTCAGACTTATGTAGTCATCCATATAGAAAGGTGATTAGGAAAATAGGACAAGAATAGCAGAAATCTACATAAAAATGTAGGAAATTAAAATTAGTTACCAGCATACAAAAAACTACTATATGTTATAATTACATACTATAACTCACCCCTCCTTGCCAAATATTCTCTCTCTTTTGACTTCAAAATCATGGCTTATATGTACTTTCTCTATTTCCCAGATGCAAATATAATTAATTGACTTTATTTATCTAGGAAATATTACTGATATCTTAATTGTAGTCATTGGCTTGAGTGACGGGTTTTGGTAATTCAACTACTATTACTTGAAAGTAGTAGATTTCATAAGATACTGTTATAAAATCTTTTTAACCTCTTTTCTGATTTCAGGAGTAATTAGTAATTGTGGTTTACTGGAAAATTCAATGAATAGCGTGTTAAAGGAAGCAATTCGTTAATAATATATCTAATCTATTGGGAGACTGAGGCGGGTGGGTCACCTGAGATCAGGAGTTCGAGACCAGCCTGGCCAACATGGCAAAACTCCGTCTCTACTAAAAATACAAAAATTCGCCGGGCATGGTGGTGCATTCCTGTATTCCCAGGTACTCGGAAGGCTGAGGCAGGAGAATCACCTGAACTCCAGAGGTGGAGGTTGCAGTGAGTCAGGATCGCAGCACTACACTCCAGCCTGGGTGACAGAGTGAGACTCCATCTCAAAAAAAAAAAAAAATTAAAAAATTAAATTAAAAAAAAGCGGGCCGGGCGCATTGGTTCAGGGCCGGGCACGGTGGCTCAAGCCTGTAATCCCAGCACTTTGGGAGGCCGAGGCAGGCGGATCACGAGGTCAGGAGATCAAGACCATCCTGGCTAATGTGGTGAAACCCGGTCTCTACTAACAATACAAAAATTAGCTGGATGTGGTGGCAGGTGCCTGTAATCCCAGCTATTCCAGAGGCTGAGGCAGGAGAATCACTTGAACCTGGGAGGCAGAGGTTTCAGTGAGTCCAGATCATGCCACTGCACTCCAGCCTGGGTGACAGAGCGAGATTCTATCTCAAAAAAAAAAAAAAAAAAAAAAAAGCAACAGAAGCAAATGAGAGTGCCTGGGAGTGGTCATTGTGGGGCATTCCTGTTTGTGTGACCCAGGTCATGTCCCTCCCTAAGCCCTGGTCTCTCTTGCCTCCTGCAGGGCTGGTGAATTACCAGATCTCCGTCAAGTGCAGTAACCAGTTCAAGTTGGAAGTGTGTCTTTTGAAATCAGAAAACAAAGTCGTGGACAACCAGGCTGGGACCCAGGGCCAGCTGAAGGTGCTGGGTGCCAACCTCTGGTGGCCGTACCTGATGCACGAACACCCCGCCTACCTGTACTCGTGGGAGGTAATGGTGGTTTGGGACTTGCTTAAGGGAGGTCTTTTGCTCCCATCTGGTAGCCCTGGCTTCAGCAGGAGCCCAGGACAGGTGAACGGGCAGGTGTGGTCCTCTGAGCTTTTCTGAGCTTTCTGATGTTTCCCACCCTTGGTGGGAGGCCCAGATTTTTTATTTATTTATTTATTTATTTATTTATTTATTTATTTATTTGTGATGGTCTCACTGTGTCACCCAGGCTGGAACGCAATGGCCTGATCACAGCTCACTGCAGCTTTGAGCTGCAATCCTCCTCCCTTGGCCTCCTGAGTAGCTGGGACTACAGGCACATGCCACCATGCCTGGCTAATTAAAAACATTTTTTTTGTAGGCCGGGCATGGTGGCTCACGCCTGTAATCCCAGCACTTCGGGAGGCTGACGCGGGCGGATCACTTTAGGCCAGGAGTTGGAGACCAGCCTGGCCAACATGGTGAAACCCCGTCTCTACTAAAATATGAAAATTTGCAGGGCATGATGGTGCACGTCTGTAATCCCAGCTACTCGGGAGGCTGAGGCAGGGGAATTGCTTGAACCCAGGAGGCAGGGGCTGCAGTGAATTGAGATCATGCCACTGCACTCTATCCTGGGTGACAGAGTGAGACTGTCTCAAAAAAAAAAAATCCTTTTTATAGAGTTGGGGGTCTTACTAGGTTGCCCAGGCTGGTCTTGAACTCCTGGACTCAGGTGATCCTCCTGCCTTAGCGTCCCAAAGTGTAGGGATTCCAGGCATGAGCCACCTCGTCTGGTCAAGGAGAAGGCCTGATTTTGAAGGGCAGGTCCCAGGGCCAGCCAGTGAAGGGCAGAGCCTCTGATTGCTGCTTCTCTGCAGGCCCAGAGGCGACTTCTGGGGTGCATGCACGAGGGGTCTTCCTGCTGTAGGGCAGGCCAGATGGGGCTCAGGCTGTCGGGGCGCTCACACCTGGCGCTTTGGCTGTCATAGGTGCGGCTGACTGCACAGAAGTCACTGGGGCCTTTGACTTCTACACACTCCCTGTGGGGCTCCGCACTGTGCCCGTCACCGAGAGCCAGTGGGTGAGAGCCAGTTTCATTTGTGGTAGAGGCAGCAGAGGTTGTAGAAATGCTCCTTGAGGCAGATGCCACACCCCAGTTTCATGGAGTGATTTGGGCTGAGCCGAGTCTGCAGCAGGCAGAAGGCTCTGAGATGTTGTCCTAGCCTGGGCAGAGGACAATTCAGAGCTCGGGGGAATAGGGGTGTGCTCAGCACGACTGGGTGGACAGGCCCTTTGTTGTGAATCGTACAGGCTTCCAGGAGCGGGTGCCTGAGGCTTCCAGACAGGCTTTGGGAGGTGGCCAGAGGAGATGCCTGTTTCCGGGGCAGGAAATGGAGGGAGCGCCCAGGCTGGAGAGGTTCAGCCAGGCTGTCACAAGGCTTTGAAGCTTCCCATCTGAGAGCCTGGCTATTGGAGAGTGTGGGTTTGGAACTTGAGGCTAGGAGGTTCTGTTCTGTCCTGTGCCAGCCACAGCCTTCGGATGGGCAGAGCAATGATGGGGGGAAGATGTAAAAGAAAAGAACTGAGGAAAGAAGAAGAAAACCAGCTTCAACAACAGTCTAGGCCGGATGCGGTGGGTCACGCCTGTAATCCCAGCAGTTTGGGAGGCTGAGGTGGGTGGATCACCTGAGGTCAGGAGTTCGAGACCAGCCTGGTCAACAGGTAGTGAATCCTGTCTCTACTAAAAATACAAAAATTAGCTGGGCATGGTGGTGGACGTCTGTAATCCCAGCTACTAGGTAGGCTGAGGCAGGAGAACCGCCTCAGGTGAACCAGGAGGCAGAGATTGCAGTGAGCTGAGATAATGCCACTGCATTCCAGCCTGGGCTACAGAATGAGACTCTGTATCTCAAAAAAACAAAACAAAACAAAAACACAACAGTCTGTTCTGTGGAGGCCTTGGGCAGATGCTGGGAGCTCTGAGCACAGACTGGTCCCTCTGTTGGGAGCCTCTTCCCTTCATCCCTCCTGGTTAACTTGACTCAGCATAAAGGCCATTTCTTCTAAGAGCCTGTCCCTGACTCTCCAATCGGGGATGTGTCTGTTGTCTCATAGAGTGCCCAATTCCTGCCACCATTTGTCATTTCCATTCGCAACATTTCTTTCATTGTTTGTTTTTCAGAGTCAGGGTCTCACTCTGTTGCCCAGGCTGGAGTGCAGTGGTGCAATCATAGCTCGTTGCCATCTCGACCTCCTGGGCTTAAGCGATCCTCCCCTCTCAGCCTCCCAAATAGCTGGGACCACAGACGTGCGCTGCCTTGCCAGGCTAAATTTTAATATTTTTTTTCCCCACGAGTCAGAGTCTTGCTCTGTCTCCCAGGCTGGAGAGCAGTGTTGCGATCTTGGCTCACTGCATCCTCTACCTCCTGGGTACAAACAGTTCTCCTGCCTCACCCTCCCGAGTAGCTGGGATTACAGGCTCACGCCACCATGCCCAGCTAGTTTTCTTCTTTATTTTTTGTTGAGATGGGGTTTCACCATGTTGGCCAGGCTGGTCTCGAACTCTTGAGCTCGTGATCCACCTGCCCTGGCCTCCCAAAGTGCTCACAGGCTTGAGCCACCATGCCCGGCCCTAATTTTTAAATTTGTTGTAGAAACAAGGTCTTGCTATGTTGCCCAGGCTGGTCTCAAGCACCTGGTCTCAAGTAAGCCTCCCAAAGTGCTGGGGTTCTAGGCGTGAGCCACCTCGCCTGGCGCTTGCACCGTTTTTCTGTGCATGCATCTCCACTCCCACTGCCCAGGACCTGTGGACTTAGATTTGAGTCATTACTGAGCACCTAGCACCCAGCCTCATGCCTACCTCCCACCTCGCACTACCTGTTTGCTTGATGCATTAATAAATATTCCACCTGAATCCACAGCCCATTCACTCCTGTGTTCAAGGGCTATTTCAGGAAGTGAACCTCATTTTTGGCAGTGTTCAGTCCAGTGACCTCAGCTCTGTGTACCTGGCAGGGTGGCTACGCCTCTGGGGGAATTGGATTCAGGGGTGGGGGAGAAAGAGTGTTGTTAGAGAGCTTGGTCTAGGACTAGAGGAACGTGCCCTTATGTAAAATACATCTCAAGTTAGGGAAGAAAGCAGCGGCTCTGTGCTTTGTTTTTTTTTTTGTTTTTTTTTCTTTTCTTTCTTTTGTTTGTTTGTTTGTTTGTTTGTTTGTTTGTTTGTTTGTTTGTTTTGGGGCAGGGTCTTGCTCTGTGGCCCAGGCTGGAGTGCAGTAGCGTGATTTCGGCTCACTGCAACCTCCACCTCCCGGGTTCAAGCAATTCTTGTGCCTCAGCCTCCCGAGTAGCTGGAGTTACAGATGCGTGCCACTAAGCCTGGCTAATTTTTGTATATTTAGTAGAAATGGGGTTTTGCCATGTTGGCCAGGCTGTTCTTGAACTCCTGACCTCAGTGATCTGCCTGCCTCAGCCTCCTGAAGTGCTGGGATTACAGATGTGAGCCATCATGCCTGGCCCCCAGTTGTGTTCTGGCAGGGGAAGATGGGACAGAGAGGATGGGAGGGTGTCTGAGCCTTTCCCGGACTGACGGAACCTGTGTCTTCTCTCTTTTGTGGACAGGATGGTGATTGCTCACACCAAAGCCTTGGACCCCTCCCAGCCTGTGACCTTTGTGACCAACTCCACCTACGCAGCAGACAAGGGGGTGAGCCTGGGGGTCCCCACCCCATTTCTCCCTGCCTTTGCCTGGGCTTGTCCTGAAGCCTGCTCATGGGAACAGCTGGAAAGAACCATGTGCTGCCAGTCTGAGCTTTTTATTTTGTTTTACTTAGAAAGATAGAGACAGGGTCTTGCCATGTTGCCCAGGCTGGTCTCGAACTCCTGGGCTCAAGTGGTCCTCCTGCCTCGGCCTTCCAGAGGGCTGGGGTGACAGGCGTGTGCCACCGCACTCAGCCGCAGCCAGTCTGTTTTCAAAGATGGTCTTTGGGTTAATGACAATTCTCTCTCTGCTTACTCTCTAGGCAGTGTGGCTTTCTGAATTTAAGGAGGCTGGGCATAGGGAGATGGGATTTGTTTGCCCAGTTTGGACTCAGCATTTTTTGTACTCGATTTAATAGACTCATAAAATGTCAAAGGTTTAAGTGAGCTTAGAGTTCATCTGGCCCAAACCTGGCTGATCAGAATCTCCAGGGGAAGTTTTATTGAAATGCCAGATCTCTGCATTCTGAGATCCTGATTTAGTAACTCCAGGGTTGGAACCTGAGTTTTTTTTTTTTTTTTTGTGAAGGCAAGGTCTTACTCTGTTGCTCTGGCTGGAGTGCAGTGGTGTGATCACAGCTCACTGCAGCCTTGAATTCCTGGGCCTAAGCAACCCTCTTGCCTCAGCCTTCCAAGTAGCTGGGACTCCGGGTGTACACCACTGTGCCCGGCTAATTTTAAATGTTTTTGTAGAGATGGGATCTCACTATGTTGCCCAGGCCAGTCTCAAACTCTTGAGCTCAAGTGATCCTCCTGCCTTAGCCTCCTAAAGTGCTGGGATTACAGGCATGAGCCACCGTGCCTGGCTGATACTAGCATTCTTTTTTTTTTTTTTTTTTTTTAAAAGATGGAGTCTTGCTGTGTTGCCCAGGCTGGAGTGCAGTGGCACAGTCTCAGCTCACTGCAACCTCCGCCTCCCAGGTTCAAGCAATTCTCCTGCCTCAGCCTCCCAAGTAGCTGGGATAACAGGCACATGCCACCACGCCTGCGCTTGATCGTGGGAGGCAGAGGTTGCACTATTGTGCCACTCCATTCTAGCCTGGGCAACAGAGCGAGACTCTGTCTTCCAAATAAAGCGAAAAAAGATTATCTGCGAGAATGACTGCATTGGCCCCTTGGGTGGGAGGGCTTCTCCAGGGCAAGGTGAGGGGATGCCCAGTGCTGGGAGTGCTGCCTGGAGAGGAGTCAGTTCCAGTGGCGGGGGCCCTGGGTTTTGGCTGAGGACTGCGTGTTGGCAGCTGCTCTGCCTCTCACAGCCCTTCCCAGCTGCACACGTCGTGAGCGTCAGTGTGCAATCACAGGCCTGCCTCCTTTGGGCCACTTTGTGACCATGTTTTTTGCTTGTGGGGCAGGGTAATTTCAGGATCTAAATTGGTGCAGTTGGATGTTCTCAGCCCCGAGAGGCAGCTCTTCCCGTTCTAGGCTTTTTGTTTTGTTTTGTAGAAATGGAGTCCTACGATGTTGCCCAGGCTGGTCTCAAACTCCTGGGCTCAAGTGATCCTCCCACCTTGGCCTCCCAATGTGCTGGGATTACAGGCATGAGCCACTGTGCCGTGCTAATTTTCTTGATACTATTTTTTGTAGAGCTGGGGTCTTGCTGTGTTGCCCAGGCTGGTCTCGAACTCCTGGCCACAAGCCACCCTCCTGCCTCAGCCTCCCAGAGTGCTGGGATTACATCCCCTTCTTACCTTCTCTGTCAGAGGAGCCCCCACAGCATGTGAGTACTGAGTCATGCGGTCTTGTGGTTGCTGAACGGGCTCTGCTGCTCTGGTCCTAGGCTCTGTATGTGGATGTGATCCGTGTGAACAGCTACTACTCTTGGTATCGCAACTACGGGCACCTGGAGTTGATTCAGCTGCAGCTGGCCGCCCAGTTTGAGAACTGGTGTAAGACATCACAATCCCATTATTCAGAGCGAGTATGGAGTGGAAACGCTTGTAGGGTTTCACCAGGTAAGCGGTGTTGAACTTTCTGCTTGTGTATTCTCTCTGGGCAGAGATGCCAACTTGCCTCTCCCACCATGCCATCTCTGAAGAATATTACAGACCATTTTGGAGCATGGTGAATAAGAAATTTTTACCTTAGGAGTTCACTTGAATAGTCATTTTTATATTTGTGACTGCAAGTCACTTTTAGGGGCTGTACTTCCTTAGTACTGGTAGCATTATTATCCAATGGACTTTTATAGCTTTCATTAGGTTTTCTTTTGTTTTTGTTCTTTAAAGAACATTTTACTTAACTTAGTATTTCATTTTTCGTCTATATTATGAGGCAGTAAGAGTCTTCTGTTTTTCCAAAGTTGAGACTGCTTTATATTTATTTCATATTGTCTACAGCTGTAGTGTTCAATACATTAGCCACTAGCCACATGTGGTTATTTAAATAAGATAAAATAAAAATTGGCCGGGCGTGGTGGCTCACGCCTGTAATCCCAGCACTTTGGGAGGCCGAGGCGGGCAGATCATTAGGTCAGGAGATCGAGACCATCCTTACTAAGACGGTGAACCCCCATCTCTATTAAAAATACAAAAAATTAGCCGGGCGTGGTGGCGGGCGCCTGCAGTCCCAGCTACTCAGGAGGCTGAGGCAGGAGAATGGCGTGAACCTGGGAGGCAGAGTTTGCAGTGAGCCGAGATTGGCGCCACTGCACTCCAGCCTGGGGGACAGAGCGAGACTCCATCTCAAAAAAAAAAAAAAAAAAAAAGTCTGCTTCAGCTGCTAAAACAGAATACCATAAATTAGGTAGCTTAAACAGTAGATATTTTGACCCGGCATGGTGGCTTATGCCTGTATTCCTAACACTTTGGGAGGCCGAGGCAGGTGGATAACTTGAGCTCAGGAGTTTGAGACTAGCCTGGGCAGCATGGCAAAACCTTGTCTCTACGAAAATTAGCTGGGCATGGTGGTGCACGCCTGTAGTCTGAGCTACTTGGGAGGCTGAGGTGGGAGAATTGCTTGAACCTGGGAGGCGGAGGTTGCAGTGAGCCATGATCGCACCACTGTACTCCAGCCTGGATGACAGAATGAGACTCTGTCTCAAAAAAAACAAAAACAAACAAACAAAAAAAACAGATATTTCTCACAGTTGTGGAGACTGGAAGTGCAAGATCAAAGTGTTGGCAAATTACGTTTCTTAAAGAGGGCCTGCTTCCTAGATTGGAAATGGCCATCTTCTCTCAGTATCCTCACATGGTAGGGAGAAAAGCAGCTCTAGTGTCTCTTCTTATAAAGGAAGTAATGCCACCATAGGGGCTCTATTCTCATGACCTCATCTAAACGTAATTCTCTCCTAAAGGCCACGCCTCCCAGTATCCTCACCTTGGGGGTTAGGGCTTTATCATATGAATTTTTTTTTTTTTTTTTTTTGAGACAGAGTCTCGCTCTGTCTGTCACCCAGGCTGGAGTGCAGTGGCACAATCTCGGCTCTCTACAAGCTCCGCCTCCTGGGTTCACGCCATTCTCCTGCGTCAGCCTCCTCAGTAGCTGGGACTAAGGCGCCCGCCACTGCGCCCGGCTAATTTTTTTGTATTTTTAGTAGAGACGGGGTTTTACCATGTTAGCCAGGATGATCTCGATCTCCTGACCTCGTGATCCACCCACCTCGGCCTCCCAAAGTGCTGGGATTACAGGCATGAGCCACCGCGCCTGGCCTATCATATGAATTTTGAGGGAACACAATCATGCAGTCTGTAGCAGATGGTAATAGGCTGATATATTACACTTGTTGATGTAAATCTGATAGGTTTCTTTCTCTCCAAGGACAGCTTTTTAAATATTTAACAGTATCAATAATTTTTCAGTTTCTGTGAGAATTTTATAATTTATAATTTGCAGACTTAATGTATAATCTATTTTGTCCTAACAATTACAAATATATTTTTTATTTCAGATTATATATATTCCTACCAGATGGAGATAATTACAGCTTTAAAAATTTTTATTTTTTCATTTTATTTCACATATTGACATTAAATTTTTATTGACACATAATAATTGTACATATATATGGGGTACAATGTGATGTTTTAATACATGTACTCAATGTGTAATGATCAAATCAGGGTAATTTGCATAATGATTTTTCTGTAGGGAGAAAATTCAAAATCTACTCTTCTGGCTATTTTCAAATATATAATATGTTATTGTTAACTATACTCATCCTACTATGCAATAGGACACCAGAACTTATTCCTGGGTTCTACATCTGTTAAGCCAACCAAAGATTGGAAATATTGGGAAAAAAAATTGCGTCTGTACTGAACATGTACAGACTTTTTTCTTGTCCTTATTCCTTACACAATATAGTACAATAACTATTTGCATGACATTTACATCGGATATTATGAGTGATCTAGAGTTGATATGAAGTATATGGGAGGATGTGCAAAGGTGATGTGCAAATACTATGTCATTTTATATCAGGGACTTGAGTATCCTTTGTTATCCTCAGGAGATCCTGAAACTAGTCCTCCATGGATACTGAGGGCTGACTGTCTAGTCCTATCCTCACGGAACTTTCATTGTAATGAGGGAAGACTGACTATAAACAAAATATATGTAATAGGTGGTGGTAAGTACCGTGGAGAAGTAACAAATGGGGCAAAGTGAGTTATACAGCTCCATCCTTAGAAACCTTGGAGTACTTTTCTTAGTTTATACTCGTGGTGGTTTCCTTTTGTCTCCTTTATTACATGGGACTCTGACATGTGCCCATAGCTAGGGTGGCAGTAGGATCTACCCGAAAAGCGTCCTGCTGATACAGGACCAAAGCATCCTGTTGTTCTCGAGCCTATAAAAAGAGCTAATGGTCTTGCTTCTCTTAACTGTGGCCTCCTACACTGTGTTTTGGATGATTGGTGATGTCTTGGATATTCTGTTTCTTTGGAACTTTGAATATACAACACTTTACTAGGGAATTAGCAATGGAAGCAGAGCAAAGATGTACAGAGGAAACAATGCATAACTCTGATGGAATTGAAGTCATGAGGCAGCAGAGAGCTTAAATTAGAGCTTTAAAAATTTTTATTTTTTAGAGGGAATTTAATTGGGAGTAACAGCAGTAATAGTTAACGGAGCCAGAATGCTTGAGTCATATAATTGCAAAGCAGAGTTGGGAGCAACAGATGCTAAAGAGTAGTTGCTGTAGTTCCTCTTTGGGTCGTAGGAGCAGTTGTCATGTTACTATATAGCTACTGAATGAAGAAGAGTTCTTAGTGAGGCCTGGGTGAACAGCTCTTCTTAGTATTCTGTGTGACCCCATTTGACCTTTTAACAAATCCCTAAGAAAATAAATAGCCCCTAAGGTAAACTAAGTTTTTCTCTGCTATTTTTTTGCTTGAGAGAGCTATAACTGTAGTAGACTTATATTTCTGAACATTTTAGTGCTTGCCAATATTTGGTAATATTTATGTTTCCTATATTTGTAATGAACATTCTTCTTCCGGTACATTTTTTGTTAAATTATTGTTTCATGCATAAAAGTTCACCTTTTATTGTATAAAATTGACTCAGATTAATTTATACACATTGACAATGGGTAAATAGAGCTTTTCAGATTATTAAAAGCTGAAGGATGCCCATGTAAGCAAAAACAAAAAAGAAAAAACCAACAAAAATAAACCCAAACCCCTCAAACAATTTCGAACACAAAACATTCTTCTCACGCCGGCATCCCTGCTTGCAGGTGTGAGGGGGGCAGGAATCAGCGAGGTGTCCTGGGCTGAGTCCCCGGAGTGGGAAGAGGTGGCAGGAAGGGGATCTGAGGAGGAGAACAGGGGTCCTGGTGGTCTGTGCTTCTTCCCAGACACGGGAGCTGTAGAGGAGACCTCTGCAGCAGATGCTAGGGGGGCCACTAGGCCTAGGCAGTCTTGGGACTTGGGTCTGTCCTGCTGTGCATCCATAGTGGGTGCTTTAGAAAGGGGAGGCCCACGCGAAGCCCCCGTTGCAAGTGAGGACAAAGTGTGGGAAGGCCGTGAGGGTCTGCAGTCCGAGATGGCCTTGCCCTCAACGTGCAGTGCACTGTTGATGTGGGGCCTAGAGGCCTGGGATCTGGGGGAGCCACCCCTGGGGGCGAGTGTCTGCCCTGGTGCTGTATCTGCCTTTTGACAGCGGGTGTGACCCGAAGAGACAGCCTGAGGTCCGTCCTCACTCACTGTGTTTGAGGAACTGAGGGCCAGCTGGCAGTGGCATGAGGCTGGCCCCCTCCTCCGCTTTAGTTCCGGGAGGCCTTCCGTAGAACTGTGGGAGCTGGAGCTGGCATTTCCTTGGAGGCAGGATCTGGTCCGGGAGGTCTGGGATCTCTGGTTATATCTCACTTCTGACCTCTGGGCACGTGCTGCAGCTGTGGCTGAGGCCAAGAAATGTGAGGGGCCTCCATTCACTGCATTGAGTAGTGACCCCGACGTGGGGTTCAATGTGGAGGGGGGAGGGGCTGCTGCTGCAGCTGCAGGAGCGGAGGTGCCAGGCCTTGTTCTTCTCATGCTGGCATCCCTGCTTGCAGCTGTGAAGGGGGCAGGAATCAGCGAGGTGACCTGGGCTGAGTCCCGGGAGTGGGAAGAGGTGGCAGGAAGGGGATCTGAGGAGGAGAACAGGGGTCCTGGTGGTCTGTGCTTCTTCCCAGACACGGGAGCTGTAGAGGAGACCTCTGCAGCAGATGCTAGGGGGGCCACTAGGCCCAGGCAGTCTTGGGACTTGGGTCTGTCCTGCTGTGCATCCATAGTGGGTGCTTTAGAAACGGGAGGCCCACCCGAAGCCCCCGTTGCAAGTGAGGACAAAGTGTGGGAAGGCCGTGAGGGTCTGCAGTCCGAGATGGCCTTGTCCTCAACGTGCAGTGCACTGTTGATGTGGGGCCTAGAGGCCTGGGATCTGGGGGAGCCACCCCTGGGGGCGAGTGTCTGCCCTGGTGCTGTATCTGCCTTCTTTTCACAGCGGTGACCCGTAGAGACAGCCTGAGCTCCGTCCTCACTCACTGTCTTTGAGGAACTGTGGGCCAGCTGGCAGTGGGATGAGGCTGGCCCCCTCCTCCGCTTTAGTTCCGGGAGGCCTTCCGTAGAGCTGTGGGAGCTGGAGCTGGCATTTCGTTTGAGGCAGGATCTGGTCCGGGAGGTCTGGGATCTCTGGTTATATCTCACTTCTGACCTCTGGGCACGTGCTGCAGCTGTGGCTGAGGCCAAGAAATGTGAGGGGCCTCCATCCACTGCATTGAGTAGTGACCCCGACGTGGGGTTCAATGTGGAGGGGGGAGGGGCTGCTGCGGCAGCTGCAGGAGCCGACCTTGTTCTTCTCATGCCGGCATCCCTGCTTGCAGCTGTGAAGGGGGCAGGAATCATCGAGGTGACCTGGGCTGAGTCCCGGGAGTGGGAAGAGGTGGCAGGAAGGGTATCTGAGGAGGAGAACAGGGGTCCTGGTGGTCTGTGCTTCTTCCCAGACACGGGAGCTGTAGAGGGGACCTCTGCAGCAGATGCTAGGGGGGCCACTAGGCCCAGGCAGTCTTGGGACTTGGGTCTGTCCTGCTGTGCATCCATAGTGGGTGCTTTAGAAAGGGGAGGCCCACCCGAAGCCCCTGTTGCAAGTGAGGACAAAGTGTGGGAAGGCCGTGAGGGTCTGCAGTCCGAGATGGCCTTGTCCTCAACGTGCAGTGCACTGTTGATGCGCTGGAATGCTGCCTGTTTTTCCAGGTGCAGGTCTTCCGCCGTGACCCGGTACCCCAGCTCTAAGGGAGGTGGCAGCATCAAAGGCTCCCCTCGCCTGCTTGGCAGCAGGCGAATCTTGCGTCTACGGGGCCTAGAGGCCTGGGATCTGGGGGAGCCACCCCTTGGGGCGAGTGTCTCCCCTGGTGCTGTATCTGCCGCCTTTTCACACCGTGTGTGACCCGAAGAGACAGCCTGAGGCCTGTCCTCACTCACTGTCTTTGAGTAACTGAGGGTCAGCTGGCAGCGGGATGAGGCTGGTCCCCTCCTCTGCTTTAGCCCCGGCAAGCCTCCCGTGGAGCTGTAGGAGCTGGAGATGGCATTTCGTTTTGTGCTCGAGCTCGTCCAGGATGTCTGGGATGTCTGGTTATATCTGATTTCTGAGCTCTGGGCATCGAGGTCTGTCTGCAGAGGCCCGGGCCTGGGCACAAAGGGAGAGAGGCCTCCATTGTCCCGCAGGGGCCAAAATGCAGACCGTGCATCCCCGGTGACCTCGGGGACCGTTCTCTGATCAGCAGGATTTTCTTGGACTCTGGGGTCCTTGTCCTGCTCAGGCATCCCTGCCCTGCTCTCCTTGAGGGCCCTCAACACTATCTTCCCTGGACACAAGTCTGGGGACAGCCGGGTGTTGAGGACCCCAAAGGGGTGACTACCTGCTCCTGGGCCCCACAGAGTCCTTGTGCTCAGTGTAGTGGCTGAGCTGGGGGATGCCCTGGAATTCGGAGCACACAGCACTGGCTTACTGTGGTACCTGTGCAGTGAAATTGGAGACAGAATCACCAGGATGGAACACAGGTCTTGCAGGATCACGGAAAACCTTCTTAGAGTTGTCTTGACACCACTGATGTTGAGTGTCCGGGTGTTTGTAGGATGGCCTGCCACTCAGTCCAGGGGCAGGAGCAACGGGGAGATCCCACAAGCAAAGTGAACTGGGCGATGGGCTGAAGGGGCTCTAGGCAACTGAGCCCTACTCGCAGGTCCTCGGCCTTGGCCCAAACAGGAATGAGGGGCACAGAGTGCCCGGGTAACCGCTCCTGGGAGCAGTGGGGAACTGTCGGATACTTGAACTCTCGAGAGCTGGGCTCTGAGCGTCCTCGTCCAGCTGCCAACTTGGCCAAAGGCTAAGCCAGCAGATTGTTCTGTTGCCGGGCGACGCGACTTCTAAACCTGAGGGAGTGGGCATGTGAGCACATAATGGCACCAGTGACAGAGCGACCATAATGGATTAATAAGCGCAGCCAGGTACCCGCGCAAGGCACTTGCTGGCAATGGCAGGAGGCGGACGTGGGGGGGGTCGTGCAATAGGTACTGGAGGGAGAGACGTGGGCACAAAGGTCGCGGGAGGAACAGGTGCCCACAATGGCTGCAGATCTGCCCGTGGATCACTGAAGATTCCTGCTCTCCTGCTGAGGTGGAGACTGCAGTGAGCTGAGATCGCACCATTGCACTCCAGCCTGGGCAACGAGTGCAAAACTCAGTCTCCAGATAAAAAAAAGAAAAAGAAAAAAAAGAGGCCGGGTGTGGTGGCTTATGCCTATAATCCTAGCACTTTGGGAGGTCGGGGTGGACGGATCACGAGATCAGGAGTTGGAGGCCAGCCTGGCCAACATAGTGAAACCCCGTCTCTAGTAAAAATACAAAATTTAGTCAGACATGGTGGGCAGGAGAGAGCATGTGCAGGGGAACATCCATTTATAAAACCATCAGACCTCATGAGACTTATTCACTACCATGAGAACAGCATGGGGGAAACTGCCTCCATGATTCAGTTATCTCCACCTGGCCCCACCCTTGACACATGGGAATTGTTACAATTCAAGATGAGATTTGGGTGGGGACAGAGCCAAACCATATAATTCTTCCCCGGCCCCTCCCAAATCTCATGTCCTCATATTTCAAAAGCAATCGTGCCTTCCCCTAAGTCCCCCAAACTCTTATTTCAGCATTAACTCAAAATTCCATAGTCCAAAGTCTCATCTGAGACAAGGCAAGTCCCTTCCACCTGTGAGCCTGTAAAACCAAAAGCAAGTTAGTTATTTTCTAGATACACAGGGATACAGGCATTGGGTAAATACACCCGTTTCAAACGGGAGAAATTGGCCAAAGCGAAAGAGCTACAGGCCCCATGCAAGTCCAAAACCCAGCAGGCAAATCTTAGAGCTCCAAAATGACCTCCTTTGACTCCATGTGTCACATCTAGGTGATGCAAGAAGTGGGTTCCCAGGGTCTTGGGCAGCCCCGCCCCTGTGGCTTTGCAGGGTACAGCCCCCCCTTCTGGCTGCATTGAGTGTCTGCAGCTTTTCCAGGCACACAGTGCAAGCTGTCAGTGGATCTACCATTCTGGGGTCTGGAGGATGGTGGCCCTTTTGTGACAGCTCTGCTTGGCAGTACCCCAGTGGGGACTCTGTGTGGGGGCTCCAACCCCATATTTCCCTTTGACACTGCCCTAGCAGAGGTTATCCATGAGGGCCCCCCGCTGCCCCGCACAGCAAACTTTTGCCTGGATTTCCAGGCATTTTCATACATCTTCTGAAATCTAGGCGGAGGTTCATGAACGTTAATTCTTGACTTCGGTGCATCTGCAGGCTTAACACCACCTAGAACCTGAAAGGCTTGGAACTTGCACCCTCTGAAGCCATGGCCTGAGGTGTACCTTGGCCCCTTTTACCTATGGCAGGAGCAGCTGGGATGCAGGGCACCAGGTTCCTAGGCTGCACACAGCAGGGGGTTCTGGACTCACAAGAGCATTTTTCCTTCTAAGCCTCCTGGCCTGTGATGGGAGGGTCTGCTGTGAGGGTCTCTAACATGCCCTGGAGACATTTGCCCCATTGTCTTGGTGATTAACATTTGGCTCCTCATTACTTATGCAAATTTCTACAACCCAGTCTCCTGAGAAAATAGATTTTTCTTTTCTGTTGCATCATCAGGCTACAAATTTTCTGAACTTTTATGCTCTGCTTCTTCTCGAATGCTTTGCTGCTTAGAAATTTCTTCTGTCAGATACCTTAAATCATCTCTCTCAAGTTCAAAGTTCCACAGATCTCTAGGGAACTCTAGAAAAAAATTCTTATTTTCACTCTTTCCCGCCTATCTTATGCCCGTTTCTAACACAGGTGCACAGTGCCTGCAGTGTCTTTGCATAGTAAGAGTGACTTTACTCCATTTCCCAACAAATTCCTCATCTCCCTCTGAGACCACCTCCGCCTGGACCTTATTGTCCATATCACTATTAACATTTTGGTCAAAGCCATTCAACAAGTCTCTAGGAAGTTCCAAACTTTCCCACATTTTCCTATCCTCTTCTGAGCCTTCCAAACTGTTCCAGCCTCTCCCTGTTACCCATTTCCAAAGTTGCTTCCACATGTTCGGGTATCTTTACAGCAGCACCCCACTCTACTGGTATCAACTTATTGTATTAGTCTGTTCTCACACTGCAAATAAAGACATACCTGAGACTGGGTAATTTATAAAGGAAAGAGGTTGAATTGACTCACAGTTCTGCATGGCTGGGGAGGCCTCACAATCATGGTGGAAGGCAAGGAGGTGCAAAAGCATGTCTCACATAGTGGCAGGCAGGAGAGAGCATGTGCAGGGGAGCTCCCATTTATAAAACCATCAGATCTCATGAGACTTAGTCACTACCACGAGAACAGTATGGGGGGAACCATCCCCATGATTCAGTTATCTGCACCTGGCCCCACCCTTGACACGTGGGAATTATTACAATGCAAGGTGAGATTTAGGTGGGGACCCATCCAAACTATGTCAGTATGTTTTGACTTCTGGCTTGATTGCTAGGTTGCATGGAGGACAAACATGGAAATTAATGAAGTACCTTAATATCTGGCTTCAGATCTTAGACAGGATCAGAGGGCCAGCTCAAATTTGCAAGGAGGGGAGGTAGATCCCACCATTTTATGGGTGAATGGCAAAATCAAGCAGAAATTATGTGGGACGGGAGATACTGATGCAGGCATCTTTGGAAACATTCTACTTAGCTAATTTTATGCTAGGCTTTAGGTCAAGAAGGAGAGAGAGAGCTGACATGCTGTGGTACACACTTATAGTCCCAGCGACTTGGAAAGCTGAGGCAGGAGGATTGCTTGATCCCAGGAGTTTGAGGTAGTGTGCGATGATCGTTCTTGTGAATAGCCACTAGCCACTGAACTCCAGCTTGGGCAACATTGAGACACCCTGTCTCTTAATTTAAAAAAAAAAAAAAAAAAGGAGGAAAGAAAGTGGTCTCAGTTTTTAATGTAAATATTTTTAATGGGATAATGATATTTTAAGATTAATGTATATTGTATATCAGTTAACTATAGGTCAATAATTATATAAAACTTAAGGTACGAAAAACATTTATTTTTGCTAACATATCCGTGAGTTGACTGTTCTTGGCTTGGTGAGGCTGCAAGCTGCAGATAGAGTCTAGGTATGATTTCTGTGTGTTTGTTCCCCCTTGGATCAGTGGACTACCTGAGAATGTGTTTTTGTCACAGTGATAGAATCACAAGGAAACTCCAGTTCTGGAAGTACATTTTAAGCCATTGCTTCTATCATGTCCACTAACATTCAGTCAGCCAAAGCACATACCTTGTCCATGGCTAACATTGATAGTATAGATAAATATACCTGATCTCTAGCAGGAGGAACTGCATTGTCTTGGGGAAAGGTTTTAGATATAGGGAGGGGTGATGAGTTGGGAACAATAATGTAGTCTGCCACAAACATATTAAAGTGTAACTGGATATGGTTGCTGCAGAATTTTGAACCTTTGTTTTAATTGTGATTTTTACTCTTTTCCCCCTATCTAGTGCCCTTTCGTAATACAGTAATTCTCATGATTTTTGTCTGAATTGAAATCTTCTGAGATTAGATTGTCTACGAAAATACAGTCGATCCTCCTTGTTTTCAGCTTTTGTATTTGTGAACTCACCTACTATTTTTTGTAACCCCCAAATCAGTACTCACAGCACTTTCATAGTCATGTGTTTGCGCAGAGTGTCAAAGAATTTGAGTTTGAACAGGATGATATTCTGCCTTCTTTTTCAGCTCTCATACAATAGTCAGGTATCCTTTTTGTGGTCTATTTAATGCCATGCTTTTCCTGTTTTTGTACTGTTTGTTGGTTGTTTTGCCATTTAAATTAACCCCCAAGCATAGTGCTGAAGTGCTGCTTAGCATTCACAAGTCCAAGAAGTCTGTGATGTGTCTTACAGAGGAAATAGATGCATTGAATAAACTCCATTCAGGCGTGAGTGCTGTAGTGCCATTGGCTGTGAGTTCAGTGTTAATGAATGAACAATGTGTATTATTTATTTATTCTTCATTTAATTAATTATTATTATTTTTTTTGAGATAGAGTCTCACTCTGTTGCTCAGGCTGGAGTGCAGTGGTGCAGTCTTGGCTCACTGCAACCTCTGCCTCCTGGGTTCAAGCGATTCCCCTGCCTTAGCCTCCCAAGTAGCTAAGTCTACAGGCATGCGCCACCATGCCTGGCTAATATATATATATATATATATATATATATATATATATTTTGTAGTTTTAGTAGAGACGGGGTTTCACCACGTTGGCCAGGCTGGTCTCGAGCTCCAGACCTCAAATGATCTGCCCGCCTTGGCTTCCCAAAGTGCTGGGATTACAGGCATTAGCCACTGTGCCTGGCCAACAATATATATATTAAATAAGCACACATACAACAAAAGTAGGTGTTGGTAAGCTTACAAAAATGTGACCAGTAGCTTGCTGAAACCTAACTTTTTATTTGTTCATGGAACTTTCTAGACCGTAACTACACTGAATAATGAGAATCTGCTGTAATATTTTTAGGTGCTGTAGATGAGCCATTGGATTAAATTATTACAGTATGTTTCAGACTGCTCTATGTTGAACCCTAGTGAAATGCCTCTCAAACCCTCCTAAGGATCACAATCTCATGTCCTTTTTTTTGTTATTAAATGCCCAGTATGTGTTAGCGATTTAAACAAAATTCAAATATTTTTTTTTTTTTTTTTTTTTGAGACAGAGTCTCGCTCTGTCACCTAAGCTGGAGAGTGCAGTGGCATGATCGCGGCTCACTACAACCTCTGCCTCCCGGGTTCAAGCGATTCTCCTGCCTCAGCATCCTGAGTAGCTGGGATTACAGGCGCCCGCCACCACGCTGGGCTAATTTTTGTATTTTTAGTAGAGACGGGATTTCGCCAGGTTGTCCAGGCTGGTCTGGAACTCCTGACCTCATGCGATCTGCCTGCCTTGGCCTCCTGAAGTGCTGGGATTATAGGCGTGAGCCACCATGCCCGGCGTTGACTTTTTAATAATAACCATTCTGACTGGTGTGAGATGGTATGCCATTGTGGTTTTGATTTGCATTTCTCTAATGATCAGTGATATTGGGCTTTTTTTCATATGCTTGTTGGCCGCATGTGTGTCTTCTTTTGAAGTGTCTGTTTATGTCCTTTGCCCACTTTCTAATGAGATTTTTTTTTTCTTGTAAATTTGTTTAAGTTCCTTATCAGTGTTGGACATTAGATCTTTGTCACATGCATTGTTGCAACAATTTTCTCCTATTCTGTAGGTTGTCTGTTCACTCTGTTGATAGTTTCTTCTGCTGTGCAGAAGCTTCAAGAAGAAAGGAATCCGATTGGTTCTGTGTCTGTCTCTTTTGGTATTCTCAGACTTATGTAGTCATCCATATAGAAAGGTGATTAGGAAAATAGGACAAGAATAGCAGAAATCTACATAAAAATGTAGGAAATTAAAATTAGTTACCAGCATACAAAAAACTACTATATGTTATAATTACATACTATAACTCACCCCTCCTTGCCAAATATTCTCTCTCTTTTGACTTCAAAATCATGGCTTATATGTACTTTCTCTATTTCCCAGATGCAAATATAATTAATTGACTTTATTTATCTAGGAAATATTACTGATATCTTAATTGTAGTCATTGGCTTGAGTGACGGGTTTTGGTAATTCAACTACTATTACTTGAAAGTAGTAGATTTCATAAGATACTGTTATAAAATCTTTTTAACCTCTTTTCTGATTTCAGGAGTAATTAGTAATTGTGGTTTACTGGAAAATTCAATGAATAGCGTGTTAAAGGAAGCAATTCGTTAATAATATATCTAATCTATTGGGAGACTGAGGCGGGTGGGTCACCTGAGATCAGGAGTTCGAGACCAGCCTGGCCAACATGGCAAAACTCCGTCTCTACTAAAAATACAAAAATTCGCCGGGCATGGTGGTGCATTCCTGTATTCCCAGGTACTCGGAAGGCTGAGGCAGGAGAATCACCTGAACTCCAGAGGTGGAGGTTGCAGTGAGTCAGGATCGCAGCACTACACTCCAGCCTGGGTGACAGAGTGAGACTCCATCTCAAAAAAAAAAAAAATTAAAAAATTAAATTAAAAAAAAGCGGGCCGGGCGCATTGGTTCAGGGCCGGGCACGGTGGCTCAAGCCTGTAATCCCAGCACTTTGGGAGGCCGAGGCAGGCGGATCACGAGGTCAGGAGATCAAGACCATCCTGGCTAATGTGGTGAAACCCGGTCTCTACTAACAATACAAAAATTAGCTGGATGTGGTGGCAGGTGCCTGTAATCCCAGCTATTCCAGAGGCTGAGGCAGGAGAATCACTTGAACCTGGGAGGCAGAGGTTTCAGTGAGTCCAGATCATGCCACTGCACTCCAGCCTGGGTGACAGAGCGAGATTCTATCTCAAAAAAAAAAAAAAAAAAAAAAAAAGCAACAGAAGCAAATGAGAGTGCCTGGGAGTGGTCATTGTGGGGCATTCCTGTTTGTGTGACCCAGGTCATGTCCCTCCCTAAGCCCTGGTCTCTCTTGCCTCCTGCAGGGCTGGTGAATTACCAGATCTCCGTCAAGTGCAGTAACCAGTTCAAGTTGGAAGTGTGTCTTTTGAAATCAGAAAACAAAGTCGTGGACAACCAGGCTGGGACCCAGGGCCAGCTGAAGGTGCTGGGTGCCAACCTCTGGTGGCCGTACCTGATGCACGAACACCCCGCCTACCTGTACTCGTGGGAGGTAATGGTGGTTTGGGACTTGCTTAAGGGAGGTCTTTTGCTCCCATCTGGTAGCCCTGGCTTCAGCAGGAGCCCAGGACAGGTGAACGGGCAGGTGTGGTCCTCTGAGCTTTTCTGAGCTTTCTGATGTTTCCCACCCTTGGTGGGAGGCCCAGATTTTTTATTTATTTATTTATTTATTTATTTATTTATTTATTTATTTATTTGTGATGGTCTCACTGTGTCACCCAGGCTGGAACGCAATGGCCTGATCACAGCTCACTGCAGCTTTGAGCTGCAATCCTCCTCCCTTGGCCTCCTGAGTAGCTGGGACTACAGGCACATGCCACCATGCCTGGCTAATTAAAAACATTTTTTTTGTAGGCCGGGCATGGTGGCTCACGCCTGTAATCCCAGCACTTCGGGAGGCTGACGCGGGCGGATCACTTTAGGCCAGGAGTTGGAGACCAGCCTGGCCAACATGGTGAAACCCCGTCTCTACTAAAATATGAAAATTTGCAGGGCATGATGGTGCACGTCTGTAATCCCAGCTACTCGGGAGGCTGAGGCAGGGGAATTGCTTGAACCCAGGAGGCAGGGGCTGCAGTGAATTGAGATCATGCCACTGCACTCTATCCTGGGTGACAGAGTGAGACTGTCTCAAAAAAAAAAAATCCTTTTTATAGAGTTGGGGGTCTTACTAGGTTGCCCAGGCTGGTCTTGAACTCCTGGACTCAGGTGATCCTCCTGCCTTAGCGTCCCAAAGTGTAGGGATTCCAGGCATGAGCCACCTCGTCTGGTCAAGGAGAAGGCCTGATTTTGAAGGGCAGGTCCCAGGGCCAGCCAGTGAAGGGCAGAGCCTCTGATTGCTGCTTCTCTGCAGGCCCAGAGGCGACTTCTGGGGTGCATGCACGAGGGGTCTTCCTGCTGTAGGGCAGGCCAGATGGGGCTCAGGCTGTCGGGGCGCTCACACCTGGCGCTTTGGCTGTCATAGGTGCGGCTGACTGCACAGAAGTCACTGGGGCCTTTGACTTCTACACACTCCCTGTGGGGCTCCGCACTGTGCCCGTCACCGAGAGCCAGTGGGTGAGAGCCAGTTTCATTTGTGGTAGAGGCAGCAGAGGTTGTAGAAATGCTCCTTGAGGCAGATGCCACACCCCAGTTTCATGGAGTGATTTGGGCTGAGCCGAGTCTGCAGCAGGCAGAAGGCTCTGAGATGTTGTCCTAGCCTGGGCAGAGGACAATTCAGAGCTCGGGGGAATAGGGGTGTGCTCAGCACGACTGGGTGGACAGGCCCTTTGTTGTGAATCGTACAGGCTTCCAGGAGCGGGTGCCTGAGGCTTCCAGACAGGCTTTGGGAGGTGGCCAGAGGAGATGCCTGTTTCCGGGGCAGGAAATGGAGGGAGCGCCCAGGCTGGAGAGGTTCAGCCAGGCTGTCACAAGGCTTTGAAGCTTCCCATCTGAGAGCCTGGCTATTGGAGAGTGTGGGTTTGGAACTTGAGGCTAGGAGGTTCTGTTCTGTCCTGTGCCAGCCACAGCCTTCGGATGGGCAGAGCAATGATGGGGGGAAGATGTAAAAGAAAAGAACTGAGGAAAGAAGAAGAAAACCAGCTTCAACAACAGTCTAGGCCGGATGCGGTGGGTCACGCCTGTAATCCCAGCAGTTTGGGAGGCTGAGGTGGGTGGATCACCTGAGGTCAGGAGTTCGAGACCAGCCTGGTCAACAGGTAGTGAATCCTGTCTCTACTAAAAATACAAAAATTAGCTGGGCATGGTGGTGGACGTCTGTAATCCCAGCTACTAGGTAGGCTGAGGCAGGAGAACCGCCTCAGGTGAACCAGGAGGCAGAGATTGCAGTGAGCTGAGATAATGCCACTGCATTCCAGCCTGGGCTACAGAATGAGACTCTGTATCTCAAAAAAACAAAACAAAACAAAAACACAACAGTCTGTTCTGTGGAGGCCTTGGGCAGATGCTGGGAGCTCTGAGCACAGACTGGTCCCTCTGTTGGGAGCCTCTTCCCTTCATCCCTCCTGGTTAACTTGACTCAGCATAAAGGCCATTTCTTCTAAGAGCCTGTCCCTGACTCTCCAATCGGGGATGTGTCTGTTGTCTCATAGAGTGCCCAATTCCTGCCACCATTTGTCATTTCCATTCGCAACATTTCTTTCATTGTTTGTTTTTCAGAGTCAGGGTCTCACTCTGTTGCCCAGGCTGGAGTGCAGTGGTGCAATCATAGCTCGTTGCCATCTCGACCTCCTGGGCTTAAGCGATCCTCCCCTCTCAGCCTCCCAAATAGCTGGGACCACAGACGTGCGCTGCCTTGCCAGGCTAAATTTTAATATTTTTTTTCCCCACGAGTCAGAGTCTTGCTCTGTCTCCCAGGCTGGAGAGCAGTGTTGCGATCTTGGCTCACTGCATCCTCTACCTCCTGGGTACAAACAGTTCTCCTGCCTCACCCTCCCGAGTAGCTGGGATTACAGGCTCACGCCACCATGCCCAGCTAGTTTTCTTCTTTATTTTTTGTTGAGATGGGGTTTCACCATGTTGGCCAGGCTGGTCTCGAACTCTTGAGCTCGTGATCCACCTGCCCTGGCCTCCCAAAGTGCTCACAGGCTTGAGCCACCATGCCCGGCCCTAATTTTTAAATTTGTTGTAGAAACAAGGTCTTGCTATGTTGCCCAGGCTGGTCTCAAGCACCTGGTCTCAAGTAAGCCTCCCAAAGTGCTGGGGTTCTAGGCGTGAGCCACCTCGCCTGGCGCTTGCACCGTTTTTCTGTGCATGCATCTCCACTCCCACTGCCCAGGACCTGTGGACTTAGATTTGAGTCATTACTGAGCACCTAGCACCCAGCCTCATGCCTACCTCCCACCTCGCACTACCTGTTTGCTTGATGCATTAATAAATATTCCACCTGAATCCACAGCCCATTCACTCCTGTGTTCAAGGGCTATTTCAGGAAGTGAACCTCATTTTTGGCAGTGTTCAGTCCAGTGACCTCAGCTCTGTGTACCTGGCAGGGTGGCTACGCCTCTGGGGGAATTGGATTCAGGGGTGGGGGAGAAAGAGTGTTGTTAGAGAGCTTGGTCTAGGACTAGAGGAACGTGCCCTTATGTAAAATACATCTCAAGTTAGGGAAGAAAGCAGCGGCTCTGTGCTTTGTTTTTTTTTTTGTTTTTTTTTCTTTTCTTTCTTTTTGTTTGTTTGTTTGTTTGTTTGTTTGTTTGTTTGTTTGTTTGTTTTGGGGCAGGGTCTTGCTCTGTGGCCCAGGCTGGAGTGCAGTAGCGTGATTTCGGCTCACTGCAACCTCCACCTCCCGGGTTCAAGCAATTCTTGTGCCTCAGCCTCCCGAGTAGCTGGAGTTACAGATGCGTGCCACTAAGCCTGGCTAATTTTTGTATATTTAGTAGAAATGGGGTTTTGCCATGTTGGCCAGGCTGTTCTTGAACTCCTGACCTCAGTGATCTGCCTGCCTCAGCCTCCTGAAGTGCTGGGATTACAGATGTGAGCCATCATGCCTGGCCCCCAGTTGTGTTCTGGCAGGGGAAGATGGGACAGAGAGGATGGGAGGGTGTCTGAGCCTTTCCCGGACTGACGGAACCTGTGTCTTCTCTCTTTTGTGGACAGGATGGTGATTGCTCACACCAAAGCCTTGGACCCCTCCCAGCCTGTGACCTTTGTGACCAACTCCACCTACGCAGCAGACAAGGGGGTGAGCCTGGGGGTCCCCACCCCATTTCTCCCTGCCTTTGCCTGGGCTTGTCCTGAAGCCTGCTCATGGGAACAGCTGGAAAGAACCATGTGCTGCCAGTCTGAGCTTTTTATTTTGTTTTACTTAGAAAGATAGAGACAGGGTCTTGCCATGTTGCCCAGGCTGGTCTCGAACTCCTGGGCTCAAGTGGTCCTCCTGCCTCGGCCTTCCAGAGGGCTGGGGTGACAGGCGTGTGCCACCGCACTCAGCCGCAGCCAGTCTGTTTTCAAAGATGGTCTTTGGGTTAATGACAATTCTCTCTCTGCTTACTCTCTAGGCAGTGTGGCTTTCTGAATTTAAGGAGGCTGGGCATAGGGAGATGGGATTTGTTTGCCCAGTTTGGACTCAGCATTTTTTGTACTCGATTTAATAGACTCATAAAATGTCAAAGGTTTAAGTGAGCTTAGAGTTCATCTGGCCCAAACCTGGCTGATCAGAATCTCCAGGGGAAGTTTTATTGAAATGCCAGATCTCTGCATTCTGAGATCCTGATTTAGTAACTCCAGGGTTGGAACCTGAGTTTTTTTTTTTTTTTTTGTGAAGGCAAGGTCTTACTCTGTTGCTCTGGCTGGAGTGCAGTGGTGTGATCACAGCTCACTGCAGCCTTGAATTCCTGGGCCTAAGCAACCCTCTTGCCTCAGCCTTCCAAGTAGCTGGGACTCCGGGTGTACACCACTGTGCCCGGCTAATTTTAAATGTTTTTGTAGAGATGGGATCTCACTATGTTGCCCAGGCCAGTCTCAAACTCTTGAGCTCAAGTGATCCTCCTGCCTTAGCCTCCTAAAGTGCTGGGATTACAGGCATGAGCCACCGTGCCTGGCTGATACTAGCATTCTTTTTTTTTTTTTTTTTTTTAAAAGATGGAGTCTTGCTGTGTTGCCCAGGCTGGAGTGCAGTGGCACAGTCTCAGCTCACTGCAACCTCCGCCTCCCAGGTTCAAGCAATTCTCCTGCCTCAGCCTCCCAAGTAGCTGGGATAACAGGCACATGCCACCACGCCTGCGCTTGATCGTGGGAGGCAGAGGTTGCACTATTGTGCCACTCCATTCTAGCCTGGGCAACAGAGCGAGACTCTGTCTTCCAAATAAAGCGAAAAAAGATTATCTGCGAGAATGACTGCATTGGCCCCTTGGGTGGGAGGGCTTCTCCAGGGCAAGGTGAGGGGATGCCCAGTGCTGGGAGTGCTGCCTGGAGAGGAGTCAGTTCCAGTGGCGGGGGCCCTGGGTTTTGGCTGAGGACTGCGTGTTGGCAGCTGCTCTGCCTCTCACAGCCCTTCCCAGCTGCACACGTCGTGAGCGTCAGTGTGCAATCACAGGCCTGCCTCCTTTGGGCCACTTTGTGACCATGTTTTTTGCTTGTGGGGCAGGGTAATTTCAGGATCTAAATTGGTGCAGTTGGATGTTCTCAGCCCCGAGAGGCAGCTCTTCCCGTTCTAGGCTTTTTGTTTTGTTTTGTAGAAATGGAGTCCTACGATGTTGCCCAGGCTGGTCTCAAACTCCTGGGCTCAAGTGATCCTCCCACCTTGGCCTCCCAATGTGCTGGGATTACAGGCATGAGCCACTGTGCCGTGCTAATTTTCTTGATACTATTTTTTGTAGAGCTGGGGTCTTGCTGTGTTGCCCAGGCTGGTCTCGAACTCCTGGCCACAAGCCACCCTCCTGCCTCAGCCTCCCAGAGTGCTGGGATTACATCCCCTTCTTACCTTCTCTGTCAGAGGAGCCCCCACAGCATGTGAGTACTGAGTCATGCGGTCTTGTGGTTGCTGAACGGGCTCTGCTGCTCTGGTCCTAGGCTCTGTATGTGGATGTGATCCGTGTGAACAGCTACTACTCTTGGTATCGCAACTACGGGCACCTGGAGTTGATTCAGCTGCAGCTGGCCGCCCAGTTTGAGAACTGGTGTAAGACATCACAATCCCATTATTCAGAGCGAGTATGGAGTGGAAACGCTTGTAGGGTTTCACCAGGTAAGCGGTGTTGAACTTTCTGCTTGTGTATTCTCTCTGGGCAGAGATGCCAACTTGCCTCTCCCACCATGCCATCTCTGAAGAATATTACAGACCATTTTGGAGCATGGTGAATAAGAAATTTTTACCTTAGGAGTTCACTTGAATAGTCATTTTTATATTTGTGACTGCAAGTCACTTTTAGGGGCTGTACTTCCTTAGTACTGGTAGCATTATTATCCAATGGACTTTTATAGCTTTCATTAGGTTTTCTTTTGTTTTTGTTCTTTAAAGAACATTTTACTTAACTTAGTATTTCATTTTTCGTCTATATTATGAGGCAGTAAGAGTCTTCTGTTTTTCCAAAGTTGAGACTGCTTTATATTTATTTCATATTGTCTACAGCTGTAGTGTTCAATACATTAGCCACTAGCCACATGTGGTTATTTAAATAAGATAAAATAAAAATTGGCCGGGCGTGGTGGCTCACGCCTGTAATCCCAGCACTTTGGGAGGCCGAGGCGGGCAGATCATTAGGTCAGGAGATCGAGACCATCCTTACTAAGACGGTGAACCCCCATCTCTATTAAAAATACAAAAAATTAGCCGGGCGTGGTGGCGGGCGCCTGCAGTCCCAGCTACTCAGGAGGCTGAGGCAGGAGAATGGCGTGAACCTGGGAGGCAGAGTTTGCAGTGAGCCGAGATTGGCGCCACTGCACTCCAGCCTGGGGGACAGAGCGAGACTCCATCTCAAAAAAAAAAAAAAAAAAAAAGTCTGCTTCAGCTGCTAAAACAGAATACCATAAATTAGGTAGCTTAAACAGTAGATATTTTGACCCGGCATGGTGGCTTATGCCTGTATTCCTAACACTTTGGGAGGCCGAGGCAGGTGGATAACTTGAGCTCAGGAGTTTGAGACTAGCCTGGGCAGCATGGCAAAACCTTGTCTCTACGAAAATTAGCTGGGCATGGTGGTGCACGCCTGTAGTCTGAGCTACTTGGGAGGCTGAGGTGGGAGAATTGCTTGAACCTGGGAGGCGGAGGTTGCAGTGAGCCATGATCGCACCACTGTACTCCAGCCTGGATGACAGAATGAGACTCTGTCTCAAAAAAAACAAAAACAAACAAACAAAAAAAACAGATATTTCTCACAGTTGTGGAGACTGGAAGTGCAAGATCAAAGTGTTGGCAAATTACGTTTCTTAAAGAGGGCCTGCTTCCTAGATTGGAAATGGCCATCTTCTCTCAGTATCCTCACATGGTAGGGAGAAAAGCAGCTCTAGTGTCTCTTCTTATAAAGGAAGTAATGCCACCATAGGGGCTCTATTCTCATGACCTCATCTAAACGTAATTCTCTCCTAAAGGCCACGCCTCCCAGTATCCTCACCTTGGGGGTTAGGGCTTTATCATATGAATTTTTTTTTTTTTTTTTTTTGAGACAGAGTCTCGCTCTGTCTGTCACCCAGGCTGGAGTGCAGTGGCACAATCTCGGCTCTCTACAAGCTCCGCCTCCTGGGTTCACGCCATTCTCCTGCGTCAGCCTCCTCAGTAGCTGGGACTAAGGCGCCCGCCACTGCGCCCGGCTAATTTTTTTGTATTTTTAGTAGAGACGGGGTTTTACCATGTTAGCCAGGATGATCTCGATCTCCTGACCTCGTGATCCACCCACCTCGGCCTCCCAAAGTGCTGGGATTACAGGCATGAGCCACCGCGCCTGGCCTATCATATGAATTTTGAGGGAACACAATCATGCAGTCTGTAGCAGATGGTAATAGGCTGATATATTACACTTGTTGATGTAAATCTGATAGGTTTCTTTCTCTCCAAGGACAGCTTTTTAAATATTTAACAGTATCAATAATTTTTCAGTTTCTGTGAGAATTTTATAATTTATAATTTGCAGACTTAATGTATAATCTATTTTGTCCTAACAATTACAAATATATTTTTTATTTCAGATTATATATATTCCTACCAGATGGAGATAATTACAGCTTTAAAAATTTTTATTTTTTCATTTTATTTCACATATTGACATTAAATTTTTATTGACACATAATAATTGTACATATATATGGGGTACAATGTGATGTTTTAATACATGTACTCAATGTGTAATGATCAAATCAGGGTAATTTGCATAATGATTTTTCTGTAGGGAGAAAATTCAAAATCTACTCTTCTGGCTATTTTCAAATATATAATATGTTATTGTTAACTATACTCATCCTACTATGCAATAGGACACCAGAACTTATTCCTGGGTTCTACATCTGTTAAGCCAACCAAAGATTGGAAATATTGGGAAAAAAAATTGCGTCTGTACTGAACATGTACAGACTTTTTTCTTGTCCTTATTCCTTACACAATATAGTACAATAACTATTTGCATGACATTTACATCGGATATTATGAGTGATCTAGAGTTGATATGAAGTATATGGGAGGATGTGCAAAGGTGATGTGCAAATACTATGTCATTTTATATCAGGGACTTGAGTATCCTTTGTTATCCTCAGGAGATCCTGAAACTAGTCCTCCATGGATACTGAGGGCTGACTGTCTAGTCCTATCCTCACGGAACTTTCATTGTAATGAGGGAAGACTGACTATAAACAAAATATATGTAATAGGTGGTGGTAAGTACCGTGGAGAAGTAACAAATGGGGCAAAGTGAGTTATACAGCTCCATCCTTAGAAACCTTGGAGTACTTTTCTTAGTTTATACTCGTGGTGGTTTCCTTTTGTCTCCTTTATTACATGGGACTCTGACATGTGCCCATAGCTAGGGTGGCAGTAGGATCTACCCGAAAAGCGTCCTGCTGATACAGGACCAAAGCATCCTGTTGTTCTCGAGCCTATAAAAAGAGCTAATGGTCTTGCTTCTCTTAACTGTGGCCTCCTACACTGTGTTTTGGATGATTGGTGATGTCTTGGATATTCTGTTTCTTTGGAACTTTGAATATACAACACTTTACTAGGGAATTAGCAATGGAAGCAGAGCAAAGATGTACAGAGGAAACAATGCATAACTCTGATGGAATTGAAGTCATGAGGCAGCAGAGAGCTTAAATTAGAGCTTTAAAAATTTTTATTTTTTAGAGGGAATTTAATTGGGAGTAACAGCAGTAATAGTTAACGGAGCCAGAATGCTTGAGTCATATAATTGCAAAGCAGAGTTGGGAGCAACAGATGCTAAAGAGTAGTTGCTGTAGTTCCTCTTTGGGTCGTAGGAGCAGTTGTCATGTTACTATATAGCTACTGAATGAAGAAGAGTTCTTAGTGAGGCCTGGGTGAACAGCTCTTCTTAGTATTCTGTGTGACCCCATTTGACCTTTTAACAAATCCCTAAGAAAATAAATAGCCCCTAAGGTAAACTAAGTTTTTCTCTGCTATTTTTTTGCTTGAGAGAGCTATAACTGTAGTAGACTTATATTTCTGAACATTTTAGTGCTTGCCAATATTTGGTAATATTTATGTTTCCTATATTTGTAATGAACATTCTTCTTCCGGTACATTTTTTGTTAAATTATTGTTTCATGCATAAAAGTTCACCTTTTATTGTATAAAATTGACTCAGATTAATTTATACACATTGACAATGGGTAAATAGAGCTTTTCAGATTATTAAAAGCTGAAGGATGCCCATGTAAGCAAAAACAAAAAAGAAAAAACCAACAAAAATAAACCCAAACCCCTCAAACAATTTCGAACACAAAACATTCTTCTCACGCCGGCATCCCTGCTTGCAGGTGTGAGGGGGGCAGGAATCAGCGAGGTGTCCTGGGCTGAGTCCCCGGAGTGGGAAGAGGTGGCAGGAAGGGGATCTGAGGAGGAGAACAGGGGTCCTGGTGGTCTGTGCTTCTTCCCAGACACGGGAGCTGTAGAGGAGACCTCTGCAGCAGATGCTAGGGGGGCCACTAGGCCTAGGCAGTCTTGGGACTTGGGTCTGTCCTGCTGTGCATCCATAGTGGGTGCTTTAGAAAGGGGAGGCCCACGCGAAGCCCCCGTTGCAAGTGAGGACAAAGTGTGGGAAGGCCGTGAGGGTCTGCAGTCCGAGATGGCCTTGCCCTCAACGTGCAGTGCACTGTTGATGTGGGGCCTAGAGGCCTGGGATCTGGGGGAGCCACCCCTGGGGGCGAGTGTCTGCCCTGGTGCTGTATCTGCCTTTTGACAGCGGGTGTGACCCGAAGAGACAGCCTGAGGTCCGTCCTCACTCACTGTGTTTGAGGAACTGAGGGCCAGCTGGCAGTGGCATGAGGCTGGCCCCCTCCTCCGCTTTAGTTCCGGGAGGCCTTCCGTAGAACTGTGGGAGCTGGAGCTGGCATTTCCTTGGAGGCAGGATCTGGTCCGGGAGGTCTGGGATCTCTGGTTATATCTCACTTCTGACCTCTGGGCACGTGCTGCAGCTGTGGCTGAGGCCAAGAAATGTGAGGGGCCTCCATTCACTGCATTGAGTAGTGACCCCGACGTGGGGTTCAATGTGGAGGGGGGAGGGGCTGCTGCTGCAGCTGCAGGAGCGGAGGTGCCAGGCCTTGTTCTTCTCATGCTGGCATCCCTGCTTGCAGCTGTGAAGGGGGCAGGAATCAGCGAGGTGACCTGGGCTGAGTCCCGGGAGTGGGAAGAGGTGGCAGGAAGGGGATCTGAGGAGGAGAACAGGGGTCCTGGTGGTCTGTGCTTCTTCCCAGACACGGGAGCTGTAGAGGAGACCTCTGCAGCAGATGCTAGGGGGGCCACTAGGCCCAGGCAGTCTTGGGACTTGGGTCTGTCCTGCTGTGCATCCATAGCGGGTGCTTTAGAAACGGGAGGCCCACCCGAAGCCCCCGTTGCAAGTGAGGACAAAGTGTGGGAAGGCCGTGAGGGTCTGCAGTCCGAGATGGCCTTGTCCTCAACGTGCAGTGCACTGTTGATGTGGGGCCTAGAGGCCTGGGATCTGGGGGAGCCACCCCTGGGGGCGAGTGTCTGCCCTGGTGCTGTATCTGCCTTCTTTTCACAGCGGTGACCCGTAGAGACAGCCTGAGCTCCGTCCTCACTCACTGTCTTTGAGGAACTGTGGGCCAGCTGGCAGTGGGATGAGGCTGGCCCCCTCCTCCGCTTTAGTTCCGGGAGGCCTTCCGTAGAGCTGTGGGAGCTGGAGCTGGCATTTCGTTTGAGGCAGGATCTGGTCCGGGAGGTCTGGGATCTCTGGTTATATCTCACTTCTGACCTCTGGGCACGTGCTGCAGCTGTGGCTGAGGCCAAGAAATGTGAGGGGCCTCCATCCACTGCATTGAGTAGTGACCCCGACGTGGGGTTCAATGTGGAGGGGGGAGGGGCTGCTGCGGCAGCTGCAGGAGCCGACCTTGTTCTTCTCATGCCGGCATCCCTGCTTGCAGCTGTGAAGGGGGCAGGAATCATCGAGGTGACCTGGGCTGAGTCCCGGGAGTGGGAAGAGGTGGCAGGAAGGGTATCTGAGGAGGAGAACAGGGGTCCTGGTGGTCTGTGCTTCTTCCCAGACACGGGAGCTGTAGAGGGGACCTCTGCAGCAGATGCTAGGGGGGCCACTAGGCCCAGGCAGTCTTGGGACTTGGGTCTGTCCTGCTGTGCATCCATAGTGGGTGCTTTAGAAACGGGAGGCCCACGCGAAGCCCCTGTTGCAAGTGAGGACAAAGTGTGGGAAGGCCGTGAGGGTCTGCAGTCCGAGATGGCCTTGTCCTCAACGTGCAGTGCACTGTTGATGTGGGGCCTAGAGGCCTGGGATCTGGGGGAGCCACCCCTGGGGGCGAGTGTCTGCCCTGGTGCTGTGTCTGCCTTCTTTTCACAGCGGTGACCCGTAGAGACAGCCTGAGCTCCGTCCTCACTCACTGTCTTTGAGGAACTGTGGGCCAGCTGGCAGTGGGATGAGGCTGGCCCCCTCCTCCGCTTTAGTTCCGGGAGGCCTTCCGTAGAGCTGTGGGAGCTGGAGCTGGCATTTCGTTTGAGGCAGGATCTGGTCCGGGTGGTCTGGGATCTCTGGTTATATCTCACTTCTGACCTCTGGGCACGTGCTGCAGCTGTGGCTGAGGCCAAGAAATGTGAGGGGCCTC
Organism: Homo sapiens; assembly: GCF_000001405.40. Lineage (NCBI taxonomy): Eukaryota > Metazoa > Chordata > Mammalia > Primates > Hominidae > Homo > Homo sapiens. Next base: position 92,340 of record NW_016107297.1, read on the forward strand.
CATCCACTGCATTGAGTAGTGACCCCGACGTGGGGTTCAATGTGGAGGGGGGAGGGGCTGCTGCGGCAGCTGCAGGGGCCGACCTTGTTCTTCTCATGCCGGCATCCCTGCTTGCAGCTGTGAAGGGGGCAGGAATCATCGAGGTGACCTGGGCTGAGTCCCGGGAGTGGGAAGAGGTGGCAGGAAGGGTATCTGAGGAGGAGAACAGGGGTCCTGGTGGTCTCTGCTTCTTCCCAGACACGGGAGCTGTAGAGGAGACCTCTGCAGCAGATGCTAGGGGGGCCACTAGGCCCAGGCAGTCTTGGGACTTGGGTCTGTCCTGCTGTGCATCCATAGTGGGTGCTTTAGAAAGGGGAGGCCCACCCGAAGCCCCTGTTGCAAGTGAGGACAAAGTGTGGGAAGGCCGTGAGGGTCTGCAGTCCGAGATGGCCTTGTCCTCAACGTGCAGTGCACTGTTGATGCGCTGGAATGCTGCCTGTTTTTCCAGGTGCAGGTCTTCCGCCGTGACCCGGTACCCCAGCTCTAAGGGAGGTGGCAGCATCAAAGGCTCCCCTCGCCTGCTTGGCAGCAGGCGAATCTTGCGTCTACGGGGCCTAGAGGCCTGGGATCTGGGGGAGCCACCCCTTGGGGCGAGTGTCTCCCCTGGTGCTGTATCTGCCGCCTTTTCACACCGTGTGTGACCCGAAGAGACAGCCTGAGGCCTGTCCTCACTCACTGTCTTTGAGTAACTGAGGGTCAGCTGGCAGCGGGATGAGGCTGGTCCCCTCCTCTGCTTTAGCCCCGGCAAGCCTCCCGTGGAGCTGTAGGAGCTGGAGATGGCATTTCGTTTTGTGCTCGAGCTCGTCCAGGATGTCTGGGATGTCTGGTTATATCTGATTTCTGAGCTCTGGGCATCGAGGTCTGTCTGCAGAGGCCCGGGCCTGGGCACAAAGGGAGAGAGGCCTCCATTGTCCCGCAGGGGCCAAAATGCAGACCGTGCATCCCCGGTGACCTCGGGGACCGTTCTCTGATCAGCAGGATTTTCTTGGACTCTGGGGTCCTTGTCCTGCTCAGGCATCCCTGCCCTGCTCTCCTTGAGGGCCCTCAACACTATCTTCCCTGGACACAAGTCTGGGGACAGCCGGGTGTTGAGGACCCCAAAGGGGTGACTACCTGCTCCTGGGCCCCACAGAGTCCTTGTGCTCAGTGTAGTGGCTGAGCTGGGGGATGCCCTGGAATTCGGAGCACACAGCACTGGCTTACTGTGGTACCTGTGCAGTGAAATTGGAGACAGAATCACCAGGATGGAACACAGGTCTTGCAGGATCACGGAAAACCTTCTTAGAGTTGTCTTGACACCACTGATGTTGAGTGTCCGGGTGTTTGTAGGATGGCCTGCCACTCAGTCCAGGGGCAGGAGCAACGGGGAGATCCCACAAGCAAAGTGAACTGGGCGATGGGCTGAAGGGGCTCTAGGCAACTGAGCCCTACTCGCAGGTCCTCGGCCTTGGCCCAAACAGGAATGAGGGGCACAGAGTGCCCGGGTAACCGCTCCTGGGAGCAGTGGGGAACTGTCGGATACTTGAACTCTCGAGAGCTGGGCTCTGAGCGTCCTCGTCCAGCTGCCAACTTGGCCAAAGGCTAAGCCAGCAGATTGTTCTGTTGCCGGGCGACGCGACTTCTAAACCTGAGGGAGTGGGCATGTGAGCACATAATGGCACCAGTGACAGAGCGACCATAATGGATTAATAAGCGCAGCCAGGTACCCGCGCAAGGCACTTGCTGGCAATGGCAGGAGGCGGACGTGGGGGGGGTCGTGCAATAGGTACTGGAGGGAGAGACGTGGGCACAAAGGTCGCGGGAGGAACAGGTGCCCACAATGGCTGCAGATCTGCCCGTGGATCACTGAAGATTCCTGCTCTCCTGCTGAGGTGGAGACTGCAGTGAGCTGAGATCGCACCATTGCACTCCAGCCTGGGCAACGAGTGCAAAACTCAGTCTCCAGATAAAAAAAAGAAAAAGAAAAAAAAGAGGCCGGGTGTGGTGGCTTATGCCTATAATCCTAGCACTTTGGGAGGTCGGGGTGGACGGATCACGAGATCAGGAGTTGGAGGCCAGCCTGGCCAACATAGTGAAACCCCGTCTCTAGTAAAAATACAAAATTTAGTCAGACATGGTGGGCAGGAGAGAGCATGTGCAGGGGAACATCCATTTATAAAACCATCAGACCTCATGAGACTTATTCACTACCATGAGAACAGCATGGGGGAAACTGCCTCCATGATTCAGTTATCTCCACCTGGCCCCACCCTTGACACATGGGAATTGTTACAATTCAAGATGAGATTTGGGTGGGGACAGAGCCAAACCATATAATTCTTCCCCGGCCCCTCCCAAATCTCATGTCCTCATATTTCAAAAGCAATCGTGCCTTCCCCTAAGTCCCCCAAACTCTTATTTCAGCATTAACTCAAAATTCCATAGTCCAAAGTCTCATCTGAGACAAGGCAAGTCCCTTCCACCTGTGAGCCTGTAAAACCAAAAGCAAGTTAGTTATTTTCTAGATACACAGGGATACAGGCATTGGGTAAATACACCCGTTTCAAACGGGAGAAATTGGCCAAAGCGAAAGAGCTACAGGCCCCATGCAAGTCCAAAACCCAGCAGGCAAATCTTAGAGCTCCAAAATGACCTCCTTTGACTCCATGTGTCACATCTAGGTGATGCAAGAAGTGGGTTCCCAGGGTCTTGGGCAGCCCCGCCCCTGTGGCTTTGCAGGGTACAGCCCCCCTTCTGGCTGCATTGAGTGTCTGCAGCTTTTCCAGGCACACAGTGCAAGCTGTCAGTGGATCTACCATTCTGGGGTCTGGAGGATGGTGGCCCTTTTGTGACAGCTCTGCTTGGCAGTACCCCAGTGGGGACTCTGTGTGGGGGCTCCAACCCCATATTTCCCTTTGACACTGCCCTAGCAGAGGTTATCCATGAGGGCCCCCCGCTGCCCCGCACAGCAAACTTTTGCCTGGATTTCCAGGCATTTTCATACATCTTCTGAAATCTAGGCGGAGGTTCATGAACGTTAATTCTTGACTTCGGTGCATCTGCAGGCTTAACACCACCTAGAACCTGAAAGGCTTGGAACTTGCACCCTCTGAAGCCATGGCCTGAGGTGTACCTTGGCCCCTTTTACCTATGGCAGGAGCAGCTGGGATGCAGGGCACCAGGTTCCTAGGCTGCACACAGCAGGGGGTTCTGGACTCACAAGAGCATTTTTCCTTCTAAGCCTCCTGGCCTGTGATGGGAGGGTCTGCTGTGAGGGTCTCTAACATGCCCTGGAGACATTTGCCCCATTGTCTTGGTGATTAACATTTGGCTCCTCATTACTTATGCAAATTTCTACAACCCAGTCTCCTGAGAAAATAGATTTTTCTTTTCTGTTGCATCATCAGGCTACAAATTTTCTGAACTTTTATGCTCTGCTTCTTCTCGAATGCTTTGCTGCTTAGAAATTTCTTCTGTCAGATACCTTAAATCATCTCTCTCAAGTTCAAAGTTCCACAGATCTCTAGGGAACTCTAGAAAAAAATTCTTATTTTCACTCTTTCCCGCCTATCTTATGCCCGTTTCTAACACAGGTGCACAGTGCCTGCAGTGTCTTTGCATAGTAAGAGTGACTTTACTCCATTTCCCAACAAATTCCTCATCTCCCTCTGAGACCACCTCCGCCTGGACCTTATTGTCCATATCACTATTAACATTTTGGTCAAAGCCATTCAACAAGTCTCTAGGAAGTTCCAAACTTTCCCACATTTTCCTATCCTCTTCTGAGCCTTCCAAACTGTTCCAGCCTCTCCCTGTTACCCATTTCCAAAGTTGCTTCCACATGTTCGGGTATCTTTACAGCAGCACCCCACTCTACTGGTATCAACTTATTGTATTAGTCTGTTCTCACACTGCAAATAAAGACATACCTGAGACTGGGTAATTTATAAAGGAAAGAGGTTGAATTGACTCACAGTTCTGCATGGCTGGGGAGGCCTCACAATCATGGTGGAAGGCAAGGAGGTGCAAAAGCATGTCTCACATAGTGGCAGGCAGGAGAGAGCATGTGCAGGGGAGCTCCCATTTATAAAACCATCAGATCTCATGAGACTTAGTCACTACCACGAGAACAGTATGGGGGGAACCATCCCCATGATTCAGTTATCTGCACCTGGCCCCACCCTTGACACGTGGGAATTATTACAATGCAAGGTGAGATTTAGGTGGGGACCCATCCAAACTATGTCAGTATGTTTTGACTTCTGGCTTGATTGCTAGGTTGCATGGAGGACAAACATGGAAATTAATGAAGTACCTTAATATCTGGCTTCAGATCTTAGACAGGATCAGAGGGCCAGCTCAAATTTGCAAGGAGGGGAGGTAGATCCCACCATTTTATGGGTGAATGGCAAAATCAAGCAGAAATTATGTGGGACGGGAGATACTGATGCAGGCATCTTTGGAAACATTCTACTTAGCTAATTTTATGCTAGGCTTTAGGTCAAGAAGGAGAGAGAGAGCTGACATGCTGTGGTACACACTTATAGTCCCAGCGACTTGGAAAGCTGAGGCAGGAGGATTGCTTGATCCCAGGAGTTTGAGGTAGTGTGCGATGATCGTTCTTGTGAATAGCCACTAGCCACTGAACTCCAGCTTGGGCAACATTGAGACACCCTGTCTCTTAATTTAAAAAAAAAAAAAAAAAAAAGGAGGAAAGAAAGTGGTCTCAGTTTTTAATGTAAATATTTTTAATGGGATAATGATATTTTAAGATTAATGTATATTGTATATCAGTTAACTATAGGTCAATAATTATATAAAACTTAAGGTACGAAAAACATTTATTTTTGCTAACATATCCGTGAGTTGACTGTTCTTGGCTTGGTGAGGCTGCAAGCTGCAGATAGAGTCTAGGTATGATTTCTGTGTGTTTGTTCCCCCTTGGATCAGTGGACTACCTGAGAATGTGTTTTTGTCACAGTGATAGAATCACAAGGAAACTCCAGTTCTGGAAGTACATTTTAAGCCATTGCTTCTATCATGTCCACTAACATTCAGTCAGCCAAAGCACATACCTTGTCCATGGCTAACATTGATAGTATAGATAAATATACCTGATCTCTAGCAGGAGGAACTGCATTGTCTTGGGGAAAGGTTTTAGATATAGGGAGGGGTGATGAGTTGGGAACAATAATGTAGTCTGCCACAAACATATTAAAGTGTAACTGGATATGGTTGCTGCAGAATTTTGAACCTTTGTTTTAATTGTGATTTTTACTCTTTTCCCCCTATCTAGTGCCCTTTCGTAATACAGTAATTCTCATGATTTTTGTCTGAATTGAAATCTTCTGAGATTAGATTGTCTACGAAAATACAGTCGATCCTCCTTGTTTTCAGCTTTTGTATTTGTGAACTCACCTACTATTTTTTGTAACCCCCAAATCAGTACTCACAGCACTTTCATAGTCATGTGTTTGCGCAGAGTGTCAAAGAATTTGAGTTTGAACAGGATGATATTCTGCCTTCTTTTTCAGCTCTCATACAATAGTCAGGTATCCTTTTTGTGGTCTATTTAATGCCATGCTTTTCCTGTTTTTGTACTGTTTGTTGGTTGTTTTGCCATTTAAATTAACCCCCAAGCATAGTGCTGAAGTGCTGCTTAGCATTCACAAGTCCAAGAAGTCTGTGATGTGTCTTACAGAGGAAATAGATGCATTGAATAAACTCCATTCAGGCGTGAGTGCTGTAGTGCCATTGGCTGTGAGTTCAGTGTTAATGAATGAACAATGTGTATTATTTATTTATTCTTCATTTAATTAATTATTATTATTTTTTTTGAGATAGAGTCTCACTCTGTTGCTCAGGCTGGAGTGCAGTGGTGCAGTCTTGGCTCACTGCAACCTCTGCCTCCTGGGTTCAAGCGATTCCCCTGCCTTAGCCTCCCAAGTAGCTAAGTCTACAGGCATGCGCCACCATGCCTGGCTAATATATATATATATATATATATATATATATATATTTTGTAGTTTTAGTAGAGACGGGGTTTCACCACGTTGGCCAGGCTGGTCTCGAGCTCCAGACCTCAAATGATCTGCCCGCCTTGGCTTCCCAAAGTGCTGGGATTACAGGCATTAGCCACTGTGCCTGGCCAACAATATATATATTAAATAAGCACACATACAACAAAAGTAGGTGTTGGTAAGCTTACAAAAATGTGACCAGTAGCTTGCTGAAACCTAACTTTTTATTTGTTCATGGAACTTTCTAGACCGTAACTACACTGAATAATGAGAATCTGCTGTAATATTTTTAGGTGCTGTAGATGAGCCATTGGATTAAATTATTACAGTATGTTTCAGACTGCTCTATGTTGAACCCTAGTGAAATGCCTCTCAAACCCTCCTAAGGATCACAATCTCATGTCCTTTTTTTTGTTATTAAATGCCCAGTATGTGTTAGCGATTTAAACAAAATTCAAATATTTTTTTTTTTTTTTTTTTTTGAGACAGAGTCTCGCTCTGTCACCTAAGCTGGAGAGTGCAGTGGCATGATCGCGGCTCACTACAACCTCTGCCTCCCGGGTTCAAGCGATTCTCCTGCCTCAGCATCCTGAGTAGCTGGGATTACAGGCGCCCGCCACCACGCTGGGCTAATTTTTGTATTTTTAGTAGAGACGGGATTTCGCCAGGTTGTCCAGGCTGGTCTGGAACTCCTGACCTCATGCGATCTGCCTGCCTTGGCCTCCTGAAGTGCTGGGATTATAGGCGTGAGCCACCATGCCCGGCGTTGACTTTTTAATAATAACCATTCTGACTGGTGTGAGATGGTATGCCATTGTGGTTTTGATTTGCATTTCTCTAATGATCAGTGATATTGGGCTTTTTTTCATATGCTTGTTGGCCGCATGTGTGTCTTCTTTTGAAGTGTCTGTTTATGTCCTTTGCCCACTTTCTAATGAGATTTTTTTTTTCTTGTAAATTTGTTTAAGTTCCTTATCAGTGTTGGACATTAGATCTTTGTCACATGCATTGTTGCAACAATTTTCTCCTATTCTGTAGGTTGTCTGTTCACTCTGTTGATAGTTTCTTCTGCTGTGCAGAAGCTTCAAGAAGAAAGGAATCCGATTGGTTCTGTGTCTGTCTCTTTTGGTATTCTCAGACTTATGTAGTCATCCATATAGAAAGGTGATTAGGAAAATAGGACAAGAATAGCAGAAATCTACATAAAAATGTAGGAAATTAAAATTAGTTACCAGCATACAAAAAACTACTATATGTTATAATTACATACTATAACTCACCCCTCCTTGCCAAATATTCTCTCTCTTTTGACTTCAAAATCATGGCTTATATGTACTTTCTCTATTTCCCAGATGCAAATATAATTAATTGACTTTATTTATCTAGGAAATATTACTGATATCTTAATTGTAGTCATTGGCTTGAGTGACGGGTTTTGGTAATTCAACTACTATTACTTGAAAGTAGTAGATTTCATAAGATACTGTTATAAAATCTTTTTAACCTCTTTTCTGATTTCAGGAGTAATTAGTAATTGTGGTTTACTGGAAAATTCAATGAATAGCGTGTTAAAGGAAGCAATTCGTTAATAATATATCTAATCTATTGGGAGACTGAGGCGGGTGGGTCACCTGAGATCAGGAGTTCGAGACCAGCCTGGCCAACATGGCAAAACTCCGTCTCTACTAAAAATACAAAAATTCGCCGGGCATGGTGGTGCATTCCTGTATTCCCAGGTACTCGGAAGGCTGAGGCAGGAGAATCACCTGAACTCCAGAGGTGGAGGTTGCAGTGAGTCAGGATCGCAGCACTACACTCCAGCCTGGGTGACAGAGTGAGACTCCATCTCAAAAAAAAAAAAAAATTAAAAAATTAAATTAAAAAAAAGCGGGCCGGGCGCATTGGTTCAGGGCCGGGCACGGTGGCTCAAGCCTGTAATCCCAGCACTTTGGGAGGCCGAGGCAGGCGGATCACGAGGTCAGGAGATCAAGACCATCCTGGCTAATGTGGTGAAACCCGGTCTCTACTAACAATACAAAAATTAGCTGGATGTGGTGGCAGGTGCCTGTAATCCCAGCTATTCCAGAGGCTGAGGCAGGAGAATCACTTGAACCTGGGAGGCAGAGGTTTCAGTGAGTCCAGATCATGCCACTGCACTCCAGCCTGGGTGACAGAGCGAGATTCTATCTCAAAAAAAAAAAAAAAAAAAAAAAAGCAACAGAAGCAAATGAGAGTGCCTGGGAGTGGTCATTGTGGGGCATTCCTGTTTGTGTGACCCAGGTCATGTCCCTCCCTAAGCCCTGGTCTCTCTTGCCTCCTGCAGGGCTGGTGAATTACCAGATCTCCGTCAAGTGCAGTAACCAGTTCAAGTTGGAAGTGTGTCTTTTGAAATCAGAAAACAAAGTCGTGGACAACCAGGCTGGGACCCAGGGCCAGCTGAAGGTGCTGGGTGCCAACCTCTGGTGGCCGTACCTGATGCACGAACACCCCGCCTACCTGTACTCGTGGGAGGTAATGGTGGTTTGGGACTTGCTTAAGGGAGGTCTTTTGCTCCCATCTGGTAGCCCTGGCTTCAGCAGGAGCCCAGGACAGGTGAACGGGCAGGTGTGGTCCTCTGAGCTTTTCTGAGCTTTCTGATGTTTCCCACCCTTGGTGGGAGGCCCAGATTTTTTATTTATTTATTTATTTATTTATTTATTTATTTATTTATTTATTTGTGATGGTCTCACTGTGTCACCCAGGCTGGAACGCAATGGCCTGATCACAGCTCACTGCAGCTTTGAGCTGCAATCCTCCTCCCTTGGCCTCCTGAGTAGCTGGGACTACAGGCACATGCCACCATGCCTGGCTAATTAAAAACATTTTTTTTGTAGGCCGGGCATGGTGGCTCACGCCTGTAATCCCAGCACTTCGGGAGGCTGACGCGGGCGGATCACTTTAGGCCAGGAGTTGGAGACCAGCCTGGCCAACATGGTGAAACCCCGTCTCTACTAAAATATGAAAATTTGCAGGGCATGATGGTGCACGTCTGTAATCCCAGCTACTCGGGAGGCTGAGGCAGGGGAATTGCTTGAACCCAGGAGGCAGGGGCTGCAGTGAATTGAGATCATGCCACTGCACTCTATCCTGGGTGACAGAGTGAGACTGTCTCAAAAAAAAAAAATCCTTTTTATAGAGTTGGGGGTCTTACTAGGTTGCCCAGGCTGGTCTTGAACTCCTGGACTCAGGTGATCCTCCTGCCTTAGCGTCCCAAAGTGTAGGGATTCCAGGCATGAGCCACCTCGTCTGGTCAAGGAGAAGGCCTGATTTTGAAGGGCAGGTCCCAGGGCCAGCCAGTGAAGGGCAGAGCCTCTGATTGCTGCTTCTCTGCAGGCCCAGAGGCGACTTCTGGGGTGCATGCACGAGGGGTCTTCCTGCTGTAGGGCAGGCCAGATGGGGCTCAGGCTGTCGGGGCGCTCACACCTGGCGCTTTGGCTGTCATAGGTGCGGCTGACTGCACAGAAGTCACTGGGGCCTTTGACTTCTACACACTCCCTGTGGGGCTCCGCACTGTGCCCGTCACCGAGAGCCAGTGGGTGAGAGCCAGTTTCATTTGTGGTAGAGGCAGCAGAGGTTGTAGAAATGCTCCTTGAGGCAGATGCCACACCCCAGTTTCATGGAGTGATTTGGGCTGAGCCGAGTCTGCAGCAGGCAGAAGGCTCTGAGATGTTGTCCTAGCCTGGGCAGAGGACAATTCAGAGCTCGGGGGAATAGGGGTGTGCTCAGCACGACTGGGTGGACAGGCCCTTTGTTGTGAATCGTACAGGCTTCCAGGAGCGGGTGCCTGAGGCTTCCAGACAGGCTTTGGGAGGTGGCCAGAGGAGATGCCTGTTTCCGGGGCAGGAAATGGAGGGAGCGCCCAGGCTGGAGAGGTTCAGCCAGGCTGTCACAAGGCTTTGAAGCTTCCCATCTGAGAGCCTGGCTATTGGAGAGTGTGGGTTTGGAACTTGAGGCTAGGAGGTTCTGTTCTGTCCTGTGCCAGCCACAGCCTTCGGATGGGCAGAGCAATGATGGGGGGAAGATGTAAAAGAAAAGAACTGAGGAAAGAAGAAGAAAACCAGCTTCAACAACAGTCTAGGCCGGATGCGGTGGGTCACGCCTGTAATCCCAGCAGTTTGGGAGGCTGAGGTGGGTGGATCACCTGAGGTCAGGAGTTCGAGACCAGCCTGGTCAACAGGTAGTGAATCCTGTCTCTACTAAAAATACAAAAATTAGCTGGGCATGGTGGTGGACGTCTGTAATCCCAGCTACTAGGTAGGCTGAGGCAGGAGAACCGCCTCAGGTGAACCAGGAGGCAGAGATTGCAGTGAGCTGAGATAATGCCACTGCATTCCAGCCTGGGCTACAGAATGAGACTCTGTATCTCAAAAAAACAAAACAAAACAAAAACACAACAGTCTGTTCTGTGGAGGCCTTGGGCAGATGCTGGGAGCTCTGAGCACAGACTGGTCCCTCTGTTGGGAGCCTCTTCCCTTCATCCCTCCTGGTTAACTTGACTCAGCATAAAGGCCATTTCTTCTAAGAGCCTGTCCCTGACTCTCCAATCGGGGATGTGTCTGTTGTCTCATAGAGTGCCCAATTCCTGCCACCATTTGTCATTTCCATTCGCAACATTTCTTTCATTGTTTGTTTTTCAGAGTCAGGGTCTCACTCTGTTGCCCAGGCTGGAGTGCAGTGGTGCAATCATAGCTCGTTGCCATCTCGACCTCCTGGGCTTAAGCGATCCTCCCCTCTCAGCCTCCCAAATAGCTGGGACCACAGACGTGCGCTGCCTTGCCAGGCTAAATTTTAATATTTTTTTTCCCCACGAGTCAGAGTCTTGCTCTGTCTCCCAGGCTGGAGAGCAGTGTTGCGATCTTGGCTCACTGCATCCTCTACCTCCTGGGTACAAACAGTTCTCCTGCCTCACCCTCCCGAGTAGCTGGGATTACAGGCTCACGCCACCATGCCCAGCTAGTTTTCTTCTTTATTTTTTGTTGAGATGGGGTTTCACCATGTTGGCCAGGCTGGTCTCGAACTCTTGAGCTCGTGATCCACCTGCCCTGGCCTCCCAAAGTGCTCACAGGCTTGAGCCACCATGCCCGGCCCTAATTTTTAAATTTGTTGTAGAAACAAGGTCTTGCTATGTTGCCCAGGCTGGTCTCAAGCACCTGGTCTCAAGTAAGCCTCCCAAAGTGCTGGGGTTCTAGGCGTGAGCCACCTCGCCTGGCGCTTGCACCGTTTTTCTGTGCATGCATCTCCACTCCCACTGCCCAGGACCTGTGGACTTAGATTTGAGTCATTACTGAGCACCTAGCACCCAGCCTCATGCCTACCTCCCACCTCGCACTACCTGTTTGCTTGATGCATTAATAAATATTCCACCTGAATCCACAGCCCATTCACTCCTGTGTTCAAGGGCTATTTCAGGAAGTGAACCTCATTTTTGGCAGTGTTCAGTCCAGTGACCTCAGCTCTGTGTACCTGGCAGGGTGGCTACGCCTCTGGGGGAATTGGATTCAGGGGTGGGGGAGAAAGAGTGTTGTTAGAGAGCTTGGTCTAGGACTAGAGGAACGTGCCCTTATGTAAAATACATCTCAAGTTAGGGAAGAAAGCAGCGGCTCTGTGCTTTGTTTTTTTTTTTGTTTTTTTTCTTTTCTTTCTTTTGTTTGTTTGTTTGTTTGTTTGTTTGTTTGTTTGTTTGTTTGTTTTGGGGCAGGGTCTTGCTCTGTGGCCCAGGCTGGAGTGCAGTAGCGTGATTTCGGCTCACTGCAACCTCCACCTCCCGGGTTCAAGCAATTCTTGTGCCTCAGCCTCCCGAGTAGCTGGAGTTACAGATGCGTGCCACTAAGCCTGGCTAATTTTTGTATATTTAGTAGAAATGGGGTTTTGCCATGTTGGCCAGGCTGTTCTTGAACTCCTGACCTCAGTGATCTGCCTGCCTCAGCCTCCTGAAGTGCTGGGATTACAGATGTGAGCCATCATGCCTGGCCCCCAGTTGTGTTCTGGCAGGGGAAGATGGGACAGAGAGGATGGGAGGGTGTCTGAGCCTTTCCCGGACTGACGGAACCTGTGTCTTCTCTCTTTTGTGGACAGGATGGTGATTGCTCACACCAAAGCCTTGGACCCCTCCCAGCCTGTGACCTTTGTGACCAACTCCACCTACGCAGCAGACAAGGGGGTGAGCCTGGGGGTCCCCACCCCATTTCTCCCTGCCTTTGCCTGGGCTTGTCCTGAAGCCTGCTCATGGGAACAGCTGGAAAGAACCATGTGCTGCCAGTCTGAGCTTTTTATTTTGTTTTACTTAGAAAGATAGAGACAGGGTCTTGCCATGTTGCCCAGGCTGGTCTCGAACTCCTGGGCTCAAGTGGTCCTCCTGCCTCGGCCTTCCAGAGGGCTGGGGTGACAGGCGTGTGCCACCGCACTCAGCCGCAGCCAGTCTGTTTTCAAAGATGGTCTTTGGGTTAATGACAATTCTCTCTCTGCTTACTCTCTAGGCAGTGTGGCTTTCTGAATTTAAGGAGGCTGGGCATAGGGAGATGGGATTTGTTTGCCCAGTTTGGACTCAGCATTTTTTGTACTCGATTTAATAGACTCATAAAATGTCAAAGGTTTAAGTGAGCTTAGAGTTCATCTGGCCCAAACCTGGCTGATCAGAATCTCCAGGGGAAGTTTTATTGAAATGCCAGATCTCTGCATTCTGAGATCCTGATTTAGTAACTCCAGGGTTGGAACCTGAGTTTTTTTTTTTTTTTTTGTGAAGGCAAGGTCTTACTCTGTTGCTCTGGCTGGAGTGCAGTGGTGTGATCACAGCTCACTGCAGCCTTGAATTCCTGGGCCTAAGCAACCCTCTTGCCTCAGCCTTCCAAGTAGCTGGGACTCCGGGTGTACACCACTGTGCCCGGCTAATTTTAAATGTTTTTGTAGAGATGGGATCTCACTATGTTGCCCAGGCCAGTCTCAAACTCTTGAGCTCAAGTGATCCTCCTGCCTTAGCCTCCTAAAGTGCTGGGATTACAGGCATGAGCCACCGTGCCTGGCTGATACTAGCATTCTTTTTTTTTTTTTTTTTTTTAAAAGATGGAGTCTTGCTGTGTTGCCCAGGCTGGAGTGCAGTGGCACAGTCTCAGCTCACTGCAACCTCCGCCTCCCAGGTTCAAGCAATTCTCCTGCCTCAGCCTCCCAAGTAGCTGGGATAACAGGCACATGCCACCACGCCTGCGCTTGATCGTGGGAGGCAGAGGTTGCACTATTGTGCCACTCCATTCTAGCCTGGGCAACAGAGCGAGACTCTGTCTTCCAAATAAAGCGAAAAAAGATTATCTGCGAGAATGACTGCATTGGCCCCTTGGGTGGGAGGGCTTCTCCAGGGCAAGGTGAGGGGATGCCCAGTGCTGGGAGTGCTGCCTGGAGAGGAGTCAGTTCCAGTGGCGGGGGCCCTGGGTTTTGGCTGAGGACTGCGTGTTGGCAGCTGCTCTGCCTCTCACAGCCCTTCCCAGCTGCACACGTCGTGAGCGTCAGTGTGCAATCACAGGCCTGCCTCCTTTGGGCCACTTTGTGACCATGTTTTTTGCTTGTGGGGCAGGGTAATTTCAGGATCTAAATTGGTGCAGTTGGATGTTCTCAGCCCCGAGAGGCAGCTCTTCCCGTTCTAGGCTTTTTGTTTTGTTTTGTAGAAATGGAGTCCTACGATGTTGCCCAGGCTGGTCTCAAACTCCTGGGCTCAAGTGATCCTCCCACCTTGGCCTCCCAATGTGCTGGGATTACAGGCATGAGCCACTGTGCCGTGCTAATTTTCTTGATACTATTTTTTGTAGAGCTGGGGTCTTGCTGTGTTGCCCAGGCTGGTCTCGAACTCCTGGCCACAAGCCACCCTCCTGCCTCAGCCTCCCAGAGTGCTGGGATTACATCCCCTTCTTACCTTCTCTGTCAGAGGAGCCCCCACAGCATGTGAGTACTGAGTCATGCGGTCTTGTGGTTGCTGAACGGGCTCTGCTGCTCTGGTCCTAGGCTCTGTATGTGGATGTGATCCGTGTGAACAGCTACTACTCTTGGTATCGCAACTACGGGCACCTGGAGTTGATTCAGCTGCAGCTGGCCGCCCAGTTTGAGAACTGGTGTAAGACATCACAATCCCATTATTCAGAGCGAGTATGGAGTGGAAACGCTTGTAGGGTTTCACCAGGTAAGCGGTGTTGAACTTTCTGCTTGTGTATTCTCTCTGGGCAGAGATGCCAACTTGCCTCTCCCACCATGCCATCTCTGAAGAATATTACAGACCATTTTGGAGCATGGTGAATAAGAAATTTTTACCTTAGGAGTTCACTTGAATAGTCATTTTTATATTTGTGACTGCAAGTCACTTTTAGGGGCTGTACTTCCTTAGTACTGGTAGCATTATTATCCAATGGACTTTTATAGCTTTCATTAGGTTTTCTTTTGTTTTTGTTCTTTAAAGAACATTTTACTTAACTTAGTATTTCATTTTTCGTCTATATTATGAGGCAGTAAGAGTCTTCTGTTTTTCCAAAGTTGAGACTGCTTTATATTTATTTCATATTGTCTACAGCTGTAGTGTTCAATACATTAGCCACTAGCCACATGTGGTTATTTAAATAAGATAAAATAAAAATTGGCCGGGCGTGGTGGCTCACGCCTGTAATCCCAGCACTTTGGGAGGCCGAGGCGGGCAGATCATTAGGTCAGGAGATCGAGACCATCCTTACTAAGACGGTGAACCCCCATCTCTATTAAAAATACAAAAAATTAGCCGGGCGTGGTGGCGGGCGCCTGCAGTCCCAGCTACTCAGGAGGCTGAGGCAGGAGAATGGCGTGAACCTGGGAGGCAGAGTTTGCAGTGAGCCGAGATTGGCGCCACTGCACTCCAGCCTGGGGGACAGAGCGAGACTCCATCTCAAAAAAAAAAAAAAAAAAAAGTCTGCTTCAGCTGCTAAAACAGAATACCATAAATTAGGTAGCTTAAACAGTAGATATTTTGACCCGGCATGGTGGCTTATGCCTGTATTCCTAACACTTTGGGAGGCCGAGGCAGGTGGATAACTTGAGCTCAGGAGTTTGAGACTAGCCTGGGCAGCATGGCAAAACCTTGTCTCTACGAAAATTAGCTGGGCATGGTGGTGCACGCCTGTAGTCTGAGCTACTTGGGAGGCTGAGGTGGGAGAATTGCTTGAACCTGGGAGGCGGAGGTTGCAGTGAGCCATGATCGCACCACTGTACTCCAGCCTGGATGACAGAATGAGACTCTGTCTCAAAAAAAACAAAAACAAACAAACAAAAAAAACAGATATTTCTCACAGTTGTGGAGACTGGAAGTGCAAGATCAAAGTGTTGGCAAATTACGTTTCTTAAAGAGGGCCTGCTTCCTAGATTGGAAATGGCCATCTTCTCTCAGTATCCTCACATGGTAGGGAGAAAAGCAGCTCTAGTGTCTCTTCTTATAAAGGAAGTAATGCCACCATAGGGGCTCTATTCTCATGACCTCATCTAAACGTAATTCTCTCCTAAAGGCCACGCCTCCCAGTATCCTCACCTTGGGGGTTAGGGCTTTATCATATGAATTTTTTTTTTTTTTTTTTGAGACAGAGTCTCGCTCTGTCTGTCACCCAGGCTGGAGTGCAGTGGCACAATCTCGGCTCTCTACAAGCTCCGCCTCCTGGGTTCACGCCATTCTCCTGCGTCAGCCTCCTCAGTAGCTGGGACTAAGGCGCCCGCCACTGCGCCCGGCTAATTTTTTTGTATTTTTAGTAGAGACGGGGTTTTACCATGTTAGCCAGGATGATCTCGATCTCCTGACCTCGTGATCCACCCACCTCGGCCTCCCAAAGTGCTGGGATTACAGGCATGAGCCACCGCGCCTGGCCTATCATATGAATTTTGAGGGAACACAATCATGCAGTCTGTAGCAGATGGTAATAGGCTGATATATTACACTTGTTGATGTAAATCTGATAGGTTTCTTTCTCTCCAAGGACAGCTTTTTAAATATTTAACAGTATCAATAATTTTTCAGTTTCTGTGAGAATTTTATAATTTATAATTTGCAGACTTAATGTATAATCTATTTTGTCCTAACAATTACAAATATATTTTTATTTCAGATTATATATATTCCTACCAGATGGAGATAATTACAGCTTTAAAAATTTTTATTTTTTCATTTTATTTCACATATTGACATTAAATTTTTATTGACACATAATAATTGTACATATATATGGGGTACAATGTGATGTTTTAATACATGTACTCAATGTGTAATGATCAAATCAGGGTAATTTGCATAATGATTTTTCTGTAGGGAGAAAATTCAAAATCTACTCTTCTGGCTATTTTCAAATATATAATATGTTATTGTTAACTATACTCATCCTACTATGCAATAGGACACCAGAACTTATTCCTGGGTTCTACATCTGTTAAGCCAACCAAAGATTGGAAATATTGGGAAAAAAAATTGCGTCTGTACTGAACATGTACAGACTTTTTTCTTGTCCTTATTCCTTACACAATATAGTACAATAACTATTTGCATGACATTTACATCGGATATTATGAGTGATCTAGAGTTGATATGAAGTATATGGGAGGATGTGCAAAGGTGATGTGCAAATACTATGTCATTTTATATCAGGGACTTGAGTATCCTTTGTTATCCTCAGGAGATCCTGAAACTAGTCCTCCATGGATACTGAGGGCTGACTGTCTAGTCCTATCCTCACGGAACTTTCATTGTAATGAGGGAAGACTGACTATAAACAAAATATATGTAATAGGTGGTGGTAAGTACCGTGGAGAAGTAACAAATGGGGCAAAGTGAGTTATACAGCTCCATCCTTAGAAACCTTGGAGTACTTTTCTTAGTTTATACTCGTGGTGGTTTCCTTTTGTCTCCTTTATTACATGGGACTCTGACATGTGCCCATAGCTAGGGTGGCAGTAGGATCTACCCGAAAAGCGTCCTGCTGATACAGGACCAAAGCATCCTGTTGTTCTCGAGCCTATAAAAAGAGCTAATGGTCTTGCTTCTCTTAACTGTGGCCTCCTACACTGTGTTTTGGATGATTGGTGATGTCTTGGATATTCTGTTTCTTTGGAACTTTGAATATACAACACTTTACTAGGGAATTAGCAATGGAAGCAGAGCAAAGATGTACAGAGGAAACAATGCATAACTCTGATGGAATTGAAGTCATGAGGCAGCAGAGAGCTTAAATTAGAGCTTTAAAAATTTTTATTTTTTAGAGGGAATTTAATTGGGAGTAACAGCAGTAATAGTTAACGGAGCCAGAATGCTTGAGTCATATAATTGCAAAGCAGAGTTGGGAGCAACAGATGCTAAAGAGTAGTTGCTGTAGTTCCTCTTTGGGTCGTAGGAGCAGTTGTCATGTTACTATATAGCTACTGAATGAAGAAGAGTTCTTAGTGAGGCCTGGGTGAACAGCTCTTCTTAGTATTCTGTGTGACCCCATTTGACCTTTTAACAAATCCCTAAGAAAATAAATAGCCCCTAAGGTAAACTAAGTTTTTCTCTGCTATTTTTTTGCTTGAGAGAGCTATAACTGTAGTAGACTTATATTTCTGAACATTTTAGTGCTTGCCAATATTTGGTAATATTTATGTTTCCTATATTTGTAATGAACATTCTTCTTCCGGTACATTTTTTGTTAAATTATTGTTTCATGCATAAAAGTTCACCTTTTATTGTATAAAATTGACTCAGATTAATTTATACACATTGACAATGGGTAAATAGAGCTTTTCAGATTATTAAAAGCTGAAGGATGCCCATGTAAGCAAAAACAAAAAAGAAAAAACCAACAAAAATAAACCCAAACCCCTCAAACAATTTCGAACACAAAACATTCTTCTCACGCCGGCATCCCTGCTTGCAGGTGTGAGGGGGCAGGAATCAGCGAGGTGTCCTGGGCTGAGTCCCCGGAGTGGGAAGAGGTGGCAGGAAGGGGATCTGAGGAGGAGAACAGGGGTCCTGGTGGTCTGTGCTTCTTCCCAGACACGGGAGCTGTAGAGGAGACCTCTGCAGCAGATGCTAGGGGGCCACTAGGCCTAGGCAGTCTTGGGACTTGGGTCTGTCCTGCTGTGCATCCATAGTGGGTGCTTTAGAAAGGGGAGGCCCACGCGAAGCCCCGTTGCAAGTGAGGACAAAGTGTGGGAAGGCCGTGAGGGTCTGCAGTCCGAGATGGCCTTGCCCTCAACGTGCAGTGCACTGTTGATGTGGGGCCTAGAGGCCTGGGATCTGGGGAGCCACCCCTGGGGGCGAGTGTCTGCCCTGGTGCTGTATCTGCCTTTTGACAGCGGGTGTGACCCGAAGAGACAGCCTGAGGTCCGTCCTCACTCACTGTGTTTGAGGAACTGAGGGCCAGCTGGCAGTGGCATGAGGCTGGCCCCCTCCTCCGCTTTAGTTCCGGGAGGCCTTCCGTAGAACTGTGGGAGCTGGAGCTGGCATTTCCTTGGAGGCAGGATCTGGTCCGGGAGGTCTGGGATCTCTGGTTATATCTCACTTCTGACCTCTGGGCACGTGCTGCAGCTGTGGCTGAGGCCAAGAAATGTGAGGGGCCTCCATTCACTGCATTGAGTAGTGACCCCGACGTGGGGTTCAATGTGGAGGGGGGAGGGGCTGCTGCTGCAGCTGCAGGAGCGGAGGTGCCAGGCCTTGTTCTTCTCATGCTGGCATCCCTGCTTGCAGCTGTGAAGGGGGCAGGAATCAGCGAGGTGACCTGGGCTGAGTCCCGGGAGTGGGAAGAGGTGGCAGGAAGGGATCTGAGGAGGAGAACAGGGGTCCTGGTGGTCTGTGCTTCTTCCCAGACACGGGAGCTGTAGAGGAGACCTCTGCAGCAGATGCTAGGGGGGCCACTAGGCCCAGGCAGTCTTGGGACTTGGGTCTGTCCTGCTGTGCATCCATAGTGGGTGCTTTAGAAACGGGAGGCCCACCCGAAGCCCCCGTTGCAAGTGAGGACAAAGTGTGGGAAGGCCGTGAGGGTCTGCAGTCCGAGATGGCCTTGTCCTCAACGTGCAGTGCACTGTTGATGTGGGGCCTAGAGGCCTGGGATCTGGGGAGCCACCCCTGGGGGCGAGTGTCTGCCCTGGTGCTGTATCTGCCTTCTTTTCACAGCGGTGACCCGTAGAGACAGCCTGAGCTCCGTCCTCACTCACTGTCTTTGAGGAACTGTGGGCCAGCTGGCAGTGGGATGAGGCTGGCCCCCTCCTCCGCTTTAGTTCCGGGAGGCCTTCCGTAGAGCTGTGGGAGCTGGAGCTGGCATTTCGTTTGAGGCAGGATCTGGTCCGGGAGGTCTGGGATCTCTGGTTATATCTCACTTCTGACCTCTGGGCACGTGCTGCAGCTGTGGCTGAGGCCAAGAAATGTGAGGGGCCTCCATCCACTGCATTGAGTAGTGACCCCGACGTGGGGTTCAATGTGGAGGGGGGAGGGGCTGCTGCGGCAGCTGCAGGAGCCGACCTTGTTCTTCTCATGCCGGCATCCCTGCTTGCAGCTGTGAAGGGGGCAGGAATCATCGAGGTGACCTGGGCTGAGTCCCGGGAGTGGGAAGAGGTGGCAGGAAGGGTATCTGAGGAGGAGAACAGGGGTCCTGGTGGTCTGTGCTTCTTCCCAGACACGGGAGCTGTAGAGGGGACCTCTGCAGCAGATGCTAGGGGGGCCACTAGGCCCAGGCAGTCTTGGGACTTGGGTCTGTCCTGCTGTGCATCCATAGTGGGTGCTTTAGAAAGGGGAGGCCCACCCGAAGCCCCTGTTGCAAGTGAGGACAAAGTGTGGGAAGGCCGTGAGGGTCTGCAGTCCGAGATGGCCTTGTCCTCAACGTGCAGTGCACTGTTGATGCGCTGGAATGCTGCCTGTTTTTCCAGGTGCAGGTCTTCCGCCGTGACCCGGTACCCCAGCTCTAAGGGAGGTGGCAGCATCAAAGGCTCCCCTCGCCTGCTTGGCAGCAGGCGAATCTTGCGTCTACGGGGCCTAGAGGCCTGGGATCTGGGGGAGCCACCCCTTGGGGCGAGTGTCTCCCCTGGTGCTGTATCTGCCGCCTTTTCACACCGTGTGTGACCCGAAGAGACAGCCTGAGGCCTGTCCTCACTCACTGTCTTTGAGTAACTGAGGGTCAGCTGGCAGCGGGATGAGGCTGGTCCCCTCCTCTGCTTTAGCCCCGGCAAGCCTCCCGTGGAGCTGTAGGAGCTGGAGATGGCATTTCGTTTTGTGCTCGAGCTCGTCCAGGATGTCTGGGATGTCTGGTTATATCTGATTTCTGAGCTCTGGGCATCGAGGTCTGTCTGCAGAGGCCCGGGCCTGGGCACAAAGGGAGAGAGGCCTCCATTGTCCCGCAGGGGCCAAAATGCAGACCGTGCATCCCGGTGACCTCGGGGACCGTTCTCTGATCAGCAGGATTTTCTTGGACTCTGGGGTCCTTGTCCTGCTCAGGCATCCCTGCCCTGCTCTCCTTGAGGGCCCTCAACACTATCTTCCCTGGACACAAGTCTGGGGACAGCCGGGTGTTGAGGACCCCAAAGGGGTGACTACCTGCTCCTGGGCCCCACAGAGTCCTTGTGCTCAGTGTAGTGGCTGAGCTGGGGGATGCCCTGGAATTCGGAGCACACAGCACTGGCTTACTGTGGTACCTGTGCAGTGAAATTGGAGACAGAATCACCAGGATGGAACACAGGTCTTGCAGGATCACGGAAAACCTTCTTAGAGTTGTCTTGACACCACTGATGTTGAGTGTCCGGGTGTTTGTAGGATGGCCTGCCACTCAGTCCAGGGGCAGGAGCAACGGGGAGATCCCACAAGCAAAGTGAACTGGGCGATGGGCTGAAGGGGCTCTAGGCAACTGAGCCCTACTCGCAGGTCCTCGGCCTTGGCCCAAACAGGAATGAGGGGCACAGAGTGCCCGGGTAACCGCTCCTGGGAGCAGTGGGGAACTGTCGGATACTTGAACTCTCGAGAGCTGGGCTCTGAGCGTCCTCGTCCAGCTGCCAACTTGGCCAAAGGCTAAGCCAGCAGATTGTTCTGTTGCCGGGCGACGCGACTTCTAAACCTGAGGGAGTGGGCATGTGAGCACATAATGGCACCAGTGACAGAGCGACCATAATGGATTAATAAGCGCAGCCAGGTACCCGCGCAAGGCACTTGCTGGCAATGGCAGGAGGCGGACGTGGGGGGGGTCGTGCAATAGGTACTGGAGGGAGAGACGTGGGCACAAAGGTCGCGGGAGGAACAGGTGCCCACAATGGCTGCAGATCTGCCCGTGGATCACTGAAGATTCCTGCTCTCCTGCTGAGGTGGAGACTGCAGTGAGCTGAGATCGCACCATTGCACTCCAGCCTGGGCAACGAGTGCAAAACTCAGTCTCCAGATAAAAAAAAGAAAAAGAAAAAAAGAGGCCGGGTGTGGTGGCTTATGCCTATAATCCTAGCACTTTGGGAGGTCGGGGTGGACGGATCACGAGATCAGGAGTTGGAGGCCAGCCTGGCCAACATAGTGAAACCCCGTCTCTAGTAAAAATACAAAATTTAGTCAGACATGGTGGGCAGGAGAGAGCATGTGCAGGGGAACATCCATTTATAAAACCATCAGACCTCATGAGACTTATTCACTACCATGAGAACAGCATGGGGGAAACTGCCTCCATGATTCAGTTATCTCCACCTGGCCCCACCCTTGACACATGGGAATTGTTACAATTCAAGATGAGATTTGGGTGGGGACAGAGCCAAACCATATAATTCTTCCCCGGCCCCTCCCAAATCTCATGTCCTCATATTTCAAAAGCAATCGTGCCTTCCCCTAAGTCCCCCAAACTCTTATTTCAGCATTAACTCAAAATTCCATAGTCCAAAGTCTCATCTGAGACAAGGCAAGTCCCTTCCACCTGTGAGCCTGTAAAACCAAAAGCAAGTTAGTTATTTTCTAGATACACAGGGATACAGGCATTGGGTAAATACACCCGTTTCAAACGGGAGAAATTGGCCAAAGCGAAAGAGCTACAGGCCCCATGCAAGTCCAAAACCCAGCAGGCAAATCTTAGAGCTCCAAAATGACCTCCTTTGACTCCATGTGTCACATCTAGGTGATGCAAGAAGTGGGTTCCCAGGGTCTTGGGCAGCCCCGCCCCTGTGGCTTTGCAGGGTACAGCCCCCCCTTCTGGCTGCATTGAGTGTCTGCAGCTTTTCCAGGCACACAGTGCAAGCTGTCAGTGGATCTACCATTCTGGGGTCTGGAGGATGGTGGCCCTTTTGTGACAGCTCTGCTTGGCAGTACCCCAGTGGGGACTCTGTGTGGGGGCTCCAACCCCATATTTCCCTTTGACACTGCCCTAGCAGAGGTTATCCATGAGGGCCCCCCGCTGCCCCGCACAGCAAACTTTTGCCTGGATTTCCAGGCATTTTCATACATCTTCTGAAATCTAGGCGGAGGTTCATGAACGTTAATTCTTGACTTCGGTGCATCTGCAGGCTTAACACCACCTAGAACCTGAAAGGCTTGGAACTTGCACCCTCTGAAGCCATGGCCTGAGGTGTACCTTGGCCCCTTTTACCTATGGCAGGAGCAGCTGGGATGCAGGGCACCAGGTTCCTAGGCTGCACACAGCAGGGGGTTCTGGACTCACAAGAGCATTTTTCCTTCTAAGCCTCCTGGCCTGTGATGGGAGGGTCTGCTGTGAGGGTCTCTAACATGCCCTGGAGACATTTGCCCCATTGTCTTGGTGATTAACATTTGGCTCCTCATTACTTATGCAAATTTCTACAACCCAGTCTCCTGAGAAAATAGATTTTTCTTTTCTGTTGCATCATCAGGCTACAAATTTTCTGAACTTTTATGCTCTGCTTCTTCTCGAATGCTTTGCTGCTTAGAAATTTCTTCTGTCAGATACCTTAAATCATCTCTCTCAAGTTCAAAGTTCCACAGATCTCTAGGGAACTCTAGAAAAAAATTCTTATTTTCACTCTTTCCCGCCTATCTTATGCCCGTTTCTAACACAGGTGCACAGTGCCTGCAGTGTCTTTGCATAGTAAGAGTGACTTTACTCCATTTCCCAACAAATTCCTCATCTCCCTCTGAGACCACCTCCGCCTGGACCTTATTGTCCATATCACTATTAACATTTTGGTCAAAGCCATTCAACAAGTCTCTAGGAAGTTCCAAACTTTCCCACATTTTCCTATCCTCTTCTGAGCCTTCCAAACTGTTCCAGCCTCTCCCTGTTACCCATTTCCAAAGTTGCTTCCACATGTTCGGGTATCTTTACAGCAGCACCCCACTCTACTGGTATCAACTTATTGTATTAGTCTGTTCTCACACTGCAAATAAAGACATACCTGAGACTGGGTAATTTATAAAGGAAAGAGGTTGAATTGACTCACAGTTCTGCATGGCTGGGGAGGCCTCACAATCATGGTGGAAGGCAAGGAGGTGCAAAAGCATGTCTCACATAGTGGCAGGCAGGAGAGAGCATGTGCAGGGGAGCTCCCATTTATAAAACCATCAGATCTCATGAGACTTAGTCACTACCACGAGAACAGTATGGGGGGAACCATCCCCATGATTCAGTTATCTGCACCTGGCCCCACCCTTGACACGTGGGAATTATTACAATGCAAGGTGAGATTTAGGTGGGGACCCATCCAAACTATGTCAGTATGTTTTGACTTCTGGCTTGATTGCTAGGTTGCATGGAGGACAAACATGGAAATTAATGAAGTACCTTAATATCTGGCTTCAGATCTTAGACAGGATCAGAGGGCCAGCTCAAATTTGCAAGGAGGGGAGGTAGATCCCACCATTTTATGGGTGAATGGCAAAATCAAGCAGAAATTATGTGGGACGGGAGATACTGATGCAGGCATCTTTGGAAACATTCTACTTAGCTAATTTTATGCTAGGCTTTAGGTCAAGAAGGAGAGAGAGAGCTGACATGCTGTGGTACACACTTATAGTCCCAGCGACTTGGAAAGCTGAGGCAGGAGGATTGCTTGATCCCAGGAGTTTGAGGTAGTGTGCGATGATCGTTCTTGTGAATAGCCACTAGCCACTGAACTCCAGCTTGGGCAACATTGAGACACCCTGTCTCTTAATTTAAAAAAAAAAAAAAAAAAGGAGGAAAGAAAGTGGTCTCAGTTTTTAATGTAAATATTTTTAATGGGATAATGATATTTTAAGATTAATGTATATTGTATATCAGTTAACTATAGGTCAATAATTATATAAAACTTAAGGTACGAAAAACATTTATTTTTGCTAACATATCCGTGAGTTGACTGTTCTTGGCTTGGTGAGGCTGCAAGCTGCAGATAGAGTCTAGGTATGATTTCTGTGTGTTTGTTCCCCCTTGGATCAGTGGACTACCTGAGAATGTGTTTTTGTCACAGTGATAGAATCACAAGGAAACTCCAGTTCTGGAAGTACATTTTAAGCCATTGCTTCTATCATGTCCACTAACATTCAGTCAGCCAAAGCACATACCTTGTCCATGGCTAACATTGATAGTATAGATAAATATACCTGATCTCTAGCAGGAGGAACTGCATTGTCTTGGGGAAAGGTTTTAGATATAGGGAGGGGTGATGAGTTGGGAACAATAATGTAGTCTGCCACAAACATATTAAAGTGTAACTGGATATGGTTGCTGCAGAATTTTGAACCTTTGTTTTAATTGTGATTTTTACTCTTTTCCCCCTATCTAGTGCCCTTTCGTAATACAGTAATTCTCATGATTTTTGTCTGAATTGAAATCTTCTGAGATTAGATTGTCTACGAAAATACAGTCGATCCTCCTTGTTTTCAGCTTTTGTATTTGTGAACTCACCTACTATTTTTTGTAACCCCCAAATCAGTACTCACAGCACTTTCATAGTCATGTGTTTGCGCAGAGTGTCAAAGAATTTGAGTTTGAACAGGATGATATTCTGCCTTCTTTTTCAGCTCTCATACAATAGTCAGGTATCCTTTTTGTGGTCTATTTAATGCCATGCTTTTCCTGTTTTTGTACTGTTTGTTGGTTGTTTTGCCATTTAAATTAACCCCCAAGCATAGTGCTGAAGTGCTGCTTAGCATTCACAAGTCCAAGAAGTCTGTGATGTGTCTTACAGAGGAAATAGATGCATTGAATAAACTCCCTTCAGGCGTGAGTGCTGTAGTGCCATTGGCTGTGAGTTCAGTGTTAATGAATGAACAATGTGTATTATTTATTTATTCTTCATTTAATTAATTATTATTATTTTTTTTGAGATAGAGTCTCACTCTGTTGCTCAGGCTGGAGTGCAGTGGTGCAGTCTTGGCTCACTGCAACCTCTGCCTCCTGGGTTCAAGCGATTCCCCTGCCTTAGCCTCCCAAGTAGCTAAGTCTACAGGCATGCGCCACCATGCCTGGCTAATATATATATATATATATATATATATATATATATATATATATATTTTGTAGTTTTAGTAGAGACGGGGTTTCACCACGTTGGCCAGGCTGGTCTCGAGCTCCAGACCTCAAATGATCTGCCCGCCTTGGCTTCCCAAAGTGCTGGGATTACAGGCATTAGCCACTGTGCCTGGCCAACAATATATATATTAAATAAGCACACATACAACAAAAGTAGGTGTTGGTAAGCTTACAAAAATGTGACCAGTAGCTTGCTGAAACCTAACTTTTTATTTGTTCATGGAACTTTCTAGACCGTAACTACACTGAATAATGAGAATCTGCTGTAATATTTTTAGGTGCTGTAGATGAGCCATTGGATTAAATTATTACAGTATGTTTCAGACTGCTCTATGTTGAACCCTAGTGAAATGCCTCTCAAACCCTCCTAAGGATCACAATCTCATGTCCTTTTTTTTGTTATTAAATGCCCAGTATGTGTTAGCGATTTAAACAAAATTCAAATATTTTTTTTTTTTTTTTTTTTTGAGACAGAGTCTCGCTCTGTCACCTAAGCTGGAGAGTGCAGTGGCATGATCGCGGCTCACTACAACCTCTGCCTCCCGGGTTCAAGCGATTCTCCTGCCTCAGCATCCTGAGTAGCTGGGATTACAGGCGCCCGCCACCACGCTGGGCTAATTTTTGTATTTTTAGTAGAGACGGGATTTCGCCAGGTTGTCCAGGCTGGTCTGGAACTCCTGACCTCATGCGATCTGCCTGCCTTGGCCTCCTGAAGTGCTGGGATTATAGGCGTGAGCCACCATGCCCGGCGTTGACTTTTTAATAATAACCATTCTGACTGGTGTGAGATGGTATGCCATTGTGGTTTTGATTTGCATTTCTCTAATGATCAGTGATATTGGGCTTTTTTTCATATGCTTGTTGGCCGCATGTGTGTCTTCTTTTGAAGTGTCTGTTTATGTCCTTTGCCCACTTTCTAATGAGATTTTTTTTTTCTTGTAAATTTGTTTAAGTTCCTTATCAGTGTTGGACATTAGATCTTTGTCACATGCATTGTTGCAACAATTTTCTCCTATTCTGTAGGTTGTCTGTTCACTCTGTTGATAGTTTCTTCTGCTGTGCAGAAGCTTCAAGAAGAAAGGAATCCGATTGGTTCTGTGTCTGTCTCTTTTGGTATTCTCAGACTTATGTAGTCATCCATATAGAAAGGTGATTAGGAAAATAGGACAAGAATAGCAGAAATCTACATAAAAATGTAGGAAATTAAAATTAGTTACCAGCATACAAAAAACTACTATATGTTATAATTACATACTATAACTCACCCCTCCTTGCCAAATATTCTCTCTCTTTTGACTTCAAAATCATGGCTTATATGTACTTTCTCTATTTCCCAGATGCAAATATAATTAATTGACTTTATTTATCTAGGAAATATTACTGATATCTTAATTGTAGTCATTGGCTTGAGTGACGGGTTTTGGTAATTCAACTACTATTACTTGAAAGTAGTAGATTTCATAAGATACTGTTATAAAATCTTTTTAACCTCTTTTCTGATTTCAGGAGTAATTAGTAATTGTGGTTTACTGGAAAATTCAATGAATAGCGTGTTAAAGGAAGCAATTCGTTAATAATATATCTAATCTATTGGGAGACTGAGGCGGGTGGGTCACCTGAGATCAGGAGTTCGAGACCAGCCTGGCCAACATGGCAAAACTCCGTCTCTACTAAAAATACAAAAATTCGCCGGGCATGGTGGTGCATTCCTGTATTCCCAGGTACTCGGAAGGCTGAGGCAGGAGAATCACCTGAACTCCAGAGGTGGAGGTTGCAGTGAGTCAGGATCGCAGCACTACACTCCAGCCTGGGTGACAGAGTGAGACTCCATCTCAAAAAAAAAAAAAAATTAAAAAATTAAATTAAAAAAAAGCGGGCCGGGCGCATTGGTTCAGGGCCGGGCACGGTGGCTCAAGCCTGTAATCCCAGCACTTTGGGAGGCCGAGGCAGGCGGATCACGAGGTCAGGAGATCAAGACCATCCTGGCTAATGTGGTGAAACCCGGTCTCTACTAACAATACAAAAATTAGCTGGATGTGGTGGCAGGTGCCTGTAATCCCAGCTATTCCAGAGGCTGAGGCAGGAGAATCACTTGAACCTGGGAGGCAGAGGTTTCAGTGAGTCCAGATCATGCCACTGCACTCCAGCCTGGGTGACAGAGCGAGATTCTATCTCAAAAAAAAAAAAAAAAAAAAAAAAGCAACAGAAGCAAATGAGAGTGCCTGGGAGTGGTCATTGTGGGGCATTCCTGTTTGTGTGACCCAGGTCATGTCCCTCCCTAAGCCCTGGTCTCTCTTGCCTCCTGCAGGGCTGGTGAATTACCAGATCTCCGTCAAGTGCAGTAACCAGTTCAAGTTGGAAGTGTGTCTTTTGAAATCAGAAAACAAAGTCGTGGACAACCAGGCTGGGACCCAGGGCCAGCTGAAGGTGCTGGGTGCCAACCTCTGGTGGCCGTACCTGATGCACGAACACCCCGCCTACCTGTACTCGTGGGAGGTAATGGTGGTTTGGGACTTGCTTAAGGGAGGTCTTTTGCTCCCATCTGGTAGCCCTGGCTTCAGCAGGAGCCCAGGACAGGTGAACGGGCAGGTGTGGTCCTCTGAGCTTTTCTGAGCTTTCTGATGTTTCCCACCCTTGGTGGGAGGCCCAGATTTTTTATTTATTTATTTATTTATTTATTTATTTATTTATTTATTTATTTGTGATGGTCTCACTGTGTCACCCAGGCTGGAACGCAATGGCCTGATCACAGCTCACTGCAGCTTTGAGCTGCAATCCTCCTCCCTTGGCCTCCTGAGTAGCTGGGACTACAGGCACATGCCACCATGCCTGGCTAATTAAAAACATTTTTTTTGTAGGCCGGGCATGGTGGCTCACGCCTGTAATCCCAGCACTTCGGGAGGCTGACGCGGGCGGATCACTTTAGGCCAGGAGTTGGAGACCAGCCTGGCCAACATGGTGAAACCCTGTCTCTACTAAAATATGAAAATTTGCAGGGCATGATGGTGCACGTCTGTAATCCCAGCTACTCGGGAGGCTGAGGCAGGGGAATTGCTTGAACCCAGGAGGCAGGGGCTGCAGTGAATTGAGATCATGCCACTGCACTCTATCCTGGGTGACAGAGTGAGACTGTCTCAAAAAAAAAAAATCCTTTTTATAGAGTTGGGGGTCTTACTAGGTTGCCCAGGCTGGTCTTGAACTCCTGGACTCAGGTGATCCTCCTGCCTTAGCGTCCCAAAGTGTAGGGATTCCAGGCATGAGCCACCTCGTCTGGTCAAGGAGAAGGCCTGATTTTGAAGGGCAGGTCCCAGGGCCAGCCAGTGAAGGGCAGAGCCTCTGATTGCTGCTTCTCTGCAGGCCCAGAGGCGACTTCTGGGGTGCATGCACGAGGGGTCTTCCTGCTGTAGGGCAGGCCAGATGGGGCTCAGGCTGTCGGGGCGCTCACACCTGGCGCTTTGGCTGTCATAGGTGCGGCTGACTGCACAGAAGTCACTGGGGCCTTTGACTTCTACACACTCCCTGTGGGGCTCCGCACTGTGCCCGTCACCGAGAGCCAGTGGGTGAGAGCCAGTTTCATTTGTGGTAGAGGCAGCAGAGGTTGTAGAAATGCTCCTTGAGGCAGATGCCACACCCCAGTTTCATGGAGTGATTTGGGCTGAGCCGAGTCTGCAGCAGGCAGAAGGCTCTGAGATGTTGTCCTAGCCTGGGCAGAGGACAATTCAGAGCTCGGGGGAATAGGGGTGTGCTCAGCACGACTGGGTGGACAGGCCCTTTGTTGTGAATCGTACAGGCTTCCAGGAGCCGGTGCCTGAGGCTTCCAGACAGGCTTTGGGAGGTGGCCAGAGGAGATGCCTGTTTCCGGGGCAGGAAATGGAGGGAGCGCCCAGGCTGGAGAGGTTCAGCCAGGCTGTCACAAGGCTTTGAAGCTTCCCATCTGAGAGCCTGGCTATTGGAGAGTGTGGGTTTGGAACTTGAGGCTAGGAGGTTCTGTTCTGTCCTGTGCCAGCCACAGCCTTCGGATGGGCAGAGCAATGATGGGGGGAAGATGTAAAAGAAAAGAACTGAGGAAAGAAGAAGAAAACCAGCTTCAACAACAGTCTAGGCCGGATGCGGTGGGTCACGCCTGTAATCCCAGCAGTTTGGGAGGCTGAGGTGGGTGGATCACCTGAGGTCAGGAGTTCGAGACCAGCCTGGTCAACAGGTAGTGAATCCTGTCTCTACTAAAAATACAAAAATTAGCTGGGCATGGTGGTGGACGTCTGTAATCCCAGCTACTAGGTAGGCTGAGGCAGGAGAACCGCCTCAGGTGAACCAGGAGGCAGAGATTGCAGTGAGCTGAGATAATGCCACTGCATTCCAGCCTGGGCTACAGAATGAGACTCTGTATCTCAAAAAAACAAAACAAAACAAAAACACAACAGTCTGTTCTGTGGAGGCCTTGGGCAGATGCTGGGAGCTCTGAGCACAGACTGGTCCCTCTGTTGGGAGCCTCTTCCCTTCATCCCTCCTGGTTAACTTGACTCAGCATAAAGGCCATTTCTTCTAAGAGCCTGTCCCTGACTCTCCAATCGGGGATGTGTCTGTTGTCTCATAGAGTGCCCAATTCCTGCCACCATTTGTCATTTCCATTCGCAACATTTCTTTCATTGTTTGTTTTTCAGAGTCAGGGTCTCACTCTGTTGCCCAGGCTGGAGTGCAGTGGTGCAATCATAGCTCGTTGCCATCTCGACCTCCTGGGCTTAAGCGATCCTCCCCTCTCAGCCTCCCAAATAGCTGGGACCACAGACGTGCGCTGCCTTGCCAGGCTAAATTTTAATATTTTTTTTCCCCACGAGTCAGAGTCTTGCTCTGTCTCCCAGGCTGGAGAGCAGTGTTGCGATCTTGGCTCACTGCATCCTCTACCTCCTGGGTACAAACAGTTCTCCTGCCTCACCCTCCCGAGTAGCTGGGATTACAGGCTCACGCCACCATGCCCAGCTAGTTTTCTTCTTTATTTTTTGTTGAGATGGGGTTTCACCATGTTGGCCAGGCTGGTCTCGAACTCTTGAGCTCGTGATCCACCTGCCCTGGCCTCCCAAAGTGCTCACAGGCTTGAGCCACCATGCCCGGCCCTAATTTTTAAATTTGTTGTAGAAACAAGGTCTTGCTATGTTGCCCAGGCTGGTCTCAAGCACCTGGTCTCAAGTAAGCCTCCCAAAGTGCTGGGGTTCTAGGCGTGAGCCACCTCGCCTGGCGCTTGCACCGTTTTTCTGTGCATGCATCTCCACTCCCACTGCCCAGGACCTGTGGACTTAGATTTGAGTCATTACTGAGCACCTAGCACCCAGCCTCATGCCTGCCTCCCACCTCGCACTACCTGTTTGCTTGATGCATTAATAAATATTCCACCTGAATCCACAGCCCATTCACTCCTGTGTTCAAGGGCTATTTCAGGAAGTGAACCTCATTTTTGGCAGTGTTCAGTCCAGTGACCTCAGCTCTGTGTACCTGGCAGGGTGGCTACGCCTCTGGGGGAATTGGATTCAGGGGTGGGGGAGAAAGAGTGTTGTTAGAGAGCTTGGTCTAGGACTAGAGGAACGTGCCCTTATGTAAAATACATCTCAAGTTAGGGAAGAAAGCAGCGGCTCTGTGCTTTGTTTTTTTTTTTTGTTTTTTTTTCTTTTCTTTCTTTTTGTTTGTTTGTTTGTTTGTTTGTTTGTTTGTTTGTTTGTTTGTTTTTTTGGGGCAGGGTCTTGCTCTGTGGCCCAGGCTGGAGTGCAGTAGCGTGATTTCGGCTCACTGCAACCTCCACCTCCCGGGTTCAAGCAATTCTTGTGCCTCAGCCTCCCGAGTAGCTGGAGTTACAGATGCGTGCCACTAAGCCTGGCTAATTTTTGTATATTTAGTAGAAATGGGGTTTTGCCATGTTGGCCAGGCTGTTCTTGAACTCCTGACCTCAGTGATCTGCCTGCCTCAGCCTCCTGAAGTGCTGGGATTACAGATGTGAGCCATCATGCCTGGCCCCCAGTTGTGTTCTGGCAGGGGAAGATGGGACAGAGAGGATGGGAGGGTGTCTGAGCCTTTCCCGGACTGACGGAACCTGTGTCTTCTCTCTTTTGTGGACAGGATGGTGATTGCTCACACCAAAGCCTTGGACCCCTCCCAGCCTGTGACCTTTGTGACCAACTCCACCTACGCAGCAGACAAGGGGGTGAGCCTGGGGGTCCCCACCCCATTTCTCCCTGCCTTTGCCTGGGCTTGTCCTGAAGCCTGCTCATGGGAACAGCTGGAAAGAACCATGTGCTGCCAGTCTGAGCTTTTTATTTTGTTTTACTTAGAAAGATAGAGACAGGGTCTTGCCATGTTGCCCAGGCTGGTCTCGAACTCCTGGGCTCAAGTGGTCCTCCTGCCTCGGCCTTCCAGAGGGCTGGGGTGACAGGCGTGTGCCACCGCACTCAGCCGCAGCCAGTCTGTTTTCAAAGATGGTCTTTGGGTTAATGACAATTCTCTCTCTGCTTACTCTCTAGGCAGTGTGGCTTTCTGAATTTAAGGAGGCTGGGCATAGGGAGATGGGATTTGTTTGCCCAGTTTGGACTCAGCATTTTTTGTACTCGATTTAATAGACTCATAAAATGTCAAAGGTTTAAGTGAGCTTAGAGTTCATCTGGCCCAAACCTGGCTGATCAGAATCTCCAGGGGAAGTTTTATTGAAATGCCAGATCTCTGCATTCTGAGATCCTGATTTAGTAACTCCAGGGTTGGAACCTGAGTTTTTTTTTTTTTTTTTTTGTGAAGGCAAGGTCTTACTCTGTTGCTCTGGCTGGAGTGCAGTGGTGTGATCACAGCTCACTGCAGCCTTGAATTCCTGGGCCTAAGCAACCCTCTTGCCTCAGCCTTCCAAGTAGCTGGGACTCCGGGTGTACACCACTGTGCCCGGCTAATTTTAAATGTTTTTGTAGAGATGGGATCTCACTATGTTGCCCAGGCCAGTCTCAAACTCTTGAGCTCAAGTGATCCTCCTGCCTTAGCCTCCTAAAGTGCTGGGATTACAGGCATGAGCCACCGTGCCTGGCTGATACTAGCATTCTTTTTTTTTTTTTTTTTTTAAAAAGATGGAGTCTTGCTGTGTTGCCCAGGCTGGAGTGCAGTGGCACAGTCTCAGCTCACTGCAACCTCCGCCTCCCAGGTTCAAGCAATTCTCCTGCCTCAGCCTCCCAAGTAGCTGGGATAACAGGCACATGCCACCACGCCTGCGCTTGATCGTGGGAGGCAGAGGTTGCACTATTGTGCCACTCCATTCTAGCCTGGGCAACAGAGCGAGACTCTGTCTTCCAAATAAAGCGAAAAAAGATTATCTGCGAGAATGACTGCATTGGCCCCTTGGGTGGGAGGGCTTCTCCAGGGCAAGGTGAGGGGATGCCCAGTGCTGGGAGTGCTGCCTGGAGAGGAGTCAGTTCCAGTGGCGGGGGCCCTGGGTTTTGGCTGAGGACTGCGTGTTGGCAGCTGCTCTGCCTCTCACAGCCCTTCCCAGCTGCACACGTCGTGAGCGTCAGTGTGCAATCACAGGCCTGCCTCCTTTGGGCCACTTTGTGACCATGTTTTTTGCTTGTGGGGCAGGGTAATTTCAGGATCTAAATTGGTGCAGTTGGATGTTCTCAGCCCCGAGAGGCAGCTCTTCCCGTTCTAGGCTTTTTGTTTTGTTTTGTAGAAATGGAGTCCTACGATGTTGCCCAGGCTGGTCTCAAACTCCTGGGCTCAAGTGATCCTCCCACCTTGGCCTCCCAATGTGCTGGGATTACAGGCATGAGCCACTGTGCCGTGCTAATTTTCTTGATACTATTTTTTGTAGAGCTGGGGTCTTGCTGTGTTGCCCAGGCTGGTCTCGAACTCCTGGCCACAAGCCACCCTCCTGCCTCAGCCTCCCAGAGTGCTGGGATTACATCCCCTTCTTACCTTCTCTGTCAGAGGAGCCCCCACAGCATGTGAGTACTGAGTCATGCGGTCTTGTGGTTGCTGAACGGGCTCTGCTGCTCTGGTCCTAGGCTCTGTATGTGGATGTGATCCGTGTGAACAGCTACTACTCTTGGTATCGCAACTACGGGCACCTGGAGTTGATTCAGCTGCAGCTGGCCGCCCAGTTTGAGAACTGGTGTAAGACATCACAATCCCATTATTCAGAGCGAGTATGGAGTGGAAACGCTTGTAGGGTTTCACCAGGTAAGCGGTGTTGAACTTTCTGCTTGTGTATTCTCTCTGGGCAGAGATGCCAACTTGCCTCTCCCACCATGCCATCTCTGAAGAATATTACAGACCATTTTGGAGCATGGTGAATAAGAAATTTTTACCTTAGGAGTTCACTTGAATAGTCATTTTTATATTTGTGACTGCAAGTCACTTTTAGGGGCTGTACTTCCTTAGTACTGGTAGCATTATTATCCAATGGACTTTTATAGCTTTCATTAGGTTTTCTTTTGTTTTTGTTCTTTAAAGAACATTTTACTTAACTTAGTATTTCATTTTTCGTCTATATTATGAGGCAGTAAGAGTCTTCTGTTTTTCCAAAGTTGAGACTGCTTTATATTTATTTCATATTGTCTACAGCTGTAGTGTTCAATACATTAGCCACTAGCCACATGTGGTTATTTAAATAAGATAAAATAAAAATTGGCCGGGCGTGGTGGCTCACGCCTGTAATCCCAGCACTTTGGGAGGCCGAGGCGGGCAGATCATTAGGTCAGGAGATCGAGACCATCCTTACTAAGACGGTGAACCCCCATCTCTATTAAAAATACAAAAAATTAGCCGGGCGTGGTGGCGGGCGCCTGCAGTCCCAGCTACTCAGGAGGCTGAGGCAGGAGAATGGCGTGAACCTGGGAGGCAGAGTTTGCAGTGAGCCGAGATTGGCGCCACTGCACTCCAGCCTGGGGGACAGAGCGAGACTCCATCTCAAAAAAAAAAAAAAAAAAAAGTCTGCTTCAGCTGCTAAAACAGAATACCATAAATTAGGTAGCTTAAACAGTAGATATTTTGACCCGGCATGGTGGCTTATGCCTGTATTCCTAACACTTTGGGAGGCCGAGGCAGGTGGATAACTTGAGCTCAGGAGTTTGAGACTAGCCTGGGCAGCATGGCAAAACCTTGTCTCTACGAAAATTAGCTGGGCATGGTGGTGCACGCCTGTAGTCTGAGCTACTTGGGAGGCTGAGGTGGGAGAATTGCTTGAACCTGGGAGGCGGAGGTTGCAGTGAGCCATGATCGCACCACTGTACTCCAGCCTGGATGACAGAATGAGACTCTGTCTCAAAAAAAACAAAAACAAACAAACAAAAAAAACAGATATTTCTCACAGTTGTGGAGACTGGAAGTGCAAGATCAAAGTGTTGGCAAATTACGTTTCTTAAAGAGGGCCTGCTTCCTAGATTGGAAATGGCCATCTTCTCTCAGTATCCTCACATGGTAGGGAGAAAAGCAGCTCTAGTGTCTCTTCTTATAAAGGAAGTAATGCCACCATAGGGGCTCTATTCTCATGACCTCATCTAAACGTAATTCTCTCCTAAAGGCCACGCCTCCCAGTATCCTCACCTTGGGGGTTAGGGCTTTATCATATGAATTTTTTTTTTTTTTTTTTTGAGACAGAGTCTCGCTCTGTCTGTCACCCAGGCTGGAGTGCAGTGGCACAATCTCGGCTCTCTACAAGCTCCGCCTCCTGGGTTCACGCCATTCTCCTGCGTCAGCCTCCTCAGTAGCTGGGACTAAGGCGCCCGCCACTGCGCCCGGCTAATTTTTTTGTATTTTTAGTAGAGACGGGGTTTTACCATGTTAGCCAGGATGATCTCGATCTCCTGACCTCGTGATCCACCCACCTCGGCCTCCCAAAGTGCTGGGATTACAGGCATGAGCCACCGCGCCTGGCCTATCATATGAATTTTGAGGGAACACAATCATGCAGTCTGTAGCAGATGGTAATAGGCTGATATATTACACTTGTTGATGTAAATCTGATAGGTTTCTTTCTCTCCAAGGACAGCTTTTTAAATATTTAACAGTATCAATAATTTTTCAGTTTCTGTGAGAATTTTATAATTTATAATTTGCAGACTTAATGTATAATCTATTTTGTCCTAACAATTACAAATATATTTTTTATTTCAGATTATATATATTCCTACCAGATGGAGATAATTACAGCTTTAAAAATTTTTATTTTTTCATTTTATTTCACATATTGACATTAAATTTTTATTGACACATAATAATTGTACATATATATGGGGTACAATGTGATGTTTTAATACATGTACTCAATGTGTAATGATCAAATCAGGGTAATTTGCATAATGATTTTTCTGTAGGGAGAAAATTCAAAATCTACTCTTCTGGCTATTTTCAAATATATAATATGTTATTGTTAACTATACTCATCCTACTATGCAATAGGACACCAGAACTTATTCCTGGGTTCTACATCTGTTAAGCCAACCAAAGATTGGAAATATTGGGAAAAAAAATTGCGTCTGTACTGAACATGTACAGACTTTTTTCTTGTCCTTATTCCTTACACAATATAGTACAATAACTATTTGCATGACATTTACATCGGATATTATGAGTGATCTAGAGTTGATATGAAGTATATGGGAGGATGTGCAAAGGTGATGTGCAAATACTATGTCATTTTATATCAGGGACTTGAGTATCCTTTGTTATCCTCAGGAGATCCTGAAACTAGTCCTCCATGGATACTGAGGGCTGACTGTCTAGTCCTATCCTCACGGAACTTTCATTGTAATGAGGGAAGACTGACTATAAACAAAATATATGTAATAGGTGGTGGTAAGTACCGTGGAGAAGTAACAAATGGGGCAAAGTGAGTTATACAGCTCCATCCTTAGAAACCTTGGAGTACTTTTCTTAGTTTATACTCGTGGTGGTTTCCTTTTGTCTCCTTTATTACATGGGACTCTGACATGTGCCCATAGCTAGGGTGGCAGTAGGATCTACCCGAAAAGCGTCCTGCTGATACAGGACCAAAGCATCCTGTTGTTCTCGAGCCTATAAAAAGAGCTAATGGTCTTGCTTCTCTTAACTGTGGCCTCCTACACTGTGTTTTGGATGATTGGTGATGTCTTGGATATTCTGTTTCTTTGGAACTTTGAATATACAACACTTTACTAGGGAATTAGCAATGGAAGCAGAGCAAAGATGTACAGAGGAAACAATGCATAACTCTGATGGAATTGAAGTCATGAGGCAGCAGAGAGCTTAAATTAGAGCTTTAAAAATTTTTATTTTTTAGAGGGAATTTAATTGGGAGTAACAGCAGTAATAGTTAACGGAGCCAGAATGCTTGAGTCATATAATTGCAAAGCAGAGTTGGGAGCAACAGATGCTAAAGAGTAGTTGCTGTAGTTCCTCTTTGGGTCGTAGGAGCAGTTGTCATGTTACTATATAGCTACTGAATGAAGAAGAGTTCTTAGTGAGGCCTGGGTGAACAGCTCTTCTTAGTATTCTGTGTGACCCCATTTGACCTTTTAACAAATCCCTAAGTAAATAAATAGCCCCTAAGGTAAACTAAGTTTTTCTCTGCTATTTTTTTGCTTGAGAGAGCTATAACTGTAGTAGACTTATATTTCTGAACATTTTAGTGCTTGCCAATATTTGGTAATATTTATGTTTCCTATATTTGTAATGAACATTCTTCTTCCGGTACATTTTTTGTTAAATTATTGTTTCATGCATAAAAGTTCACCTTTTATTGTATAAAATTGACTCAGATTAATTTATACACATTGACAATGGGTAAATAGAGCTTTTCAGATTATTAAAAGCTGAAGGATGCCCATGTAAGCAAAAACAAAAAAGAAAAAACCAACAAAAATAAACCCAAACCCCTCAAACAATTTCGAACACAAAACATTCTTCTCACGCCGGCATCCCTGCTTGCAGGTGTGAGGGGGGCAGGAATCAGCGAGGTGTCCTGGGCTGAGTCCCCGGAGTGGGAAGAGGTGGCAGGAAGGGGATCTGAGGAGGAGAACAGGGGTCCTGGTGGTCTGTGCTTCTTCCCAGACACGGGAGCTGTAGAGGAGACCTCTGCAGCAGATGCTAGGGGGGCCACTAGGCCTAGGCAGTCTTGGGACTTGGGTCTGTCCTGCTGTGCATCCATAGTGGGTGCTTTAGAAAGGGGAGGCCCACGCGAAGCCCCCGTTGCAAGTGAGGACAAAGTGTGGGAAGGCCGTGAGGGTCTGCAGTCCGAGATGGCCTTGCCCTCAACGTGCAGTGCACTGTTGATGTGGGGCCTAGAGGCCTGGGATCTGGGGGAGCCACCCCTGGGGGCGAGTGTCTGCCCTGGTGCTGTATCTGCCTTTTGACAGCGGGTGTGACCCGAAGAGACAGCCTGAGGTCCGTCCTCACTCACTGTGTTTGAGGAACTGAGGGCCAGCTGGCAGTGGCATGAGGCTGGCCCCCTCCTCCGCTTTAGTTCCGGGAGGCCTTCCGTAGAACTGTGGGAGCTGGAGCTGGCATTTCCTTGGAGGCAGGATCTGGTCCGGGAGGTCTGGGATCTCTGGTTATATCTCACTTCTGACCTCTGGGCACGTGCTGCAGCTGTGGCTGAGGCCAAGAAATGTGAGGGGCCTCCATTCACTGCATTGAGTAGTGACCCCGACGTGGGGTTCAATGTGGAGGGGGGAGGGGCTGCTGCTGCAGCTGCAGGAGCGGAGGTGCCAGGCCTTGTTCTTCTCATGCTGGCATCCCTGCTTGCAGCTGTGAAGGGGGCAGGAATCAGCGAGGTGACCTGGGCTGAGTCCCGGGAGTGGGAAGAGGTGGCAGGAAGGGGATCTGAGGAGGAGAACAGGGGTCCTGGTGGTCTGTGCTTCTTCCCAGACACGGGAGCTGTAGAGGAGACCTCTGCAGCAGATGCTAGGGGGGCCACTAGGCCCAGGCAGTCTTGGGACTTGGGTCTGTCCTGCTGTGCATCCATAGCGGGTGCTTTAGAAACGGGAGGCCCACCCGAAGCCCCCGTTGCAAGTGAGGACAAAGTGTGGGAAGGCCGTGAGGGTCTGCAGTCCGAGATGGCCTTGTCCTCAACGTGCAGTGCACTGTTGATGTGGGGCCTAGAGGCCTGGGATCTGGGGGAGCCACCCCTGGGGGCGAGTGTCTGCCCTGGTGCTGTATCTGCCTTCTTTTCACAGCGGTGACCCGTAGAGACAGCCTGAGCTCCGTCCTCACTCACTGTCTTTGAGGAACTGTGGGCCAGCTGGCAGTGGGATGAGGCTGGCCCCCTCCTCCGCTTTAGTTCCGGGAGGCCTTCCGTAGAGCTGTGGGAGCTGGAGCTGGCATTTCGTTTGAGGCAGGATCTGGTCCGGGAGGTCTGGGATCTCTGGTTATATCTCACTTCTGACCTCTGGGCACGTGCTGCAGCTGTGGCTGAGGCCAAGAAATGTGAGGGGCCTCCATCCACTGCATTGAGTAGTGACCCCGACGTGGGGTTCAATGTGGAGGGGGGAGGGGCTGCTGCGGCAGCTGCAGGAGCCGACCTTGTTCTTCTCATGCCGGCATCCCTGCTTGCAGCTGTGAAGGGGGCAGGAATCATCGAGGTGACCTGGGCTGAGTCCCGGGAGTGGGAAGAGGTGGCAGGAAGGGTATCTGAGGAGGAGAACAGGGGTCCTGGTGGTCTGTGCTTCTTCCCAGACACGGGAGCTGTAGAGGGGACCTCTGCAGCAGATGCTAGGGGGGCCACTAGGCCCAGGCAGTCTTGGGACTTGGGTCTGTCCTGCTGTGCATCCATAGTGGGTGCTTTAGAAACGGGAGGCCCACGCGAAGCCCCTGTTGCAAGTGAGGACAAAGTGTGGGAAGGCCGTGAGGGTCTGCAGTCCGAGATGGCCTTGTCCTCAACGTGCAGTGCACTGTTGATGTGGGGCCTAGAGGCCTGGGATCTGGGGGAGCCACCCCTGGGGGCGAGTGTCTGCCCTGGTGCTGTGTCTGCCTTCTTTTCACAGCGGTGACCCGTAGAGACAGCCTGAGCTCCGTCCTCACTCACTGTCTTTGAGGAACTGTGGGCCAGCTGGCAGTGGGATGAGGCTGGCCCCCTCCTCCGCTTTAGTTCCGGGAGGCCTTCCGTAGAGCTGTGGGAGCTGGAGCTGGCATTTCGTTTGAGGCAGGATCTGGTCCGGGTGGTCTGGGATCTCTGGTTATATCTCACTTCTGACCTCTGGGCACGTGCTGCAGCTGTGGCTGAGGCCAAGAAATGTGAGGGGCCTCCATCCACTGCATTGAGTAGTGACCCCGACGTGGGGTTCAATGTGGAGGGGGGAGGGGCTGCTGCGGCAGCTGCAGGGGCCGACCTTGTTCTTCTCATGCCGGCATCCCTGCTTGCAGCTGTGAAGGGGGCAGGAATCATCGAGGTGACCTGGGCTGAGTCCCGGGAGTGGGAAGAGGTGGCAGGAAGGGTATCTGAGGAGGAGAACAGGGGTCCTGGTGGTCTCTGCTTCTTCCCAGACACGGGAGCTGTAGAGGAGACCTCTGCAGCAGATGCTAGGGGGGCCACTAGGCCCAGGCAGTCTTGGGACTTGGGTCTGTCCTGCTGTGCATCCATAGTGGGTGCTTTAGAAAGGGGAGGCCCACCCGAAGCCCCTGTTGCAAGTGAGGACAAAGTGTGGGAAGGCCGTGAGGGTCTGCAGTCCGAGATGGCCTTGTCCTCAACGTGCAGTGCACTGTTGATGCGCTGGAATGCTGCCTGTTTTTCCAGGTGCAGGTCTTCCGCCGTGACCCGGTACCCCAGCTCTAAGGGAGGTGGCAGCATCAAAGGCTCCCCTCGCCTGCTTGGCAGCAGGGGAATCTTGCGTCTACGGGGCCTAGAGGCCTGGGATCTGGGGGAGCCACCCCTTGGGGCGAGTGTCTGCCCTGGTGCTGTATCTGCCGCCTTTTCACACCGTGTGTGACCCGAAGAGACAGCCTGAGGCCTGTCCTCACTCACTGTCTTTGAGTAACTGAGGGTCAGCTGGCAGCGGGATGAGGCTGGTCCCCTCCTCTGCTTTAGCCCCGGCAAGCCTCCCGTGGAGCTGTAGGAGCTGGAGATGGCATTTCGTTTTGTGCTCGAGCTCGTCCAGGATGTCTGGGATGTCTGGTTATATCTGATTTCTGAGCTCTGGGCATCGAGGTCTGTCTGCAGAGGCCCGGGCCTGGGCACAAAGGGAGAGAGGCCTCCATTGTCCCGCAGGGGCCAAAATGCAGACCGTGCATCCCCGGTGACCTCGGGGACCGTTCTCTGATCAGCAGGATTTTCTTGGACTCTGGGGTCCTTGTCCTGCTCAGGCATCCCTGCCCTGCTCTCCTTGAGGGCCCTCAACACTATCTTCCCTGGACACAAGTCTGGGGACAGCCGGGTGTTGAGGACCCCAAAGGGGTGACTACCTGCTCCTGGGCCCCACAGAGTCCTTGTGCTCAGTGTAGTGGCTGAGCTGGGGGATGCCCTGGAATTCGGAGCACACAGCACTGGCTTACTGTGGTACCTGTGCAGTGAAATTGGAGACAGAATCACCAGGATGGAACACAGGTCTTGCAGGATCACGGAAAACCTTCTTAGAGTTGTCTTGACACCACTGATGTTGAGTGTCCGGGTGTTTGTAGGATGGCCTGCCACTCAGTCCAGGGGCAGGAGCAACGGGGAGATCCCACAAGCAAAGTGAACTGGGCGATGGGCTGAAGGGGCTCTAGGCAACTGAGCCCTACTCGCAGGTCCTCGGCCTTGGCCCAAACAGGAATGAGGGGCACAGAGTGCCCGGGTAACCGCTCCTGGGAGCAGTGGGGAACTGTCGGATACTTGAACTCTCGAGAGCTGGGCTCTGAGCGTCCTCGTCCAGCTGCCAACTTGGCCAAAGGCTAAGCCAGCAGATTGTTCTGTTGCCGGGCGACGCGACTTCTAAACCTGAGGGAGTGGGCATGTGAGCACATAATGGCACCAGTGACAGAGCGACCATAATGGATTAATAAGCGCAGCCAGGTACCCGCGCAAGGCACTTGCTGGCAATGGCAGGAGGCGGACGTGGGGGGGGTCGTGCAATAGGTACTGGAGGGAGAGACGTGGGCACAAAGGTCGCGGGAGGAACAGGTGCCCACAATGGCTGCAGATCTGCCCGTGGATCACTGAAGATTCCTGCTCTCCTGCTGAGGTGGAGACTGCAGTGAGCTGAGATCGCACCATTGCACTCCAGCCTGGGCAACGAGTGCAAAACTCAGTCTCCAGATAAAAAAAAGAAAAAGAAAAAAAAGAGGCCGGGTGTGGTGGCTTATGCCTATAATCCTAGCACTTTGGGAGGTCGGGGTGGACGGATCACGAGATCAGGAGTTGGAGGCCAGCCTGGCCAACATAGTGAAACCCCGTCTCTAGTAAAAATACAAAATTTAGTCAGACATGGTGGGCAGGAGAGAGCATGTGCAGGGGAACATCCATTTATAAAACCATCAGACCTCATGAGACTTATTCACTACCATGAGAACAGCATGGGGGAAACTGCCTCCATGATTCAGTTATCTCCACCTGGCCCCACCCTTGACACATGGGAATTGTTACAATTCAAGATGAGATTTGGGTGGGGACAGAGCCAAACCATATAATTCTTCCCCGGCCCCTCCCAAATCTCATGTCCTCATATTTCAAAAGCAATCGTGCCTTCCCCTAAGTCCCCCAAACTCTTATTTCAGCATTAACTCAAAATTCCATAGTCCAAAGTCTCATCTGAGACAAGGCAAGTCCCTTCCACCTGTGAGCCTGTAAAACCAAAAGCAAGTTAGTTATTTTCTAGATACACAGGGATACAGGCATTGGGTAAATACACCCGTTTCAAACGGGAGAAATTGGCCAAAGCGAAAGAGCTACAGGCCCCATGCAAGTCCAAAACCCAGCAGGCAAATCTTAGAGCTCCAAAATGACCTCCTTTGACTCCATGTGTCACATCTAGGTGATGCAAGAAGTGGGTTCCCAGGGTCTTGGGCAGCCCCGCCCCTGTGGCTTTGCAGGGTACAGCCCCCCCTTCTGGCTGCATTGAGTGTCTGCAGCTTTTCCAGGCACACAGTGCAAGCTGTCAGTGGATCTACCATTCTGGGGTCTGGAGGATGGTGGCCCTTTTGTGACAGCTCTGCTTGGCAGTACCCCAGTGGGGACTCTGTGTGGGGGCTCCAACCCCATATTTCCCTTTGACACTGCCCTAGCAGAGGTTATCCATGAGGGCCCCCCGCTGCCCCGCACAGCAAACTTTTGCCTGGATTTCCAGGCATTTTCATACATCTTCTGAAATCTAGGCGGAGGTTCATGAACGTTAATTCTTGACTTCGGTGCATCTGCAGGCTTAACACCACCTAGAACCTGAAAGGCTTGGAACTTGCACCCTCTGAAGCCATGGCCTGAGGTGTACCTTGGCCCCTTTTACCTATGGCAGGAGCAGCTGGGATGCAGGGCACCAGGTTCCTAGGCTGCACACAGCAGGGGGTTCTGGACTCACAAGAGCATTTTTCCTTCTAAGCCTCCTGGCCTGTGATGGGAGGGTCTGCTGTGAGGGTCTCTAACATGCCCTGGAGACATTTGCCCCATTGTCTTGGTGATTAACATTTGGCTCCTCATTACTTATGCAAATTTCTACAACCCAGTCTCCTGAGAAAATAGATTTTTCTTTTCTGTTGCATCATCAGGCTACAAATTTTCTGAACTTTTATGCTCTGCTTCTTCTCGAATGCTTTGCTGCTTAGAAATTTCTTCTGTCAGATACCTTAAATCATCTCTCTCAAGTTCAAAGTTCCACAGATCTCTAGGGAACTCTAGAAAAAAATTCTTATTTTCACTCTTTCCCGCCTATCTTATGCCCGTTTCTAACACAGGTGCACAGTGCCTGCAGTGTCTTTGCATAGTAAGAGTGACTTTACTCCATTTCCCAACAAATTCCTCATCTCCCTCTGAGACCACCTCCGCCTGGACCTTATTGTCCATATCACTATTAACATTTTGGTCAAAGCCATTCAACAAGTCTCTAGGAAGTTCCAAACTTTCCCACATTTTCCTATCCTCTTCTGAGCCTTCCAAACTGTTCCAGCCTCTCCCTGTTACCCATTTCCAAAGTTGCTTCCACATGTTCGGGTATCTTTACAGCAGCACCCCACTCTACTGGTATCAACTTATTGTATTAGTCTGTTCTCACACTGCAAATAAAGACATACCTGAGACTGGGTAATTTATAAAGGAAAGAGGTTGAATTGACTCACAGTTCTGCATGGCTGGGGAGGCCTCACAATCATGGTGGAAGGCAAGGAGGTGCAAAAGCATGTCTCACATAGTGGCAGGCAGGAGAGAGCATGTGCAGGGGAGCTCCCATTTATAAAACCATCAGATCTCATGAGACTTAGTCACTACCACGAGAACAGTATGGGGGGAACCATCCCCATGATTCAGTTATCTGCACCTGGCCCCACCCTTGACACGTGGGAATTATTACAATGCAAGGTGAGATTTAGGTGGGGACCCATCCAAACTATGTCAGTATGTTTTGACTTCTGGCTTGATTGCTAGGTTGCATGGAGGACAAACATGGAAATTAATGAAGTACCTTAATATCTGGCTTCAGATCTTAGACAGGATCAGAGGGCCAGCTCAAATTTGCAAGGAGGGGAGGTAGATCCCACCATTTTATGGGTGAATGGCAAAATCAAGCAGAAATTATGTGGGACGGGAGATACTGATGCAGGCATCTTTGGAAACATTCTACTTAGCTAATTTTATGCTAGGCTTTAGGTCAAGAAGGAGAGAGAGAGCTGACATGCTGTGGTACACACTTATAGTCCCAGCGACTTGGAAAGCTGAGGCAGGAGGATTGCTTGATCCCAGGAGTTTGAGGTAGTGTGCGATGATCGTTCTTGTGAATAGCCACTAGCCACTGAACTCCAGCTTGGGCAACATTGAGACACCCTGTCTCTTAATTTAAAAAAAAAAAAAAAAAAAAAAGGAGGAAAGAAAGTGGTCTCAGTTTTTAATGTAAATATTTTTAATGGGATAATGATATTTTAAGATTAATGTATATTGTATATCAGTTAACTATAGGTCAATAATTATATAAAACTTAAGGTACGAAAAACATTTATTTTTGCTAACATATCCGTGAGTTGACTGTTCTTGGCTTGGTGAGGCTGCAAGCTGCAGATAGAGTCTAGGTATGATTTCTGTGTGTTTGTT
Source organism: Homo sapiens (assembly GCF_000001405.40). NCBI lineage: Eukaryota > Metazoa > Chordata > Mammalia > Primates > Hominidae > Homo > Homo sapiens. The sequence goes on from NW_016107297.1 coordinate 137,063, forward strand.
CCCCCTTGGATCAGTGGACTACCTGAGAATGTGTTTTTGTCACAGTGATAGAATCACAAGGAAACTCCAGTTCTGGAAGTACATTTTAAGCCATTGCTTCTATCATGTCCACTAACATTCAGTCAGCCAAAGCACATACCTTGTCCATGGCTAACATTGATAGTATAGATAAATATACCTGATCTCTAGCAGGAGGAACTGCATTGTCTTGGGGAAAGGTTTTAGATATAGGGAGGGGTGATGAGTTGGGAACAATAATGTAGTCTGCCACAAACATATTAAAGTGTAACTGGATATGGTTGCTGCAGAATTTTGAACCTTTGTTTTAATTGTGATTTTTACTCTTTTCCCCCTATCTAGTGCCCTTTCGTAATACAGTAATTCTCATGATTTTTGTCTGAATTGAAATCTTCTGAGATTAGATTGTCTACGAAAATACAGTCGATCCTCCTTGTTTTCAGCTTTTGTATTTGTGAACTCACCTACTATTTTTTGTAACCCCCAAATCAGTACTCACAGCACTTTCATAGTCATGTGTTTGCGCAGAGTGTCAAAGAATTTGAGTTTGAACAGGATGATATTCTGCCTTCTTTTTCAGCTCTCATACAATAGTCAGGTATCCTTTTTGTGGTCTATTTAATGCCATGCTTTTCCTGTTTTTGTACTGTTTGTTGGTTGTTTTGCCATTTAAATTAACCCCCAAGCATAGTGCTGAAGTGCTGCTTAGCATTCACAAGTCCAAGAAGTCTGTGATGTGTCTTACAGAGGAAATAGATGCATTGAATAAACTCCTTCAGGCGTGAGTGCTGTAGTGCCATTGGCTGTGAGTTCAGTGTTAATGAATGAACAATGTGTATTATTTATTTATTCTTCATTTAATTAATTATTATTATTTTTTTTGAGATAGAGTCTCACTCTGTTGCTCAGGCTGGAGTGCAGTGGTGCAGTCTTGGCTCACTGCAACCTCTGCCTCCTGGGTTCAAGCGATTCCCCTGCCTTAGCCTCCCAAGTAGCTAAGTCTACAGGCATGCGCCACCATGCCTGGCTAATATATATATATATATATATATATATATATATATATATATATATTTTGTAGTTTTAGTAGAGACGGGGTTTCACCACGTTGGCCAGGCTGGTCTCGAGCTCCAGACCTCAAATGATCTGCCCGCCTTGGCTTCCCAAAGTGCTGGGATTACAGGCATTAGCCACTGTGCCTGGCCAACAATATATATATTAAATAAGCACACATACAACAAAAGTAGGTGTTGGTAAGCTTACAAAAATGTGACCAGTAGCTTGCTGAAACCTAACTTTTTATTTGTTCATGGAACTTTCTAGACCGTAACTACACTGAATAATGAGAATCTGCTGTAATATTTTTAGGTGCTGTAGATGAGCCATTGGATTAAATTATTACAGTATGTTTCAGACTGCTCTATGTTGAACCCTAGTGAAATGCCTCTCAAACCCTCCTAAGGATCACAATCTCATGTCCTTTTTTTTGTTATTAAATGCCCAGTATGTGTTAGCGATTTAAACAAAATTCAAATATTTTTTTTTTTTTTTTTTTTTGAGACAGAGTCTCGCTCTGTCACCTAAGCTGGAGAGTGCAGTGGCATGATCGCGGCTCACTACAACCTCTGCCTCCCGGGTTCAAGCGATTCTCCTGCCTCAGCATCCTGAGTAGCTGGGATTACAGGCGCCCGCCACCACGCTGGGCTAATTTTTGTATTTTTAGTAGAGACGGGATTTCGCCAGGTTGTCCAGGCTGGTCTGGAACTCCTGACCTCATGCGATCTGCCTGCCTTGGCCTCCTGAAGTGCTGGGATTATAGGCGTGAGCCACCATGCCCGGCGTTGACTTTTTAATAATAACCATTCTGACTGGTGTGAGATGGTATGCCATTGTGGTTTTGATTTGCATTTCTCTAATGATCAGTGATATTGGGCTTTTTTTCATATGCTTGTTGGCCGCATGTGTGTCTTCTTTTGAAGTGTCTGTTTATGTCCTTTGCCCACTTTCTAATGAGATTTTTTTTTTCTTGTAAATTTGTTTAAGTTCCTTATCAGTGTTGGACATTAGATCTTTGTCACATGCATTGTTGCAACAATTTTCTCCTATTCTGTAGGTTGTCTGTTCACTCTGTTGATAGTTTCTTCTGCTGTGCAGAAGCTTCAAGAAGAAAGGAATCCGATTGGTTCTGTGTCTGTCTCTTTTGGTATTCTCAGACTTATGTAGTCATCCATATAGAAAGGTGATTAGGAAAATAGGACAAGAATAGCAGAAATCTACATAAAAATGTAGGAAATTAAAATTAGTTACCAGCATACAAAAAACTACTATATGTTATAATTACATACTATAACTCACCCCTCCTTGCCAAATATTCTCTCTCTTTTGACTTCAAAATCATGGCTTATATGTACTTTCTCTATTTCCCAGATGCAAATATAATTAATTGACTTTATTTATCTAGGAAATATTACTGATATCTTAATTGTAGTCATTGGCTTGAGTGACGGGTTTTGGTAATTCAACTACTATTACTTGAAAGTAGTAGATTTCATAAGATACTGTTATAAAATCTTTTTAACCTCTTTTCTGATTTCAGGAGTAATTAGTAATTGTGGTTTACTGGAAAATTCAATGAATAGCGTGTTAAAGGAAGCAATTCGTTAATAATATATCTAATCTATTGGGAGACTGAGGCGGGTGGGTCACCTGAGATCAGGAGTTCGAGACCAGCCTGGCCAACATGGCAAAACTCCGTCTCTACTAAAAATACAAAAATTCGCCGGGCATGGTGGTGCATTCCTGTATTCCCAGGTACTCGGAAGGCTGAGGCAGGAGAATCACCTGAACTCCAGAGGTGGAGGTTGCAGTGAGTCAGGATCGCAGCACTACACTCCAGCCTGGGTGACAGAGTGAGACTCCATCTCAAAAAAAAAAAAAATTAAAAAATTAAATTAAAAAAAAGCGGGCCGGGCGCATTGGTTCAGGGCCGGGCACGGTGGCTCAAGCCTGTAATCCCAGCACTTTGGGAGGCCGAGGCAGGCGGATCACGAGGTCAGGAGATCAAGACCATCCTGGCTAATGTGGTGAAACCCGGTCTCTACTAACAATACAAAAATTAGCTGGATGTGGTGGCAGGTGCCTGTAATCCCAGCTATTCCAGAGGCTGAGGCAGGAGAATCACTTGAACCTGGGAGGCAGAGGTTTCAGTGAGTCCAGATCATGCCACTGCACTCCAGCCTGGGTGACAGAGCGAGATTCTATCTCAAAAAAAAAAAAAAAAAAAAAAAAAGCAACAGAAGCAAATGAGAGTGCCTGGGAGTGGTCATTGTGGGGCATTCCTGTTTGTGTGACCCAGGTCATGTCCCTCCCTAAGCCCTGGTCTCTCTTGCCTCCTGCAGGGCTGGTGAATTACCAGATCTCCGTCAAGTGCAGTAACCAGTTCAAGTTGGAAGTGTGTCTTTTGAAATCAGAAAACAAAGTCGTGGACAACCAGGCTGGGACCCAGGGCCAGCTGAAGGTGCTGGGTGCCAACCTCTGGTGGCCGTACCTGATGCACGAACACCCCGCCTACCTGTACTCGTGGGAGGTAATGGTGGTTTGGGACTTGCTTAAGGGAGGTCTTTTGCTCCCATCTGGTAGCCCTGGCTTCAGCAGGAGCCCAGGACAGGTGAACGGGCAGGTGTGGTCCTCTGAGCTTTTCTGAGCTTTCTGATGTTTCCCACCCTTGGTGGGAGGCCCAGATTTTTTATTTATTTATTTATTTATTTATTTATTTATTTATTTATTTATTTGTGATGGTCTCACTGTGTCACCCAGGCTGGAACGCAATGGCCTGATCACAGCTCACTGCAGCTTTGAGCTGCAATCCTCCTCCCTTGGCCTCCTGAGTAGCTGGGACTACAGGCACATGCCACCATGCCTGGCTAATTAAAAACATTTTTTTTGTAGGCCGGGCATGGTGGCTCACGCCTGTAATCCCAGCACTTCGGGAGGCTGACGCGGGCGGATCACTTTAGGCCAGGAGTTGGAGACCAGCCTGGCCAACATGGTGAAACCCCGTCTCTACTAAAATATGAAAATTTGCAGGGCATGATGGTGCACGTCTGTAATCCCAGCTACTCGGGAGGCTGAGGCAGGGGAATTGCTTGAACCCAGGAGGCAGGGGCTGCAGTGAATTGAGATCATGCCACTGCACTCTATCCTGGGTGACAGAGTGAGACTGTCTCAAAAAAAAAAAATCCTTTTTATAGAGTTGGGGGTCTTACTAGGTTGCCCAGGCTGGTCTTGAACTCCTGGACTCAGGTGATCCTCCTGCCTTAGCGTCCCAAAGTGTAGGGATTCCAGGCATGAGCCACCTCGTCTGGTCAAGGAGAAGGCCTGATTTTGAAGGGCAGGTCCCAGGGCCAGCCAGTGAAGGGCAGAGCCTCTGATTGCTGCTTCTCTGCAGGCCCAGAGGCGACTTCTGGGGTGCATGCACGAGGGGTCTTCCTGCTGTAGGGCAGGCCAGATGGGGCTCAGGCTGTCGGGGCGCTCACACCTGGCGCTTTGGCTGTCATAGGTGCGGCTGACTGCACAGAAGTCACTGGGGCCTTTGACTTCTACACACTCCCTGTGGGGCTCCGCACTGTGCCCGTCACCGAGAGCCAGTGGGTGAGAGCCAGTTTCATTTGTGGTAGAGGCAGCAGAGGTTGTAGAAATGCTCCTTGAGGCAGATGCCACACCCCAGTTTCATGGAGTGATTTGGGCTGAGCCGAGTCTGCAGCAGGCAGAAGGCTCTGAGATGTTGTCCTAGCCTGGGCAGAGGACAATTCAGAGCTCGGGGGAATAGGGGTGTGCTCAGCACGACTGGGTGGACAGGCCCTTTGTTGTGAATCGTACAGGCTTCCAGGAGCGGGTGCCTGAGGCTTCCAGACAGGCTTTGGGAGGTGGCCAGAGGAGATGCCTGTTTCCGGGGCAGGAAATGGAGGGAGCGCCCAGGCTGGAGAGGTTCAGCCAGGCTGTCACAAGGCTTTGAAGCTTCCCATCTGAGAGCCTGGCTATTGGAGAGTGTGGGTTTGGAACTTGAGGCTAGGAGGTTCTGTTCTGTCCTGTGCCAGCCACAGCCTTCGGATGGGCAGAGCAATGATGGGGGGAAGATGTAAAAGAAAAGAACTGAGGAAAGAAGAAGAAAACCAGCTTCAACAACAGTCTAGGCCGGATGCGGTGGGTCACGCCTGTAATCCCAGCAGTTTGGGAGGCTGAGGTGGGTGGATCACCTGAGGTCAGGAGTTCGAGACCAGCCTGGTCAACAGGTAGTGAATCCTGTCTCTACTAAAAATACAAAAATTAGCTGGGCATGGTGGTGGACGTCTGTAATCCCAGCTACTAGGTAGGCTGAGGCAGGAGAACCGCCTCAGGTGAACCAGGAGGCAGAGATTGCAGTGAGCTGAGATAATGCCACTGCATTCCAGCCTGGGCTACAGAATGAGACTCTGTATCTCAAAAAAACAAAACAAAACAAAAACACAACAGTCTGTTCTGTGGAGGCCTTGGGCAGATGCTGGGAGCTCTGAGCACAGACTGGTCCCTCTGTTGGGAGCCTCTTCCCTTCATCCCTCCTGGTTAACTTGACTCAGCATAAAGGCCATTTCTTCTAAGAGCCTGTCCCTGACTCTCCAATCGGGGATGTGTCTGTTGTCTCATAGAGTGCCCAATTCCTGCCACCATTTGTCATTTCCATTCGCAACATTTCTTTCATTGTTTGTTTTTCAGAGTCAGGGTCTCACTCTGTTGCCCAGGCTGGAGTGCAGTGGTGCAATCATAGCTCGTTGCCATCTCGACCTCCTGGGCTTAAGCGATCCTCCCCTCTCAGCCTCCCAAATAGCTGGGACCACAGACGTGCGCTGCCTTGCCAGGCTAAATTTTAATATTTTTTTTCCCCACGAGTCAGAGTCTTGCTCTGTCTCCCAGGCTGGAGAGCAGTGTTGCGATCTTGGCTCACTGCATCCTCTACCTCCTGGGTACAAACAGTTCTCCTGCCTCACCCTCCCGAGTAGCTGGGATTACAGGCTCACGCCACCATGCCCAGCTAGTTTTCTTCTTTATTTTTTGTTGAGATGGGGTTTCACCATGTTGGCCAGGCTGGTCTCGAACTCTTGAGCTCGTGATCCACCTGCCCTGGCCTCCCAAAGTGCTCACAGGCTTGAGCCACCATGCCCGGCCCTAATTTTTAAATTTGTTGTAGAAACAAGGTCTTGCTATGTTGCCCAGGCTGGTCTCAAGCACCTGGTCTCAAGTAAGCCTCCCAAAGTGCTGGGGTTCTAGGCGTGAGCCACCTCGCCTGGCGCTTGCACCGTTTTTCTGTGCATGCATCTCCACTCCCACTGCCCAGGACCTGTGGACTTAGATTTGAGTCATTACTGAGCACCTAGCACCCAGCCTCATGCCTACCTCCCACCTCGCACTACCTGTTTGCTTGATGCATTAATAAATATTCCACCTGAATCCACAGCCCATTCACTCCTGTGTTCAAGGGCTATTTCAGGAAGTGAACCTCATTTTTGGCAGTGTTCAGTCCAGTGACCTCAGCTCTGTGTACCTGGCAGGGTGGCTACGCCTCTGGGGGAATTGGATTCAGGGGTGGGGGAGAAAGAGTGTTGTTAGAGAGCTTGGTCTAGGACTAGAGGAACGTGCCCTTATGTAAAATACATCTCAAGTTAGGGAAGAAAGCAGCGGCTCTGTGCTTTGTTTTTTTTTTTGTTTTTTTTTCTTTTCTTTCTTTTTGTTTGTTTGTTTGTTTGTTTGTTTGTTTGTTTGTTTTGGGGCAGGGTCTTGCTCTGTGGCCCAGGCTGGAGTGCAGTAGCGTGATTTCGGCTCACTGCAACCTCCACCTCCCGGGTTCAAGCAATTCTTGTGCCTCAGCCTCCCGAGTAGCTGGAGTTACAGATGCGTGCCACTAAGCCTGGCTAATTTTTGTATATTTAGTAGAAATGGGGTTTTGCCATGTTGGCCAGGCTGTTCTTGAACTCCTGACCTCAGTGATCTGCCTGCCTCAGCCTCCTGAAGTGCTGGGATTACAGATGTGAGCCATCATGCCTGGCCCCCAGTTGTGTTCTGGCAGGGGAAGATGGGACAGAGAGGATGGGAGGGTGTCTGAGCCTTTCCCGGACTGACGGAACCTGTGTCTTCTCTCTTTTGTGGACAGGATGGTGATTGCTCACACCAAAGCCTTGGACCCCTCCCAGCCTGTGACCTTTGTGACCAACTCCACCTACGCAGCAGACAAGGGGGTGAGCCTGGGGGTCCCCACCCCATTTCTCCCTGCCTTTGCCTGGGCTTGTCCTGAAGCCTGCTCATGGGAACAGCTGGAAAGAACCATGTGCTGCCAGTCTGAGCTTTTTATTTTGTTTTACTTAGAAAGATAGAGACAGGGTCTTGCCATGTTGCCCAGGCTGGTCTCGAACTCCTGGGCTCAAGTGGTCCTCCTGCCTCGGCCTTCCAGAGGGCTGGGGTGACAGGCGTGTGCCACCGCACTCAGCCGCAGCCAGTCTGTTTTCAAAGATGGTCTTTGGGTTAATGACAATTCTCTCTCTGCTTACTCTCTAGGCAGTGTGGCTTTCTGAATTTAAGGAGGCTGGGCATAGGGAGATGGGATTTGTTTGCCCAGTTTGGACTCAGCATTTTTTGTACTCGATTTAATAGACTCATAAAATGTCAAAGGTTTAAGTGAGCTTAGAGTTCATCTGGCCCAAACCTGGCTGATCAGAATCTCCAGGGGAAGTTTTATTGAAATGCCAGATCTCTGCATTCTGAGATCCTGATTTAGTAACTCCAGGGTTGGAACCTGAGTTTTTTTTTTTTTTTTTGTGAAGGCAAGGTCTTACTCTGTTGCTCTGGCTGGAGTGCAGTGGTGTGATCACAGCTCACTGCAGCCTTGAATTCCTGGGCCTAAGCAACCCTCTTGCCTCAGCCTTCCAAGTAGCTGGGACTCCGGGTGTACACCACTGTGCCCGGCTAATTTTAAATGTTTTTGTAGAGATGGGATCTCACTATGTTGCCCAGGCCAGTCTCAAACTCTTGAGCTCAAGTGATCCTCCTGCCTTAGCCTCCTAAAGTGCTGGGATTACAGGCATGAGCCACCGTGCCTGGCTGATACTAGCATTCTTTTTTTTTTTTTTTTTTAAAAAGATGGAGTCTTGCTGTGTTGCCCAGGCTGGAGTGCAGTGGCACAGTCTCAGCTCACTGCAACCTCCGCCTCCCAGGTTCAAGCAATTCTCCTGCCTCAGCCTCCCAAGTAGCTGGGATAACAGGCACATGCCACCACGCCTGCGCTTGATCGTGGGAGGCAGAGGTTGCACTATTGTGCCACTCCATTCTAGCCTGGGCAACAGAGCGAGACTCTGTCTTCCAAATAAAGCGAAAAAAGATTATCTGCGAGAATGACTGCATTGGCCCCTTGGGTGGGAGGGCTTCTCCAGGGCAAGGTGAGGGGATGCCCAGTGCTGGGAGTGCTGCCTGGAGAGGAGTCAGTTCCAGTGGCGGGGGCCCTGGGTTTTGGCTGAGGACTGCGTGTTGGCAGCTGCTCTGCCTCTCACAGCCCTTCCCAGCTGCACACGTCGTGAGCGTCAGTGTGCAATCACAGGCCTGCCTCCTTTGGGCCACTTTGTGACCATGTTTTTTGCTTGTGGGGCAGGGTAATTTCAGGATCTAAATTGGTGCAGTTGGATGTTCTCAGCCCCGAGAGGCAGCTCTTCCCGTTCTAGGCTTTTTGTTTTGTTTTGTAGAAATGGAGTCCTACGATGTTGCCCAGGCTGGTCTCAAACTCCTGGGCTCAAGTGATCCTCCCACCTTGGCCTCCCAATGTGCTGGGATTACAGGCATGAGCCACTGTGCCGTGCTAATTTTCTTGATACTATTTTTTGTAGAGCTGGGGTCTTGCTGTGTTGCCCAGGCTGGTCTCGAACTCCTGGCCACAAGCCACCCTCCTGCCTCAGCCTCCCAGAGTGCTGGGATTACATCCCCTTCTTACCTTCTCTGTCAGAGGAGCCCCCACAGCATGTGAGTACTGAGTCATGCGGTCTTGTGGTTGCTGAACGGGCTCTGCTGCTCTGGTCCTAGGCTCTGTATGTGGATGTGATCCGTGTGAACAGCTACTACTCTTGGTATCGCAACTACGGGCACCTGGAGTTGATTCAGCTGCAGCTGGCCGCCCAGTTTGAGAACTGGTGTAAGACATCACAATCCCATTATTCAGAGCGAGTATGGAGTGGAAACGCTTGTAGGGTTTCACCAGGTAAGCGGTGTTGAACTTTCTGCTTGTGTATTCTCTCTGGGCAGAGATGCCAACTTGCCTCTCCCACCCTGCCCTGCGCCCACTGCAGTGCTCCCCTTGCTTCAGCTTTGGGCTCACCTCCCGCTACCCTGTCCACGTTCCCTTCTCACCAGCAGCCAGGCCTCTGTCCCACTCGCTTGGTCCTCAAAGGTGGACTCCTTACTGGCCTTGTTTCCAGACAGCCTCCTATCACCCGTTCCCAAGTGGTCTTTCTAACAAATCCAAATTTTTGTGTGTTTTTGAGACCGCCTCTTTCTCTGTCACCCAAGCTGGAGTGCGGTGGTGCGATCACTGCTCACTGCAGCCTTAACCTCCTGGGCCCGAGCGATCTTCCCACCTCAGCCTCCTGAGTAGCTGGGACCATAGGCACAGGCCAACATGCCTGGCTTATTTTTTTACTTTTGTAGAGAAGGGGCCTTGTTGTGTTCCCCGGGCTGGTCTTGAATTCCTGGGATCAAGTGATCCTCCTGCCTCAGGCTCACAAAGCGCTGGGATTACAGGTGTGAGCCACTGTGCCCGGCCACAAATCAAAATTTTTGAGTCCTATCATTGGCTCCCCCAGGCCCATAGGACAAAGTCCTAACCCCTAGTCAGGACACTCAGTGTCCTCTGCTCTCTCCTGGGTTTTCATCCTCTTCTCTTCTCACTCCTGGCCACTGATCTGTTTCCACTGCCCTCATTTGCTCTCCTGCTCTTGCTTGAGCTATTCTTTCTGCCTGAAATGCCCATGTTGGCACCATAATCACCAACTAAAAGATCCTTTTCTTTTTATTTTTTTAGAGATAGGGTCTTGCTATGTTGCCCTGGCTGGTCTCAAACTCCTGGACTCAATTGATCTTTTTGCCTTGGCCTCCGAAAGTGCTGGGATTAGCAGGTGTGATCCACTGTGCTAGCCTTTTTTTATTTATTTTTTTCCTGACAGGGTCTTGTTCTGTTGCCCAGGCTGGAATGTGGTGGTGTCATCATAGCTCACTGCAGCCTCGAACTCCTGGGCTGAAGCAATTCCCCTGCCTCAGCCTCCTGAGTAGCTGGGACTACAGGCGTGCACCACCATGTGCAGCCTAGTTTTAAAATATTTTGTAGAGATGCAGTCTCGCTATCAGGCTGGTCTTCACCTCCTGTCTTGGACTCCCAAAGTACTGGGAATACAGGCGTGAGTCACGACACGTGGCTGAAAAGATTCCTATTTGGCATCTGAGTCTCCTCATAGCTGTCCCCTCTGTGGGGAGGTTTACCCTGCCTGCCCCAGGCGGAGGGAACCTTCCCCGTGCTCTGCCCTGTTGCAGCCGGAACCTGGCTCTCCCAACATTCTCGCCAGGCACCGTTGTTATTTCTTTGGCTCTCTCTTTGATCGGACTGTGGGCTCAGGAGACAGGAGTCCTATTTATTGTTGTTTCCCAGGTACTCTGCAATAGCTGACACAGCACATGCTAAATAATACCTATTGAGGGCATGGGTGAGATCTTAGAGCCATGTTTAATCACTCACTTTGTCTTTTTTTTTTTTTTTTTTGAGATGGAGTCTCACTCTGTCACCCAGGCTGAAGTGCAATGGTGTGATCTCAGCTCACTGCAACCTCCACTTCCTAGGCTCTAGCGATTGTCCTGCCTCAACCTCCCAAGCAGCTGGGATTACAGGCACCTGCCACCATGCCCAGCTAATTTTTGTATTTTTGTAGAGGTGGGGTTTTGCCATGTTGGCCAGGCTGGTCTCGAGCTCCTGACGTCAAGTGATTTGCCTGCTTCTGTGTCCCAAAATCCTGGGATTACAGGCCTGAGCCACCATGCCTGGCCTGTCCTCATTTGTTTATCCATCTCATTTTTTGTCCTTCTCACCAAAGATATGTTGCTTTGTCTTGTGGGGTTTTTTTCATGTGGATTCCTGAACCCCATCCAGCCCCTTGTCCCCTCCCCAGCCAGCTCACACTCTTTTGCACAGCTCCTGGGACTCCCGTTGACACACAGGGAACAGCCACCCACAATGGACTGCACTGTCCTGTTTGCACCCTTAAATTTATCGTGCTTACAGAATGACACTTCTGCAAACTAGTCAAGTAGGGGGAAGTGGTTTGTGGATATGCACCCTTGTTCATTCTCTTTGAAAAGGTAACCAGCTCTGAATTCTTTCTCCTTTGAGGAGGAGTTTCACTTGTCGCCCAGGCTGGAGTGTAGTGGTGCAATCTTGACTCACTGCTACCTCCGCCTCCCAGGTTCAAGCAATTCTCCTGCATCAGCCTCCCAAGTAGCTTGGATTACAGGCATGCACCACCATGCTCACCTAATTTTTTTTTTTTTTTTTTTTTTAGTAGAGATGAGGTTTCACCATGTTGGTCAGGCTGGTCTTGAACTTTTGACCTCAAGCGATCCACCTGCCTTGGCCTCCCAATGTGCTGGAATTACAGGCATGAGCCACCATGCCCAGCCCCAGTTCTGAATTCTTAAGAAACTCGAGAGGGTCTAGGTGAGCATTGATAGAACCTCTGCAGTGCTGGGTGTGGTGGCTCACACCTGGAATGCTAGCCCTTTGGGAGACCGAGGTCAGAGGATCTCTTGAGCCCAGGAGTTTGAGACCAGTCTGCACAACATGGACCCCATCTCTACAAAATATTTAAGATGAGTTGTGGCTGGGTGCAGTGGCTGACGCCTGTAATCCCAGCACTTTGGGAGGCTGAGGTGGGTGGATCACGAGGCCAAGAGTTCAAGTCCAGCCTGACCAACATGGTGAAACCCCGTCTCTACTAAGAAAACACAGAAATTAGCTGGGTGTGGTGGCATGCACCTGTAATCCCAGCTACTCAGGAGGCTAAAGCAGGAGAATCGCTTGAACTGGGGAGGTGGAGGTTGCAGTGAGCCGAGATTGTGCCACTGCACTCCAGCCTGGGCGACAGAGCAAGACTCCGTCTCAAAAAAAAAAAAAAAAAAATAGTTGGGTATGGTCGTGCTTGCCTCTAGTCCCAGCTACTTGGGAGGCTGAGGTAGGAGGACTGTTTGAGCCCAGTAGGTCAAGGCTGCAGTCCGCCATAATTGCACCACTGTACTCCCACCTGGGTGACAGAGTGAGACCTTGTTTCAAAAAAGAACCTTTGCAATGATGGAAATGCCCCATGTCTGCACTGTCTGAAATGGTAGCCACTAGCTACATGTGGCTATTGAGGTCTTGATATATGACTAGGATAACTGAATTTATTTGGTTTAATTAAAAAAAAATTTTTTTGAGACAGCCGTACTCTGTTGCCCAGGCTGGAGTGCAGTGGCGTAATCACAGCTCACTGCTCAACCTCCTGGGCTCAAGTGATCCTTCCTCCTCGGCCCCCCAAGTAGCTGGAGCCACAGGCATGCGCCACTACACCTAGTGAATATTTAGCCTTTTTATAGAGACTGGGTTTCACTGTGTTGCCTAGGCTGATCTTGAACTCCTGAGCTCAAGTGATCCTCCTGCCTCGACCTCCCAAAGTGCTGGGATTACAGACCTGAGCTACCATGCCCAGCCTGGTTTAGTTTAATTTCATTTTACATTCATTCATTCATTCATTCATTCATTCATGAGATAGGGTCTTGTTCTGTCACCCAGGCTGGAGTGTAGTGGTGCAAACACAGCTCACCACAGCTTTGACCTCCGGGACTGAAGCAGTCCTCCCACCTCAGCCTCCCAAGTAGCTGGGACCACAGGTGTGTGCCTCCATGCTTGGCTAACTTTTGTACTTTTTGTAGGCTAGTCTTGAACTCCTAGGCTCAAGCAGTCCTCCCAACTCGGTCTCCCAAAGTGCTTGGATGACAGACATGAGCCAGCGCGCCTGACCTAAAGACATATTTTTCCTTTTAGTGTAGTTCAGCTTTAAGACTGTATCAGCAGATAGAGACGGAAAAGTAATAAAAATTGAGTATCAGGTTATATTTATAAATAAAGCAGTTACTAATTGATGTTTTTTTTTTAAACCTCCTTTTTAATTCTGGGTTACATCATTCCCTGGCTGTCTTTTTTTTTTGTTGTTGTTGTTGTTTTTATTATTATACTTTAAGTTTTAGGGTACATGTGCACATTGTGCAGGTTAGTTACATACATATACATGTGCCATGCTGGTGTGCTGCACCTACTAACTCGTCATCTAGCATTAGGTATATCTCCCAATGCTATCCCTCCCCCCTCCCCCCACCCCACAACAGTCCCCAGAGTGTGATATTCCCCTTCCTGTGTCCATGTGATCTCATTGTTCAATTCCCACCTATGAGTGAGAATATGCGGTGTTTGGTTTTTTGTTCTTGCGATAGTTTACTGAGAATGATGATTTCCAATTTCTCCCTGGCTGTCTTTACCCTAGCATCAGTGAGTCCTGCAGTCACTACAGCCCCCAGTGAGGACAGATATTTTGGTCACCATCAAGTGGATCTTTATTTTTACCTAACATTTACAATTCTGCCAGTTCTTACTCTTAATTCTCTTTGCCTTGAATCCCAGGATCCACCTTGATGTTCAGTGAAGAGTACCAGAAAAGTCTGCTAGAGCAGTACCATCTGGGTCTCAATCAAAAACGCAGAAAATACGTGGTTGGAGAGCTCATCTGGAATTTTGCCGATTTCATGACTAACCAGTGTAAGTGGCAGTTTAGCGCATGGGATAATGTACCCGTCCTCATTTTTTCAGGTTGCCTTGCCCATTCTGGACATTTTGGCTGTAAGAATATTGGAAACAAAGGGGGGAAGCTGGTTTAATCCATGTAGATTGTGTTGAGAATTTCCTAGGAAAAGTAAGTTGTGCTTAGGAAGTAGGAAAGCAGTCAGGCCCCCGCTTCCCACATACGGTCAAAAAGCAAACATGAGAGTCTGCTATAGTGAGATGGAAATGGCTAGCTTGCCTTTTTCTTGTCTATTTCATAGCCAAGGATGAAGGAAAAACTGGACCTCATTATGGATTTACTTTTGGGATACACTCATTATTCCAGAGGAGGGTAAAAGGCTGAGAAGCTTAAGGTATTTCAGTCTGTTTTATGTTACTCATTTGCGAAAAGTAGGCTCATCGAATACAGGTGAGTGTCAATGCGTCTTGAATATGGCAGCATTTAAAAGTCTTCAGACCAGGCATGGTGGCTCATGCCTGTCATCCCAGCACTTTGGGAGGCCAAGGTGGGAGGATTGCTTGAGGCCAGGAGTTCGAGACCAGCCTGTTCAGCATAGCAGGACCCCCATCTCTACAAAAACTAAACAGATTAGCTAGGTGTGGTGGTGTGTGCCTGTAGTCCTAGCTGCTTGGGAGGGTGAGGCAGGCGGATAGCCTGAGCACAGGAGATGGAGGCTGCAGTAAGCCATGATTACACCACTGCACTTGAGCCTGGGCAACAGAGTGAGACCTGTCTTTAAAAAAAAAAAGGAGCTGGGCACGGTGGCTCATGCCTGTAATCCCAGCACTTTGGGAGGCCGAGGCAGGCAGATCATGAGGTCAGGAGATCGAGACCATCCTGGCTAACAGTGAAACCCTGTCTCTACTGAAAATACAAAAAAAATCAGCCGGGCGTGGTGGCGGGCGCCTGTAGTCCCAGCTGCTCGGGAGGCTGAGGCAGGAGAATGGCGTGAACCCAGGAGTTGGAGCTTTCAGTGAGCCGAGATTGTGCCACTGCACTCCAGCCTTGGCGACAGTGAGACTGCTTCTCAAAAAAAAAAAAAAAAAAGAAAAGAAAGGGTCTTCAAAGACAATAAGATCTGTGCTCTCACGTAGGGTGGATGAGGGGCTGCCAAGTTAGCAATGAATGTTTCCCATTTCTTCTTAGTTTATGGACTTTCCATAAACTCAGGATGGCAGTTTGGTTGGTTGGAGAAGGATATGGTGATGGCGGGAGTTACAATACATTACTTATAGGGGAAGATAGGCTTTTGAAAGGTTAAAGCTTAAAAGTGAGAATGGAAAAGGGATGAATGAATGAACATGATGAGGTGAGAGGGAAGAGGTAAAGGGAAAAGGAGAACAAGAAACTCTTCTCTGCGTGGCACCTGGGATGAATGGTTTCTGGGGACATCCCTGATGGCAGTTTTGTGGAGAGGTGCAAAGCTTTGTGTGTTAAGAAATGAGCTGTAGGCTCAGTGCAGTGGCTCATGCCTGTAATCCCAGCACTTTGGGAGGCTGAGGTGGGCGGATCATGAGGTAAGGAGTTCGAGAGCAGCCTGGCCAACATGGTGAAACCGTGTCTCTACAAAAAAATAGAAAAAAAATCCCTGCATGGTGGTGAGCACCTGTAGTCCCAGTTACTCAGGAGGCTGAGGCATGAGAATCGCTTAAACCTCCGAGGCGGAGGCTGCAATGAGCTGAGATGGTGCCACTGCACTCCAGCCTGGGTGACAGAGCTGGGTGGTGGCTCAAGATATGTTTTGTAAACCTGAAGATTTGAGATCATATAAGCCAAATAGAAACTTAATTGGCATTCATAACTTTTGGTTCTAGAGACTCCATGATCAACTAAGAGCCACCAAGCATTTCCCATGTAGACTATTTTGACCATGCTGACTCTACTGACACTGTGGTTACTGAATTCATTTTATCTCTAGAAATTAATTCTTACTAATGGATGTCTGTCACTGTAAGATCCTTCTATCCTCTGAAATAAGGAGAACATTTTAACTTCAGTAGTTTAAACTAGTGTCCTAAACTATAGCATTCAAAATGAGATAATATGCTAAAGTAATACACAAACCAAAAATCCCAGTGGCTAACACAAAAAGTTTTTCTTACTCATTTTACATATCCAGAGTAAGTCAGTAATAGACGCAGACACACCCAGAGACCAAGGATGAGTTGTGATCTGTCTGCACACATAGTTCACAATGCCTGAGTGAGTTGTGCATTGGCCTTGAAACTTCCACTCATGTTTAATTAATAAAGATTTTGCTCAAATGCCATTTGATGATGAGTTTCATGACCATGATCAACTTTAAAAGAACTTGGAAGTACAATCCTCAAGCGTTTCTGGAAATAGCAGAACTACAGTATTTGAGAAAAATATTTTTTAATGTATAAAAAATTGGCAGGGTAGGCTAGCAAGCAAGAGACCTAGAGAAAAGTTGATGTTACAGTCTCAAGACGAAAGGCAATCTGCAGGCAGAATTATTTCCTTCAGGGATCTCAGTCTTTTAATATAATCAATTGACTGGATGAGCCCTACAATATTTTGGAAAATAATCTGCTTTACTCAAAAATTACTGATTTTCATGTTAATCTCATCTAAAAATACTTTCAGAGCAACAACTAGACTGGTATTTGAATATATAACTCTTTTAACTTTTAAAATATCAAATAATACAGTTATATATATATACACACATATGTATATATGTCACCTAAATTGTAGATATCAGAAATCAGAATGCTGTGATATGAATATTTAGTATATTTTAATCATGATAAATTATACATCCTTCTACCTTATGATAATGGATTTTAAGATCTATGCTGTTAAACTCTATATTTACCCTTTAATTCATATCTTGCTTATTTTACATTTATCTGAGAATACATTGGGTCTACTAAATCTTTACTATCACTCACAGTCTTACGTTTTAAGATAATTTTTCAATAAAATAAAAATTCTTCATTGCACCTAGAAAGGAGCAGGGTTTTGAAAGTGATCAATGATTACTCTAATACCTAATATAATAATATAATATAGTAAAAATCAAAATACTTGAATGAAAAATGTAAAATTAATAGTTTTGCTTTCATTGTTTTTATTCCAGTGTCCATTTTAGAATGTTTTTACTCTAATTGTGTTTTTATGCAAAACCAAATGAGCTTTAGATAATTCCATTGATACATTACATATGAAAGTTCTCGTTAAATAGGATATAGCATATTTTACTTAAAAATCCAAATTATAAAATAAAGAGGGATTTTAAGTTGAGTCTAAAATTTTTGTTTCAATTTTGTTTTTATTTAAAGACTTGCTATAATTCTGTGAGAGAGCTATAAAAGTCTACTCAGAAACATTATAATGTAAAATGGCCAGAGAAGGACAATGAGATATTTAATTTGCCACGGCAAAGCCATTGCTGTGAAGAATGGATAATATATGTCAATGGTAATATATGAAGAAATAACACAGGTGAATAGCAGAGGCAATAAATCTGTTTTTACCACAGGACTTGTCTTACACTTTTCTCTTAGTAATAAATAAAATAATTTTCGACCAGATGGAGCTGGCTTGAAATCCTCTTGTTTATGGCAGTACATATCGGTTATGATTCAAAAAATATAGCCCATTTCCAAAAACCTGCAACAAAGAGATACTTTCTCAGGTGATTGTTCAGATCATTATTCATTACAAAGTGTCAGTTTTGTCTTTATTGATCCTCATTATTGTAAGAAAGTATGTGGTCTTGTCTCCATTCTATTAAAACAACATTGTAGAGATTAGCACTGAGTCTTTCCAGCCATATGCATCTGTTCATTTCCGTCTCCAGCTTGAGTTTTTCTGTGTATTACAAAATAAGAAAACAAAAATGACACAATAATCTATTTTGTCTGGTTTTGCTCTTTATTAGTAGAAATAGACAAGTGAGGAGTTGGAGGAAGAAATTGCTTCTGATCTGTTTTAGATACAGATGAAACTCTCCCTCCCTCCCCGCCCCACCCAATCTTTCTCTGTCTCCCTCCCTGAGCCTATTCTTGCTTCTTCCCTTTACAAATAATTAACTGCTCAGGTCATGTTGAACCAAAAAATAGCATCTGTAGCCCCTGTGTGCTTACTTTAAGTATATGTTACTGAAAAATGCGGAGTGAGCACTTACAACTCATTCTCCTGGGAAGCACAGTGATACTATACCCCAAATGCTTTTCTTTATCATTTTAATTTTTATCTTCTTTACTTACATTTCCAACATCAGTTAAGAGGGTCTTGTAGTTTTCTAACTGAAAGGAGATTGTAAAATCTCCTTGCTCAAAACTCAGATGCAGAATATTATTTTTACTACAATAAATACATCTACAACAATGGTATTATATCTGGTTTATTTCAAAGTCAAGTTCTAATATAGGTAAACAAATATACTAATAAAGAGATAATGCTTTTCTCATGAAATGTATAATCTAGTAGGAATAAAGATAAACAATTTTTTTAAAAATTCTATTTCATTAAGCAAAAATGCAACTCAGAAGAATAATGTATATTAGCAGTCATTTACTATTTTTCAATTAAATTCCGATATATATGTAAAGTAAATTATTACTAATATCAAACATAGTTTAAAGAATTAGTGACTATGTGCACTTGGATCTCCATATGTAATGTACTATCAGCATCTTCACAAACACAGTAAATTTTACTACGCAAGTAAAACTTATTTTACTAAACGATGATTACTCCTTCTATATTCATATTCCTAAACACATACAGTTTCTTAATGTAATTAAGTTTTTAACTAAAAAAAGGGAAATGCATTATTGAGGCGATAGGATTACTGGGTGGCTATAAACACATCTGCTGCACAGCTGACATTTATCTTCTACAATAAGCAATGACAATTTTATTTTTTAATAATCAGTATGGACTAATCCTGATGATTTTTTTTTAACATTTTCAAATAGGGCTGCATATGGCTTAAAATTAATATATACATGTGTACCTATATAATATTCTTATTTATTAATGGACTTCCTACATAGCTCATATTGACGTTAGATTTAAATGAAATTCCAGAAGGGTTTTCTATAGGTAAGTCATACATTGGATTTCCATATTACCTATGATTATTGAAGTATTTATTTCTGTTTTTAAGACTTCAGAGCAATTTTGCTGGTCATTTGTTTTCTGTGTTTTTATTTTGAAATTGTTCTTTGAGGCATTGTCCTATTACATTTTTAAGGTATGTTAATAAAATAATATTTTTAATGAAATTTTGCCTACTGCTTTCCAGGTGAACTCTTGTTTAAAGTATTAATTCGCCAAAAATTACTTATATTCAGAAAATGAACTAAAAAAAATAATATGACGTGTTCAAGAAAGTCGAACAAAAGATACGTGATGTTTGCAACATACACAACTCCATACCCTTCTCAAATAGTAAAGAGAATAGTAAATAGAATAGGTAGTAAGCAGAGTAGGAATTGTGGAATATGGAACTCTCAGTCACTCAATTGACTTTATTTTTTAGTAATACGGGATTTGAATTATTCAAGCTGAAGCCATTAAATATTCATAGTGCTTCATATTATAAAGTTATTGATTAATGTCTTTGGTAAAGAACACTATTATTTCTGATTACATCAAGGTCATCCCGAGGAACAGGACCAAAGCATAAAGTTTTATATATGAAATATGAGAAGTTAATACATAATTCATATTTAACAGATAACATAAATGTTAACCCCTTGGAGAATCTGAAGCTAATACCCATGTTCTTCTGACAATTCTTTATACTGGCAATTTGGAAAATGCCAGTGTTTTATCGCTACCTATTCTTGTATTATGACATGAATTAATACATATCTGCCTCACTATTCCTGTGGGCAAAAAAAGACTGTGAATTATGTGCCAGAGAGAGATTTTACAAAATTAAATGAGGCAAAATACTTTTCCTCTGTATACTCATTAGAAATATGCTGAGTAGTTCCTTTCAGTTCCTTTCACTTTCCGATAAAATATAATCAGTTCAGCCATATAACAGATATCTTTTAAACTTTTAATGTCCTCTGTTAGAATGAATATGATATTTGGGACCAATTCACATTTTGGAATAATGTACATACTAAGCATAAGTGAAGAATTTAAACATTAACTTGATTTAGGATTGGACTCTTAGTTTTAAAAAGTTGAAAAACGGAATTCCAACAAATTTAAATGGCTTGTTTAGGGTTTCCACAGGCAATATGGGGTGGTGCAATGGAAAGAGAATTCCTTTAATCTAAACGTGGGCTTTATTCTGGCTCTGCCACATATTGACTGTTTCATACAAATGTAACTTAAACTGCAGGTGTCATGATTTTTCACACATATACAAATAAAACAATATTGATTATATAGGATTTGTTGAGAAAATGCAATTATGCCAAGTACAAGTATTTGGCATATTATCTCACTTTATAAATATTAGCAATTCTTTTTGTGGAGGGAATAAATCTAACATGCTGGCTTTTAGAATTTCTTCTTATTTTTCTTTCAACTTTATTGCCATGTAACATTAAGTCAATAAATCTGACAATTAGACTGTGGGTAATTTTCTTCCAAATCCATATCTTGTTTTCTCTATCCATAGTAGCATTTTAAAACAACAGAAGGGAACTTTAATTACAGTAGGTTGGGAGCCATTTTCTCCCTTTGGTCATATTTTCATTGAAATTCCTACATTGTTTAATATTAGGACTTAGTATGAATATCAAATCAACAAAGTTGCTCAATACAAATACTATGGAATCATTTTTCTGTCATGCCACAGAACTTATTAACTGTATGTTCAAAATGCAGCTCAATTCTGATCATTTTTGCTACTTTCACCACTAGCATCCTGGTGCTAACCACCATCATTTATTGCCCAGGTTATTGAAATGGCCAGCAAACAGGTGTTTCTGATTCTGCATAAGGCACCCTTCAGTACATCCTCAAAAGAGCAATTTGTATAATCACTTTAAAACATGTATCAGGTTATTACCTTTTTCTGTGTAAAACTCTGATCTCTCATTTCATTCATTGTAAAAGTCAGAACATGCACAATGCTTTATAGATGCTCCACCACATGAAGCCCCCAATTCTTCTATGGACTTCCCTCCTTCCACTATGTAATTTTCTCACTCAGCTTCACGTACAGTATTTTCTTGGTTATTACTAAACATGCAACAGATACGGTTTGTTCTATATCTTCCTCATGCTTTTGGTCAGATGCCATTATCCCAGTGAGGTTTTCCATAGCCACTTTATTCAAAGTCCAAACAATCTGTCCCCTTAGACATTCTCCATTCTTAATTTTTTGCCATTGTACTTACTACAGTCTAACACACTATACATGTTACATTTTTGCTTATTGTTTATTGTATAGTCCCTAGAATATTAGTTCCCTGAGGACAGAGATTTCTATAAGCTTTTCCAAAGATGTATCCCCAAAGCCTAGAATGCTACCTGGCAACAAATACTTGTTATAATGAATTAGAAGTGGGTAGATTCACACATCAGAGACAGCGTAGTGTATATAATGATTTTTTAAAGCATTAGAGTCATAGATACTAGGATTTGTATTATGTCTTCACCATTTACAATTATGCTACCCTCAACAAGTTGTTTAATCTTTCCATTCCTCAGTTTCCTCATGACTCATATATTGGAAATATTGTCTACCTCAGAGCTCTTCCAAGAGTAATATTGAGACAATGTTTCAACAATGTTTAGCACATTGCTGAATATTAATACATTATTTCTATTAATGTAAGAAATTTCATAGACTTGCTAGAAATAATGAGGATGGAATATAGATGAAGATCATAAAACATGATGGAAATAAATGTTGGAAAATGTGGGTGGTATCCTTAGCACACTCTCTAACGTAAGGAGTAAAATCTGTGTCATATGACTTTATCTTTCTTCTGGAAAGTAACAGAATTTAGTAACACACTTTTCTTGACCTGAGGATTTGCCCTTACCACAAAATTGTTTTTGAAACTTGAGTATTTACAATGGCTTTTTACCAGTTCTTTTATCTTCTACCAGTTCCTCTCCAATTTACTATGGACTGAATTCAGACTAATTTGTTAAGAGCAAACAAAACAAAACAAAACAAAACAGTTATTACCTCATTCTAGCCTCAAAGCATCTGCCTTTTCAATGCAATCAAAATTAAATGCAATCAAAATTAAATGCACAATTCTAATTTTGATGACTTTAGTCCCTGCTTATCTGTTATATTAGGCTGTTCTTGTATTGCTAGGAAGAAATATCTGAGACTGGATATTATAAAAATGTTTAATTGACTCACAGTTCTGCAGGCTGTACAGGAAGCACAGCGGCATCTTCTTCTGGAGAGGCCTCAGGGAGCTTTTATTCATGACAGAAGGCAAAGCAGGAGCAGGCACTTCACATGGTGAAAGCAGGAACAAGAGAGAGAGAGTGTGTTGGGGTAGGTGCACTACCATGGAGACAGCACCAAGCCACGAAGGATTCGACCCCATGATCCAAACACTTCCCACCAAGCTCCACCTTCAGCACTGGGGATCTGGTTTCAACATGAGATTTGGGCGGGACATCCAAACTATATCATCTGTCTCCCTCATCCAAGACCATGTGATCCCTAGCTCACTTTTGTCTAGCAACAGATTAAATACGGCATTTTCTGTGTGATATCTTTGTTGAGGTCTTTGCAGATGCTGTTTCTTTGTCCTGAAACTTTCTTCATCTGCTCTTTCAAAATGAGTGACTCTTCATCCTCGAAGTCTATGCTTATATATTGCTTTTCAGAGGAATCTTTTCTGAACTGGGCATTCTGCCTTCAACCAACTATTTTCTATTATAGTTTCCTGTTTGTGAGTTAATAGTCCTTTTCAAAATTTGACTACTCATTTACCTTCTTGGGTTATTTGAAATTATCTCCTCTTCACTAGATTCTATAGAAGCATAGCCATGCCTGCCCTCTTTACTGTTTCTCTACTGACTTGTTGCAATGAATATTCTCAGTAAACATGGAAATAAACCAGTTATTCAGATATCCTATCTTGGTGCTTGCTTAGATAACTCCACACTGTGATGCCTAATGACCTACATAGGGCTTTCTAGCAAGGAGTGACTTTCTTTATGCTACGTGTAATAATGATCCATCAACTTAAACATATAGTTATATTTCCAGCAGACGGTTTCTTGAAACTAATGTCCAGGGTGTAGTTATTCAAAAAAGCAAACTCTTCTCTTGATTTCTGCCATACATTGGTACTCTTTCTCTCTCCCTTTTTTATTTTATTATTTTTTTTTGAGACGGAGTCTCACTCTTTCACCCAGGCTGTGGTGCCATCCCGGCACACCCTGCAACCCATTGCCTCCCAGATTCAAGCGATTCTCCTGCCTCAGCCTCCCTAGTAGCTGGAATTACAGGTATGTGCCACCATGCCTGACTGATTTTTTGTATTTTTAGTGGAGACGGGATTTCACCATGTTGTTCAGGCTGGTCTCAAACTCCTGACCCCTAGTGATCCATCTGCCTCAGCCTCCTAAAGTGCTGGGATTACAGGCGTGAGCCACCCCGCTCGGCCTACTCTTTTATTTCTATTTTGTCTTTCCTTTCTCAAGAAAGAAAACAAACCAAAACCAAAACAGTTTGGAAGACTTTATAGTATTCATCCATACAAAAGAACAAGATCATGTCCTTTGCAGGAACATGGGTGGAGCTGGAGACCATTATCCTCAGCTCCACCCATCCTCAGCTCCCACTAACGCAGGAACAGAAAAACAAATGCAGCATGTTCTTATTTATAAATGTGAGCCAAATGATAAGAACACATGGACTCATAGAGGAGAACACCACACACTCGGACCTACCTGAGAGTAGTGGGTGGGAAAAGGGAGAGGTTCAGGAAAAGTAACTAATGGGTACTAAGCTTAATACCTGGGTGACAACATAACCTGTACAACAAATCCCCATGACACGAGTTTACCTGTATAACAAACCTGCACGTGTACTCCTGAACTTAAACTAAAAGTTAACAAAAGGCCAGGTGCAGTGTTTCACGCACGTAATCCCAGCACTTTGGGAGGCTGACACGGGTGGATCACCTGAGGTCAGGAGTTCAAGACCAGCCCGACCAACTAAATACAAAAAATTAGCTAGATGTGGTGGCATGTAATCCCAGCTCCTCTGGAGGCCAAGGCAGGAGAATCGCTTGAATCCAGAAGGCAGAGGTTGCACTGAGCCGAGATTGTGCCACTGCACTCCAGCCTGGGCAATAAGAGTGAAACTCTGTCTCAAAAAAAAAAAAAAAAAAAAGTTAACAAAACGGGCTTCTCTAGTTCTAAAGCACCAACACAGAGGTGATCAAAATACTCTAAGAAGCACTGGGAAACATTGAGGGGATGGTTCAAACATCAGAGCTAAGGCCTAATTTCCCAACAGTCATTATTTCTGTGGTATTCGGCATATTAGAGACGTATAGGTTCCTCACCTAATCCTTGTTTTGTCATTTTATTTTTAATACATATGAAAGTCATAATAACAAAAAAAATTCATACATCAGCAGCTCAGCTAGAAATAAAAGTCTCAATCTACTGGAAGCCCCTGTGAACTTGTATCAAATTCCTTTCTCTCTTCATAGAGGAAATAATGACTCCTAAAATGTGGTAATGAACAAATATCTCTAATTGTTTAAAATTTAGTATATGTGCAAGTCTCCACAGACACAATTTAATCATGATCATATATTTTTAGAAGTTAAAAACGTGTCTATCATCAGGGCGTGGTGGTTCATGCCTGTAATCCCAGCACTTTGGGAGGCCTAAGCGGGTGGATCACCTGAGGTCAGGCGTTCGAGACCATCCTGGCCAACATGGTGAAACCCTGTCTCTACTAAAAATACAAAAGTTAGCCAGGCGTGGTGGAGGGCGCCTGTAATCCAAGCTACTCAGGAGGCTGAGGCAGGAGAATTGCTTGAACCCGGGAGGCGGAGGTTGCAGTGAGCCAAGATCACACCACTGCACTCCAGCCTGGACAACAGAGCAAAAACTCCGACTCAAAAAAAAAGTGTCTATCTACCTTCTGCTTTATTTTGTTTTATATGACATTGATGATGTCCATCTATGTTGGCGCATATAATTCTTATCAATTATTTCAAATGCTGTTTAGCATTGTACTATATAAAAATATCAAAACACAGCTCCCTTTTGTTCATTATATTGCCATTTAGTTTTTTTCTCATTTTTTGCTATTTCAACAAAAAGCTGCTATGAATGTGTATGTGTGTATATATATATTAAATGTGTATATATATAAATGTATATATATATATATACACATATATATGTCAGAGTTTCTCTAGGATATAAACCCAGGAACAAAATTTAAAAATCATAGGGTGTATTGGATCTTACATCACTGCAGACCCTCTCAGCATTACCTCTTGTTCCAGTCAGAGCCTTGGTTACTATTTTTATGTAGACTTTGGTCAGTTTCATAAAGATGGAAGTGATAGTATGTGGCTTCAGACTAAAGCAATAATTCACTTTCTGCTGTGGGATTTCTCAGACAATGTTGTGTGGATTGTTGTAGGCATTTTGCTTGGTACTCATAAATGCACTGTCTAGACACATTGAGAAGTTAGCATCCATGAGGCTATGCTTGAAAAATGGAACTCCTAGAGCTGATGGATACATATTTCCCCCGTTGTTTCACTTCAGTGAATGGTCATATAGTATTACATCACCTAACTTAATAATGTGTTCTAGATTTTACTCTCTCTCCCTATAGCACCCATCCTGTTTCTTATTCTTACTCCACAATACACTCCCAACTTAAACACACAGTCTCTTCTTTAGGTGTTGGGGGTTGGGAGTTATTACAAGATGACATGGTGTATGCATTTATTTCTTTGTCTACATTGATCGCACTGATTTACAGTCTCACCAGCAGTTCATAAAATCCTTCCTTGCAGCTAAGATATGGGCACAAGACTAAAATTTATATCTTTAGCTGATATCTCATTCCTGAACACTCATCTCATTTGCAACTGCCTTGAATATCAAATAGGCCTCTCAACCTTAGTAAGTAAAACAGAATTCTTTATCTGCATCCTGCCAATCCTGCTTCTTTCCCAGTAATTTTTCACTCAGTAATTTGAGCCATTATTAATCTATTTTCTAAAGCTTCAAAACATGGAGTCATTACCAGCTGTTTTATATACACCATTCCAAGCCATTAGAAAGTCAATTCCATTTCACCTGGAAGTTTATTGCAAATTTGACAATTGTCTCTTACATGAACTACTAAAATAGCTTCTCAGCAGCATCTGTGTGCTGCCATTATCCATCCTTCCTCCAGTCTCTTCCCCACCAGGCAATGGAAGTCACCTCTGGCAATATAATGCATTTCACATTAGTTTCATTTTTCCAGCTGAAAATCTCAAAAGTATTTCATTTACATGCCTAATAAAAGCTAAAGATATAATCTTGCTCAGAACTATAAGCTGGCTTCTCCACCTACCATTATCCTTTGCCTTGATTACTCTGCTCTATATCATCATCTTGCATACCCTAACACATGACTTTTATACTCATTGCTCCATCTGTTATAAACATACTGACAAATAATGTTTCCTCTTTAGCAGTGATTTCCTGATCTAATCAATATTTTGGTATCATATAAACTCATTGGATTATTAGTGATTATCACTAACCTGCTATCATACAATACACATTTAATTTCTTTTCTCCTTGTTTATTGTCTAAACTGCTAGGTAGAAGGGCACTTTATCTATTCTTATCACAAATGTAGGACAACGGCTAGCACAAGGTTAGGAACTTACACGGTATTCAATTAATTGTTGTTTGATAATTGATTAAAAACTCTAGAACTTTGGGTTCCATTCTTATGATGACAATAATATAATGCTAGGGATGCCAAGTGAATAGCAAGTTTAACCAAGTTATCCTGTATGGGGAGCCACAGTTACTTAAAATGTCTGATAATCCACAGTCCTGGTGATGATGTGGAATATCACTCTCTTAATCAATGCAAACAATTTATTTAATAGTCATAGTGCTAAAGATGGCATGCCCTCCAAATGAGCAATTGCACTCTTTGTTATGCATTTATATGAATATGTATATAGGAATAGTCATGATAAAACTACTAATTATTATAAAATTTTTGGAAAAAGCATAACTATTAAAAATGAAATTGGTAACTTAAGACTACTCAATACATCAATAAAAATGAATGAACTATGCAAAAACATGGATGAATTTCAAAAACGAAATTTATTTTCATTATTTATTAAGAAAGAAAATTTGCACTGTTTCCAAGTCTAATACCAAACAGAACTAAATGGTATTTCTGGATAAACAAATTAGAAAATAAAATTATAAAAATTGCAAGAAAAAAATTACCACAAAAGTTGGGATAGAAGTTACATTAAGAGATGGCATGGTCTTATACAAAGAAAACCCTAAAGACTCCGAAAGACTCCTAGACTTGACAAATGACTGCAATAAAGTTTCAGAATACAAAGTCAATGTCCAGTAGTCAGTAGTATTTCTATATAGCAATAATATTCAAGCTGAGAACAAAATCAAGAACTCAATCTCATTTACAATAGCCACACACACACACACACACACACACACACACACATAACTGAGAAATACGTTTAACCAAGGAGGTAAAATATTTCTACAATAAGAACTACAAAAGATGGGTGGAAGAAACCTGAAATAAAACAAACTAATGGAAAAATATCCCATGTTCATGGGTTAAAAAAAATTAAAAATGACCATGGTGTCCAAAGCAATCTAAAGATTCAATGCAATTTCTATCAAACTACCAATGTCATTTTTCACAGAATTAGAAAACAGCAATCCCAAAGTGTATATGAAATCCTGAATTGAAAAAATGACCCGGATAGCCAAAGCAATTCTAAGCAAAAAGAACAAAGCTGGAGTCAGCACTTCACCCCATTTCAAATTATACTACAAACCTATAGTAACAAGAACAGCATAGTACCAATACAAAAACAGATACATAGTTTAATAAAATTAAATAGAGAACCAAGAAATAAAGCCACATACCTTCAACCAACTAATCTTCAACAAAGCATGCACAAATAAACAATGTGGAAAGGATACCTTTTTCAATAAATTGTACTAGAAAAATTGGATATCCATATACACAAGAATAAAACTGGGTTCCTATATCTCACCATATATAAAAATTAAGATTGATTAAATACTCAAATGTAAAAACCTGTAAAATTCCTAGAAGAAAACCTAGGAAAACTTTACTGAATATCAGCCTTGACAAAGAATTTATGACTAAGTCATCAGAAGCAAATGAAACAAAAATAATAATAGGCAAATGGGACCTAAGTAAAGTAAAAATCTTCTGCACAGCAAAGGAAATAATCAACAGAGTAAACAGGCAACCTACAGAACAGGAGAAAATATTCACAAATTATGCGTCTAACGAAGTACTAATATCCAGAATCTACATGGAACTCAATAAATAAATAAATAAACACATTATGTCATTACAAAGTAGGCAAATGACATAAACAGACATTTATCAAAAGAAGACATGCAAGTTGCCAACAAACATTAAAAAATACTCAAGGTCACTGATGATCATAGAAATGTAAATCAATATTGAAGTGTGTATTAGTCTGTTCTCATGCTGCTATGAAGAAATACCCGAGACTGGGTAATTTATAAGGAAAAGAACTTTAATGGACTAACAGTTCCATACAGCTGGGTAACATTCAGGAAACTTACAATCATGGTGGAAGGGGAAGCAATCAAGTCCTTCTTCACATGGCAGCAGGAAGGAGAAGAATGAGAGCCAAGCAAATGTGGAATCCCCTTATAAAACCATCAGATCTTGTGAGACTCACTCACTATCACAAGAACAGCACGGAGGGTAACCGCCCTCATGATTCAATTACCTCCCACCAGGTGCCTCCCATGACACATGGGGATTATGAGAACTAAAATTCAAAATGAGATCTGGGTGGGGACACAGCCAAACCACATCAAAAAGTGATTCATTTGACATGGTCTTCCCTATCTTCTCTCATTTAGGGTAACATTATTTCCTTGAATCAAAAGGGTATCCCTGTAGACTTTGAGTTCATCTTGACATCTTTGAACCATGGATTATCAATTTGCAAATGTTATTTGTTGAATTATTGAGCTATATTCCTTGAAATGCTTTTAAGAATGATATTTTCATTAAAATAAATGAGGGACTCGAATCCTGATATTTAGGAAGATTTCTCAACATCATCACATACAATTATGAATTATTATGGACACAACAGTGGTAGTTTGGATTTTTATTGTGGTTAAACTTAGAAAGTACAAAGTATTCATAAATCTACATTTTAATATTTTATAATTCAAATGAATTTTAAGTAACTATTTTGATATTCTATAAATAAAAATGTCACCTATACTATATAAGGATTCACTCACTTCTGTCTGCATTCTCATCAATACCTGATGTGTTGTGACTTTTAAAAAATAGCCATTCTGACTAGTATAAGGTGACATTTCATTGTGGTTTTAATTTTTATTTCTCTGATGATGAGACTGAGCATTATTTCATATGTTTGCTGTCCACTTGTATGTCTTCTTTTGAGAAATGCCTGTTTATGTATTTTGTCCATTTTTTAATGGGGTTATCTATTTTGTTGTTGTTGTTGAGTTGTTTGAATTTCTTGTCGATTCTGGATATTAGTACTTAGTTGGATGCATAGTTTGCAAATATTTTCTCACATTCTTCAGGTTATCTGTTTTCTCAGTTATTTCTTTTGCTGTGCAGAAACTTTTTTGTTTAATTGAGTCCCATTTGTCTACTTTTGTTTTTGCTAAATTTGCTTTTGAGGTCTTAGTCACAAATTTTTTGCCAAGGCCAATGTCTAGAAGAGTTTTTCCAGGTATTCTATGAGTACTTTTTATATCTTCAGGTATTATATTTAATTCTTTAATTCATCCTGAGTTAATTTTGTGGATGGCAACAGATAGGGGCCCAGTTTTATTCCTCTGCATGTGGCTTTCCAATTTTCCCTGCACTATTTATTGAAGGGGATATCCTTTTCCCAGTGTATTTTTTTTCAATGTTGTCAAACATCCATTGACTGTAGGTAGGTCCCTTTATAAATATCCACTAATAAAGTGACAAAGTGCCTTTGTCACTTTATTCCTGGAATTTCTATTTTGCTCTATTGAGTATTGTGTCCATTTTTATATCAGTATCATATTGTTTTTGTTACTATAGCCTTATAGTATAATTAGAAGGAATGTAAATTTGTCCCACCTCTATTAAAACAGTATGAAAATTTTTTCAAGTATTAAAGAGCCACAATTCACTCTATCAATCCTATACTGGGTGTATACCCAAAAGAAAAAATATCATTATACCAAAAAAGATATTTGCACTCATTTATTTATAGCAGCAATATTCATAGTACCAAAGATATTGAATCAACATGTGACCATCAACAAATAACTGGATAAAGAAAATGATGTGATATACATATATACATATATACACACACATACACGCACAATGAATACTACACAGCTATAAAAAATAAATCATTTCACTTGCAGCAATATGGAAGGATAATTTTACACTTTATGTCTTAGTCTGTTTTGTGCTGCTGTAACAAAATACCTGAGA
Organism: Homo sapiens; assembly: GCF_000001405.40. Taxonomy (NCBI): domain Eukaryota; kingdom Metazoa; phylum Chordata; class Mammalia; order Primates; family Hominidae; genus Homo; species Homo sapiens. The sequence goes on from NW_016107297.1 coordinate 167,720, forward strand.
CTGGGTAATTTATAAAAAATAGAAAATTATTTTCTGATAGTTCTGTAGGCAAGGAAGTCGATGATCAAGATACCAGCATGTAATGAGGGCCTTCTGTTGCACTCTCAGATAGCATTAGTTTAAATGGCAAGAGAAAGGCAGAACTCTATTTGAGAGGGCTGTTGCAACCTTACAGCATGATACATTTTGTGAAATGTGGTTTTGAACATTTTTATTAAAAATGTAGGCATCAAAATCTCTACCATTTGTGTCATGTTATAATAATAACTATAAAACTGCATTATTCAGAATATGTAACAATAAAAATTAATATTAAAAAGTTTTAAAATGTATTTGCTTTTTCATATATCATTTCTATTGATCATAACAACCAGATATGATAACCAGGGCCAGATATTTCTACTGTTATCATTAGAAATCAAAGAAAACTAACATATTGGATGGTTTTAAAAATTATAAAAATTGTAAGTGTACATATAAATATTAACTTGTAAGTCATCCTGCAAGTATTATAATCAAATTTCATTTTCAAATCGTGATGAATCTAACATGATACCTAAGTTTGTACATTGAAAAATGTGTATACATGTGCACACACTTTTAATTTAGATTTTTCTCATTCTGAGTGATAATGCAGCAAAATTTAAAGAGATTACACTATAATTATGTTTAAAACCTTACTTGCACTTTTGAAACAAATCACAGGTTAAGTCATGATAACAGGACAAAATATACTTAGCTGCTGAATATAAACAAAGTATACAGAAGCGTAAATCTTGCGAGCACAAAAGTGTTAAAAACAGCAAGATCTAGAGGCTCAAGTACAAGAGAGATATATTATACCAAGAGCAGTAATCTCAAAAATTTATATCCCAAATGTGTAGACTTGATCTTATTTTCAGTCAGTGTGTTCTGTATGGAAGATGAACATGCTCCTGACAATGGAGTATGATTTAGAAAACTATATCCTGCACAGAGGGATATGTGATTATATACTGCACTTCTGTGCAAAATTTTAAACAGAATTTAATCAATCACTTTAAAACCTAGATGTATTTGTGGAACAATGACATCACTTTGAAATTATGTGTAGTTTGTAAATGCACAAAATTAATAATGTATTTTGTGTAAATGGATTACTTTGGAAAGAAACTCATAAGAACTACATTATCAGACAAAACATTCTTTGAAAATGTGTGTGCTACAAGGCAATTTGCCATTTCATTTTAATAGAATGTTCCATGCTGAAAATGTCTAACTGCTCAGAAGTGGAATAGGAGTGTAAATTTATTATCTGAGAAAAGAAAATTAATTGACACAGGCCAAAAATGTAATGGAATTAGACCCATGTGCCTTAGTGAGAACTTAGGAATTCGATCTGGGCTCTATGGAGTGATAAAATTATGCAAAAAAAAATGAAGTATGTCATTTTTGCACAAAGCTCAGGATTTCTCAAAGGAATATTACATAAAATAATGAAGTCTCCTTTATCTCCAAGACAGTCCAGTCTTAGAACGCAATGGAACATGCCATTTGAAATAAAAAACAAATTTTGTTTTTGTTTTGTTTAGTTATGTTTGGTGCTATTTTAAGTATTTAACATTCATAAAGAGAGAATTAGCAATTAATGAGATAAAGTTTTAAAAAAATCTAGAGATCAGGACAAGGTAAAAAAAAATCATTCAGTCTTGCAAATCTGTTATTTAATAGGTCATGTTTTAAGAACTGGGAATACAGATACTGTGTGTATTTTAAATAGAAAATTTGAAATGTACAATAAGTCATTTTTAAATATAGTCACTCTGCTATAAAGTCAATCTCTAAAACTCAATCTTTGTGTCTAACTGAAACTGTACCCTGTGAACAACATCTCCCCATTCCCTATCCCTTGCCTCCAGCATTAACTAGCATTCTACTCTCTACTTTTAAGGGTTTGCCTTTTTTCGATTGCTAAAAAGTCCATTTTCAGTGTTCTCACAACAAAAAGATAAATATGTGACATAAGAGATGTGTTAAGCAGCTTGATTTAATCATTCCACAGTATAAATATATACGAAGACATCATACTGTACCCCTCAAAACAATTATTATTTATTTAAAACATTTAAAAACAAAAAATGAGACAAATATCAGGAAAGTAATTTTATACATAAGCTAGATAATTGCCTATAGCTGCGTATGCTGTGAAATAATTTCTGTTTGAAAAGACAGGAAAAATTATATGGCAAAACCATAGTGCAGTAATAAATTTGTCATGTTTAGTAAACAAAATATAGTTCAATGTGACTGAAGCATACTAAGAGGCAGAAGAATGTGGTGTACACTGTAGTGTAGAGGAGTGTCTTAGTTTGGGCTGCTATACAAAATACCATAGATTGAGTGGCTTACAAATAACAAAAAAAGTATTTCTTACTGTTCTAGGGGTTGGAAGTCCAAAGTCAGAGTGCCAGGATGTTCTGGTTTTGGGGAGGGCCCTTTTGCAGGCTGCAGACTGCTGGGTTTTTGTATAAGCACATGGGGAAAGAAGTGAGAGCTCTCTTAGGTCCCTTTTATAAGAACACTAAGCCTATTCATGAGGCCTCTACTGTCACAACCTAATTACCTCCTGAAGGTCCCACATACTAATACCATTACATTGACAGTTAAGATTTCAATATACAGATTTTGAGGGTACACTTTAAAAATTCAGTCCGTAACATTCTGCCCCAGGTTCCCCAAAATTCATGTCTTCACATGCAAAATGCAGTCATTCCATTCCAACAAATCCACAAGTCTTAACTCATTCCAGCCTCAAGTCCAGTCTAAAGTCCAAGGTCTTATTTAAATATTACCTAAATCAGATGCAGGTGAGCTTCACGGTACAGTTCATTCTCACAAAATTTCTCTTCATCTGTGAACCTGTGGAATCAAACAATATGAATTTTCAAAATACAATGGTGAGACAGGCATAGGATAAACATTCCCATTCCAAAAAGAACCACTATTCGAAAAAAATAAAATATATGAATGCTGGATCCCAAGTAAATCTAAAACCTAACAGGGCAAACTCCATCAAACCCTAAGGTTCAAGAAGCATCCTCTTTGGCTTGATGACTCACCTTCCAGACAGTCCCCGACAGCTCAGTGAGGCACTCCTCGCTGCTGACTCTATGCACTGGACCCACTTATGGCACAGTCTTTTGTCAGGGCTGAGGTCACTCACCCAGGGCTTCACTGGATGGCCCTCCCACACAGCTCCTCTGAGCATCATTTCTGTCCTTTGAAATCAGAATGGAGGCAACCATGGCCCACCTTGCCATACCCTCTGGATTTTTGCTAAAAGTAGCAGCTGTAATTGTCTCCAAATCCCCTTTGAGCCCCCCTTCCTTAATTTTGAAGAAGAGAATAGCACACATCCACAACTGAATAGCTCTCTGCTCTCGGGTCCAGGCCTGTAGGGCTTAAGCATTCTGAATGTCTTCCTTTATTTCGTCCCATTATCTCTGTTTCCTTTAGTCCCAACTGGCAGTGTTTCTCCTGGTATAATCCCATTTCTAGTCATGGTTTGTGTTGAGATGTTTGATTAAGCCTATGGTTCACACCCATATTAATCAAATCAGTAAGGGTCCGAAACACTCCTCATGTTCTCTTCAGAACACACTTTCTCGCTTTTTTTGCAATATGGACAGGCTGAGAATTTCCCAGATCTTAAATTATGGTTACTTTTTCCTTAACCATTCCATCTTCAAACCTTTTTCTTTTTCTACATTTGACTCTACAGATTCAGAAGGAACCAAGCTGCTGCTTCTACATGTTGCTGAGAAATCTGCTGGGTTAAATGTCCAATTTCACTGCACACAAGTTCCACCTTCCGCAAAACACAAGAGCATGAATACAATTCAAAAAAGTTTGTTTCCACTTTTCAACATGGATTGCTTTTGCTCCATTTTCCAATAACATATTCATTTCCATTTGAGACTCCAACAGAATGACCTTTACTGTCCATATTTTATCAATATTCTGTTCATGATTATTTAATTATTTTCTGAGAAGACAGCGTTTTCTTCTATATTTCTTTCCGAGCCCTCACGAGAATTGGCTTTTAAATTTTTTCCACAGTAATCTAGCATTTTGCATAAAACCTCATCAATCTCTGCCAATCACTGAGCCCAAAACCATTTTCACTTTGTTTTAGGTATTTATAATAACAGCACTCCCACTTCTCATGATCAATTTCCATCTTCAGCAGTTCAGGCTGCTTTAATAAAGTTCCATAACCTGAGTGGCTTTTAAATAACGGAATGCACATCTCACAGTTCTGGAGGCTGGAAGTCCAACAGCAGAGAGCCAGCATAATTGGGTTCTGGTGAGAGAGCTCTCTTGGGTTTCAGACTGCTGCCTTCTCAATGCAGCTTCACATGGTGGACAGAAAGAGCTCTCAAGAGTCATTTTTAAGGGACTATAGTTTACACTAATCTGTTGTATGTTTCAAAATAGCTAGAAGATATAGCTATAGTTTGTGTCTACCATAAGGCAAAGAAATTTATTTGAGATGATTGGCTACCCCAGTTATACTGATTTCATCTTTACAAATTATATCGTTGTATTAAATTATCACATATACTCTCAAAATATGTACATCTATTACTATATATTAATGAAATAAATTAAAAAGTTGAGAAATAATAGAAAACAAATCTTATGCTTCAAACATCTTTATTAAAAGATACAGTTGTTAATATTTTAAAAATTTTAGTTTATACAAATCTAAAATTTTATGCATTAGACATAGAACAGAAAATCAGTCAGGTTAATAAAATTTAATATAGAAATTTTTGCATATATATTGCTGCTTTAGCTTATGTAAACTTTATGATGGCCAACAAAAGAGCAAGATGGATCAGACACATCAGATTTAATTGTTTTAACTGAAAGTGACAAATATTACTTTCACTCACGGTCCATTAGCCAAACCTAGTCACATGGCCAACATCACTGCAAGGAAAACTACAGGGTCAAAATCCCTTGGTCCACCAACGAGAGTAGAAGAGCTGAGTCTTTCTGAGAGACAAATGAGATAACATATTGAAACACTTAGTAATATCTGTTTTTATCTCATTATTACTGTTAATTGCACTTGTTTTAGGTGTGTCTCTCTCAGTTCTTTTTACTGTTAGTATATCTGGAGTTAGAACGTGTTGATTCTACAATATCCTAGTCATTTAAATAAAAATGGTTGGGAAGAAAAACTATGGCATTATTTCAATTTTGTTCTTCTTTAGTAAGAAAGATCCCTTCTAACTCTACTCCCACATCTACAATATCTGAAATACAGACTTTCTGTGGACTACCTGCCATGATATGTGTACTATCAATATGTTCACTTTCAGATGCAGCAAAAATAAAGTTAGGTAAGTTCCAAAAGCTGAGAGCTCCCTTCATTGGTAACAAATTAGCACCTATGGACATTTTGCATACATATATACTACTACATTCTGCACAAGAAATTGTGCTTGTTATAAAGGCAGGACTATCCTCAAGGAAACCTTGAGTTATCCACAGTTAATTCAGAATAAATATCAATGGATTGCAAAGTCCTCTGCTAAGGCTCTGAATTTGCACCTTTAAAGAAATCAGCCTTTCACATTTATTAGAGGTACGAACTGTTAATATACTTAATTTTTGCCTTTTATTAAATCAAGATTCTAATAGACAATAGGTTATAAAATGCTGCATACTGATGAAAAAAAATTCAAGCCAAAAACTACTAGCAAATTCTGCTAATAAACATTTTAGATAAAATATAGTTACATTTTTGTTTTGAGCTCATCTGAATCAATTGTGTTAGAGTTCTGATTACTAGTTTTTCTCATTGCTATTTCATAATAAAAAGGCTATGCAAATGAGGTTCATTAATTATTAACTACAGTTTTAAATCATTTACTTATTTACATCTGCAACATTCTTCTACAGATTTCAATAAATTTTTGAGTGTTTTTATAACCAGAATGGTCTTGAGGGGATTCCCATAGAATTATAGATAATTTGATAAAGCAATATAAACATCATAAAATTATTCCTATTGTCATTTAATTTTGAAATACATAACATAATACAAATTGAGCAACATATCTAGTTAATGTCAAAATCATATGTCTCAAAAGCACACTATACTTTAAATTACCATGTAATTATATATCAAATTACTCATTAAAAATAGCATTACCTACCTTCCAAAATGAATTCTTTTAAATTATTTTTAATTCAACAGCAAAAATTTAAATGGAAGTAGGAGCTTGATTGCATATTATATTTTTGGATTACATCACAAATAAAAATATACTTTATGAAAATTTCTCTATTCATTGTTTAATTGCAATATATCTTAGCTGAGTTACATTTATTAAATGCAGACAGTTAACTATTAAACATTAAAACAATTTAGAACAATATTAAAGCAATAAGGCTAATTTTCCTCTCTTTCCTGTCAGGTGAAGACAATATTCCAGCACTAGAAATAATAAGGATGTATACTATACACACACACACACACACACACACACACACACACACATATATATATATAAAACATATGGCAATTAGTCTTAAAATCATACTTCAAGTTATTTATTAGTAATGATTACACATAATTATTTTTGAAATGTGTTGGTTCCATGTGTTTCTTCTGTGTTCTATAAATGCAATGTAAAACTCTCACTGAGATAAAAATCCCATAATCTTCTCTTTTCAAAAATTATTATAAACTATTAGTATAATATGTGCATATACTAACATATGCATACTCCCTCAGCTGTAAACATACTTCAGTTATTTATGACTTTGGACTGCAAAAGGGACAATCATAAATATAACATATATATTACATAATTTTTTTCTAATATTAGTTACCCTTTTATTATTTAGACAGTATCAATGATGAGACTTTACTAAAACACCTAAGGAATAATTTCTATAATTATATATTTGTATAAATATCAATAAATATCTCAACTTCTTTGGATGTGTTTCTTGATTTTTTTCTATCAAATAAATATAAAATGTCACCATGAAATAAGTGCCCCCAAATGGTAATAATCATGTATTGCTGAACTAAATTGTTGAATGCCACACAATTAGTGTTACTATATAAAGCAGTTAGAAAATATCTAACACTTTCTATGTAAACTATTAGATATTTTAAATTTAAGTACCTTATTATGTTAGCATATGCCCTTCCCATGTGGGGGATAATGAATAAATAGGAAGATTACACTTTTCCAATATCAGTATTGCTCACAGCAAATCACTTTTTCATTCAATCAGAGTCACTGCTGTCAATGAACTGCATTTAATTCGCAAGGGTAACTATTGCATTTGGCTTGCATTAAATTATTTTATGTTGCTGATTTTAGCTCATCATTTTTCTTAGATGATAAACTCCCTGATGACAATTACTGTGTGCTCACTATATTACCTCAAATGGGAGAAGTATATGAGACATTAGTCTTCATTGAATGGCGCTCATAAAGAAATCTAAACCCTGACTCAAGGGGTGGAGAATTAATACTTTGACATAGTTAATTGGGTAATTGCCTTAATTACTGAGGCCCATGAACAAAATGAATAATGTGAGTTTATTCACATTTTACATTTAGTAAGAAAAACTTCTTAACTATCAACTGAAATTACCTTCAATGTCCTTTTCTGGTGATAAGAAACATAGTGAACTTAATCTAATTTTCTCAAGTCATTATTTACAGAGAGGAAAAAATTCTAACCAAAGAGTGTATTAAAAGTGGACCAGAATCCTCCTGAGCCTAATAGATATGAATGCCTATAGTTACCTTGTTAAAATGAAGGAATTTTAAAGAAAATAGTCCATTTGCTTGAGAAACAGTAATATTTTATTTTTATTATTTATTGCTTGACTATTCATTGAACATTCAAATCCCTAGAAAGAAAAATATATTTAGGCACCAACAATAAAAGTATCATTGCCAAATTAAATTTTCAAATACAAGGCAAGCAACTCTGTATCTCATCCATTGATTTCCATCTGTCTCTTGTTTCATTTATTTCCTCGGGGTTAATTATTCTTTATAGACTTACAATCATTAATACATATCCATACTTGTTATATGTTAGTTGAAAAATAAGGTAAATGGTTATTATTGTTAATAATAAATGACAATGTAGACTAAGGTGCTATATCTATTTATATGTAAGGTAGTTCAAAACCGTAAATCTATCAGATAGTTCCTCTATTAATGAACAAACAAGTTTATTTTCTCAATATTTCCAATTTGGTAAAGTTACCTTATAAATGTGATAAGTGAGCTTTATTTTTTATAAAGATATTCTTTTATATTCATAGAAAATATATTAGGTAATGTCCGAAGACCTTATCCCAAAATCTAAAAATTTTCTTAAATTACCAAAATTAACTAAAATAAGCCATAAAGTGTTACCATCTATTGCCAGTTTTTCAAGTCAACTTTAAATAAACATATTTAGAATAACTTTTAAATGTTTATTACTCAAAACATAGTCTAGATAGAACATTAAATCTCCACATTTTAGAGTATTGTAAACATATCAGAAAGTACAGTAAATATTTTATCAATAACCTACACCAAATTTGACACCAAATAATTGACATCAATGTCTTCTTTAGTATTGCTATTTTTTTCTATACTGAAGTCTTTCATATCTGGGGTACATTTCTTTAAGGCCAAATTTATTCGTTTAGTTTTGTGTTTTGGTAGATTAGCAAGGTTGTTTAATATATTGTTATTATTACCAACATTTTCTTATATTTATCCTAGTCATATAAAACAATTTCAGATAACACTTTATTGAAAAATATTTTACTATGTAAATAAGAAATGTTTGCACAACTGTAAACAAAAAAATGGTCATTAACAGCATATATTCTCTCCATCAGTGAGGCTAAAATAATCTTTGGTCTTTTCCCATCATTTCATATACAGTAAGAGCACATCTTGTGTTACGTATTAGTTAACTGACTTAAACTGTGATTACTGGGTGTGATGATTAGTAGTATATGTCAGGTTGACTTGGCTAAGGGATGCCAAGATAGCTGAAAAAACATTATTTTTGTATGTGTCTATGACGGTTTCAAATGTTAGACTGAATAAAGATGTGAGTGGGCATCATTCAACCTGTTGAGAGCCTGAATAGAACAAAATAGTAGAAAAAGGGTGAATTCACTCTCTCTGTTTGTCCTCAGATGTCAGAGCTTCTGGTTCTTGGGGCTTTGAACTTGGACTGGATCATACCATCAGCTTTCTGTTTCTCTAGCCTGCAGTTGGCAGATTGTTGAACTTCTTGGCCTTAACTATAAGCCAAGGGCTATAATCTCTGTTTCTGTTTCAATATCAATATCCCATTGATTGTGTTTCCATAGGGAACTCTGACTAATATACTGGGTTTATTTTTTCATGGAAATGTTAATAACATACTTGTACAGACTGAGCAGAAGATGTAGCATGCTGGAGTCTGGTTTACTCAAAGCAGATACTAAGAAGAAAATTCCGAAAATTCCAATAGAAATATAAGAAAATGGCCGGGCGCGGTGGCTCACGCCTGTAATCCCAGCTCTTTGGGAGGCTGAGGCGGGTGGATCACGAGGTCAGCAGATCAAGACCATCCTGGCTAACACGGTGAAACCCCGTCTCTACTAAAAATACAAAAAAATTAGCCGGGCGCGGTGGCGGGCGCCTGTAGTCCCAGCTACTCGGGAGGCTGAGGCAGGAGAATGGCGTGAACCCGGGAGGCGGAGCTTGCAGTGAGCCGAGATCGTGCCACTGCACTCCAGCCTGGGCGACAGAGTGAGACCCTGTCCCAAAAATAAATAAATAAATAAATAAAATAAAAAAGAATATAAGAAAATACTTTTGGACATTGATTAGAAGCATAATAGAAAAATAGAGACAGGAGACATGAAAAGTTAACATTGTTTTAAAAATTATTTAAAAATGGAATATTTTAGGAACTAGTATTAAAATTATACTTTATACTTCATTTTGTTATTAAAATACTGTATGTGGTTAAATGTATAAACACATTTAAATATAACAAAGTTCCTAAATTCTATGTGTAATTCCATACCATTATGAGTGGACTATAAGTAGTGTTTATTTTGTCTTCCTTCTTATTTCTGTAAATCACAGTGTCTGTGTGAAAAAATCAGCTACTTACTCATTGTTCTTGAAGAAATTGTAAGAATTACCATAAATCTATGTGTTGATATTAGATTACAAGTTAAATGTTCTGGTCATGTAATTTGGCATGTTTATTCATAGAGCTCTTAGGGGATGGATCTTCCTAAACTTGTGGTTTCATGCCCCATTATCTTTTCTGGTGGCTGTTTGGGGAAAAGAGACTTAAAATGCATGAGTTAGCACCCTCTTCTCTTCTCTTTTGAAATCTGTTAGCTGCTAAGAGAATATGTTCTAGTTTGCTCTTGGCCATGCACTCTCTTAGTGGCATTGGCTCTGTCTACACTTTGAGTAATATTGATTTGGCCTTTAATTTGCAAAAACTAAGCCATATTCTCCAATATTAATTTTATCGGTGAAATTACCTTTTTTGTCTATTAGTGTGACTCTTACATCTGTGACTCAGGCATACGGTATTATTATCCAGCCCTTAAAAAAGGACCCAAAAGCTTAGAGCCTTGGCTTCTTTTGTGTCTTTAAGTTGAGCAGTTTGCCTTAGATATCTCTTGCCTTAGCTCTCATCTTCTTGGGTCTTTCCTTAAACGTCATTTTTTTTTTTTCAGTGTAGTCTTAGCCACTTTACTTAAACTCTGGAGTCTCCAACCTCATACCAGACATTTCTATTTCCTTCCTCTGACTTTATTAGTGCAGTTATTGTCATCAATTGTATTCTATTTTTTATTGTTTGAACCATTTATTCTCTGTTTACTTCACTGGAATTCAAGTTCCATGGAGGCAAACACGTTTGTTGACATGACTGATAGCATGTAGAACAGCAGTCCCTGGCACAGAGTAGATATTCAGTGAACATGTGAACTTTGTTATTAAGAAAATCACTCAAACCGAAACGTATAAAGTGGACGCAATGTAGAGAATAAGTGTGTTTTTGCAAAGGAAAAAGATTTTGAAAAAGTCAATATTTTGAGAAATAGCCTCTCAGAGTTTCTATTCCTACATTGATCATGAACGAAACTGAAGCAAAATAGTAATAAAATTAGTAACTTATTATTAAAATAATTTAAAATACAACATTCATAAACCTGTGTGTGCATCTAACAGTATCAAAATAAATCAGAACTTTTTGGAACTGTTAGAAAGCATCCATACTCACAGTAAAAAATTATGATCTGATAGGCCAAGAATACATTGGTAATGAATAAGGAATATCTAAAAAAAAATGCATTAATAAGCTTAATTAAATGGGTATATAAACAAACTGTCACACAACAAAGATAAAAAATATATACTATTTAATAAAGTAATTCTTTTAAATTTTAAAAAATACAAACATTCTCATTTAATTCTGAAAGTAAATATCATATAAATCATTCTGTAAGAAATAAAATTAATTAGTAAATCTATAAATTAACTTTTTTCAGATAGTGATAGAATCATTTTTATATCCCTTCAATCATCAATATAATGGACTAAATACACAGACTTATTAAAAATTTATTATTATTATTTTGAGATGGAGTCTCACTCTGTCACCCAGGCTTGAGTGCCGTGGCACAATCTTGGCTCTCTGCAACCTCCGCCTCCTGGGTTCAAGCTATTCTCCTGCCTCAGCCTCCCGAGTAGCTAGGACTACAGGCACAAGCCACCACGTCTGGCTAATTTTTGTATTCTTACTAACAAGGAGGTTTTACCAGGTTGGCCAGGCTGGTCTCGAACTCCTGACCTCAGGTGATCCGCCTGCCTCAGCCTCCCAACGTGCTGGGATTACAGGGGTGAGCCACCGCGCCCGGCCCACATTATTTTTATACAATATAAAGACAAACTAGAGCACATTATTGAATATATTTCATGTGTCATTGCTTTATTTCAGGAATTAAGTCTGAACAATAATACTGTGAGGTGTAGTGCCAATTTTATTGCCTCATTTAGAACACCTGCTGTATTTCAGAGACTTAAGAACTGAAAAAAAAAGCATATTTAGTTTCATCTTTAGTAATAATATTCTACTAGTATATTTTATTAATAAAATAAATTTTACTTCACTTAAATGAAAAGATAATATGTACCTCGTTAGAATTTATCTTCAAAAAATACACTAAATCTCAGATTTATTTCAAACATCTGTAGAGAACTAAAGATCACAATTCCTTGATATTTCATAGACTCACATAATAGTTAAGTGAAAGGATAGATTTTTAGCACAATCCCTTTTGAATATGTGAAGAAATGAAGATTGAATTTTTGCCCCTGGCTTTATTCCTGATCATCAGGTCAATCCCCTTTTCTTCAAAATAAATAGTTTCTTTCACTCTGGAGCTTGTGAAAACATGTGAATTCTTAATTTCTCCTAAATATATGTTAAATATAGTGTTGTTTATTTTGAAGTGATTTTAGTGTTTCTAAATATAGATGCCCTTCAGTTCTTTAAATATTATAAAAAATAATAAATTTTCAACACAAAGACTATCAAATAATTTAGCCAAGTTATTTTTATAAGTCAAGTAGAAGTCACTAAGAGGTTACCAAAAGTAATCTCAGGAGTACAGACCAGTTACCATCAGTAAGGGAAACAGTGTGTGTAAGCTAGACTCCAATAAATCACCATGTAATGCCAGCTGTCTTTACTTTTGAAACTTTTTTTTTTCCTTTCTAACAGGTTCTACTACATCATAGATGCAAGGTCTGGGAGTCTTTAGATAGGAAACTAGAGTCAATAAAATTGATCATTTTCACCCATGCAATCTTTCAATCCACAAAGGGAGGAAAATATTTTGTTTTCTTTTTAGTTCTATTTGTATGAACACCCAATTGCTCTTCTCTGCTTTTCCCAATGAAGTTATCTTATAGTAACAGCAAATTCTACAAGATTTGAACTTCAATAGTCTTACAAAAATGAGAAAATACCTACCATCCAGTTAGCAACAAAATTCGTTATTTATTACTATTTATTTCAAACTCTACAACTCAACAACAGATTCCTGTTGTTGACTCATGAGGATTTTTCTGGACTGCTAAGGTGAACCTTAGAAACAGAAGGCCTGCATGACTTCAAGGAACATTTTATACATAAAATAATATTAAACTACAGAATTTATTTTGTCAACATACATTTAGTTATATACACAATGTGTGTTTATTAATAAATTTATTGAATGAATCAATAATTTAAAAACATTGACCTGTTAACAAATGAAGTAAAGTATTTTTTATCAATTTATATCAGTAATCTTTTATATATATTTAAAGGTTTTACAGAATTTGGTTGTTTTCAAGGTTAATAGTTCTGAAGATATATGTTTCTAGGTTTTAAATGTGCCCCCACCGTGAAAATCACGTGTTGGAAACTTAATCCCCAATGCAAATCCCAAGTTTTGGGAGATGGGGCCTAATAAAAGGTTATTGGGTCATGAGTGCTCTGTCCTCATGAATGGATTAATGAATAATAGTTCATTAGATTAATGAATAATGAATAATAGTTACTGCAGGAATAGGTCAGTTATCACAAAAGCACATTGTTATAAGAGAGAGCCTGGGCCAGGTGCGATGGCTCAAGCCTGTAATCCCAGCACTTTGGGAGACCAAGGCAGGCAGATCACCTGAGGTCAGGAATTCGAGACCAGCCTGCCCAACATGGTGAAACCCCGTCTCTACTAAAAAAAAAAAAAAAAAAATGCAAAATTTGCCGGGCGTGGTGGCGCATGACTGTAATCCCAGCTCCTCAGGAGGTTGAGACAGGAGAATCATTTAAACTCAGGAGGCGGACGTGGCAGTGAGCCGTAATCACGCCATTGCACTCCAGCCTGGGCAACAAGAGCGAAACTCCTTCTCAACAACAACAACAAAAAAAGAAAGAGAGAGAGAGGGAGCCTCTCCTCTCTTGCTTTCTCTGTCAATTGAGCTTGTTTCTGCCTTCTCTTTCACCTTTCACTGTGGCACGAAGTTCACACCAGATGCCAGCACCATGCTCTTTGACAGCCTCCAGAACTGTGAGCCAAATAACCTTCTATTGTTTACAGTGCTACACAGTTTGTGGTATTCTGTTATAGCAGCAGAAAATAAACTAAGATATGTGTCTTCAGAGGCATAAGAGAGAAATAACCTTTTTTTTTTTTTTTTTTTTTTTGTATTCTGTCTTCTCTGACCAGGTTTGAGGTGAACTAATTGAAACTGATAGGCTTCAAACTACAGTTCCATTGGTAGTAATGAAAGTTGGGTCGTACGAAAGCAAGAAAAACAAACAAACATATGTTTTCCTTTTTTAGAGGAACCAATTGTGTGCCTGCAACAGAAACCTTTCCAACTGATTTTCCCTCATTCTACTTCTTCTAAAATTTGTAATACTTAATATATAGTGATACATGATACATCTACACATAATCTTACTGGTCAAAAGTTGTTTCTTACTTTAGATATTATAACATAATAATATTGAATGTTAATAGCTAATAGCAAATTTGACCCTTCCGTATTGAACCATAAAGAAGAAAATCAATATATATATTGATATATAAATACACATATGTACATGTATGTATACACATATACACACAACATATTTATACATATATATTTATATATAAGCACAGAAATGATCACTAAGGAGTCTGTCATACCTGAGATATATGGAGATCCCTGGGAACAAAGAAGTGTGTAAGCTGACAGCCTCAGTCACACAGTGGTTGCCACCACAGTCCCTAGAACTCACCTTTGCAGAAGACACTGCCTGCTTTCATCACTGAGACAACCATCTCCATCATAGAGTCCCCTGAGAAGGAAACAGTGCTGTGTTCTCTCCACTGAAAAAAGAACTGCTGTCGTGGCAACTCAGGGGCAGAAACTAATACCCCTCTCAACCCTGCATGCACCCCAGTCCCAGGGCTATATTCACCCTGTGGGAGCCCACACCCCAGACACTTGTCCGTAGATGTTCTGTGCTTGCCTACATTCAAAACCACAGGTCTGTGGCCACATTGCATGAACTCATACTTCAAACAAAGAAGCCACCACTGATAGGGCTAACACTTTCCCAGGCCTTGGGACCCCAGTTGCTCTGTGCACCCACACTATGGAGAGCAGTTTTACAACCTTTCTGTGAGTGTCTGCGCTGCTAACAATTGAGCTATCATCACAAGAAGCTAGTCCCTGGAGCCACCGTAGCTCCTCATGTGCCTGCACTGCATATATTGGCTCTGGAGATGGACTGTGAGCACCATACCTCAGATGCCAGAGTCATTGCTGCTATGGGCTAGTTCATCTCCCTGGCTTCAAGTCACTGTAACTCAGCGCATGCTCACACTTTCGATTCTGGCTTCCCAGATGCTCCACAAGCACTTGTGCTTCACACATTGTTACCAGTGTCACAGCAGGTGTGTCTGTCACAAACACTGGTGTCACCACCACCCTGGACCTAGAAACTTGGTCTCTTCAGGCCTTTTAGGTCCCTTCAGACCTGTGCTTCAGGCCTCAGGTCTGTGGCCACTCCAAGGACGTTGTGCATTAGACACTGTTGCCAGTGTTCCTGGGAACACAACCACAAGCTAGACCCAACGCGAAGAGACTCCTTTAGCCATGACTTCCCAATGGAAGAAAAAAAGACTATAAAAGCCTTTGTTATTGGTGCAGATAGCCACAGCCTTGGCTGTTAAAGATCCCTGGGGTTTTTGCTGACACCAACATCAGCTGATAAGCTTCACAGAGACTATGACCACTGCATTCTCATCAGAGCCAGAACATCTGCACCCATCCTAGACAGTGCCATCACTTATACCTGTAGGGAAGGACTTTCCAGTGTAAAATCAATCCATAAAGTTGGCAAGGGGTGAAATGTACATACATTAATGAAAGGTAACAAGAACTATAGAAGACCAAGGAATCAACACCACAAAAAGAACACAATAATTTTCCTGTGATTTACACCAAAGAAATTAAGATATGTGAATTGTCAGACAAATAATTCAAAATAATTGTTTTAAGGAGTTCAGCACACTTCAAGTCAACACAAACTGACAATTAAACAACATCCAGAAAATGTTTAACAGAGAGATTGGCATTATACAAAAAGAACCAAACAGTAATTATGAAGCTGAAGAATACAATGAATAAAATGAAAAAGAGTCAGTCAGCAGCAGAATTGATCGAGTGGGCGAAAGAACCTGTTAACTTAAAGACAATTACTTAAAAGTACACAGTCAGAGGGAAAAAAGGAATGGAAAGAAGTGAAGAAAGCCTATGAGATTTATGGGACAGCAAGAGAGCTACCATTTACATTATAGAATTTTAAAAAGAAGGAGAGAATAGATGGAATGGACGGAATGTATATTTAAGGAGATATTGACTTAAAGCATTTCATGTCTGCAAAAAGATATAAATACCTAGCCAGAGGAGGTTTAAATGTCTCAATCATGTACAATCCAAAGAATGCTATACCAAGACATATTACAGTCAAACTATCAAAAATCAAAGACAAAGAAATAATATTGAAAGCAGCAAGAGAAAAACAGTTATTCACATATAAGAGATCCTCTATAAGGCAACCAGTGGATTTATCAGCAGAAACTTTGCAGGCCAGAAAACAGTGGGATTATCTAATTGAAGTGATGAAAGGGAACAAGAATGTGGTTATTTTGCCAAGAAAGAATACTTTAACTCACAAAGATGTCCTTCTGAAATGAAGGAGAAAAAAAGTCTTTCCCAGACAAATAAAGCTGAGGAAGGTCATCATCACTGGATATGCCTTTCAAGAAATGCTAATGGGACTTTTTCAAGGTGAAAAAAAATGGATGATAATTAGTAACATGAAAGTACAATACTCACTAGTAAGTACAACAAAAGACATACAGTGACTGAATGGATGTATAAAAATAAAAAAAAAAAAGACCCAAATATATACTGCTTACAAAAGTCTCACTTTACCCATAAGGAACACATAGACTGGAAATGAAGGGATGGAAAAAGATATTTCATGCAAATGGAAGCCAAAATATTGTAGGGGAAGTTATTTATATCTGACAATGTAGACTTTAGATCAAAAACTGTAAAGAAACAAGGAAAATAATTATGTAAAAATAAAGGGGTTAATTCATGAACAGGATATAACAAATGTAAATATATATGCACCCAATATTGGAGCAGCTAAATATATAAAACAAATATTAACAGATACAATGGGAGAGAGAAGTGAAATACAATTATAGTAGGAATTTTCGTACGCATTTTAAAGAGCGATAGATCATCCAGACAGAAAATCAATAAGAAAATAGTGGACTCAAATTACACTTTAGAACAAATAGACCTAACAGACATATACACAACATTCTATCCAACAGCAGTAGAATACACATTCTTCTCAAGTATAATGGAATATTCTCCAGGATAGATTGAATATTAGACTACAAAATCAGTCAACAAATTTAAGAAGATTGAAATCATATCAAGTATTTTTTCTGACACAGAGGTATGAAAGTAGAAATAAACAAAAGGATATAATTTTATAAAATTTACAAATATGTGGAAATTAAACTATAAACTCCTGAACAACCAGTAGGTCAAAGAAGAAAGTAAAAGAAAAATTTTAAAGTATCTTGAGGTCAACAAAAAAGGAAATGAACATACTGAAACATAGGATGCAGCAAAAGCCATTCTAAAGGGGAGGTTTATAACAATAAGCTGGCTGCAGTGGCTCACACCTGTAATCCCATTACTTTGGGAAGCCATGACAGGCAGATAGCCTGAGGTCAGGAGTTCAAGACCAGCCTTGCCAACATGACAAAACACCATCTCTACTAAAAATACAAAAATTAGCCGGGCACGGTGGTGAGCACCTGTAGTCCCAGCTACTGGGGAGGCTGAGGCAGGAGAATCGCTTGAACCTCAGAGGCGGAGGTTGCAGTAAGCTGAGATTGCGCCTCTGTACTCCAGCCTGGGTGGCCAAGTGAGACTCCATCTCAAAATAAATAAATAAATACATACCCAATAAATTAAATGCTTACATTAAAAAAGTAGAGAGCTCTCAAATAACCTGATGGTACAATTCAAGAAACTAGAAAAGGAAGAACAAAGTAAACCCAGAGTTAGTAGAAGGAAAAAAATAACAATTATCAGTGCAAAAGTAAGTGAAACACAGACTGGAAAGATAATAAAATTAAAAGTTTATTTTTTGAAAAAATAAACAATACTGAAAAACCCTTAGCTAGACTACTAAGAAATAAAAAGAGAAGACCCAAAGAAATAAAATCAGAAATCAAAAAGATGACACTACAATTGATACCACAGAAATATAAAGAACCATAAAAGTCTTGTATGAACCATTATATACCAACAAATTGGATAATATAGAAGAAAGGCATAAAGTTGTAGAAAGATATAACTTACCAAGACTGAATCATTAAGAAATAAAAAAGATGAACAGAGCAATAACAAGTAACTAGGCTAAGTCAGCAATAAAAATCTTCCATCAAAGTAAATTCTAGGACCCTGATGCCTTCATTACTGAATTCTATGAAACAATTAAGAATTAATATCAGTCCTTCTCAAACTCATCCAAAAAATTGAATAGGAGGGAACACTTTCTAACTCATCTTGTGAGACCAGAATTTCCCTAATATGAAAGCCAGACAAGGACATTGCAAGAAAAAAATCAACTATTACAGGCCAATCAATATCCCTGATGAACATAGTTCTAAAACTTGCCCACAAAATACTAACAAACTGAATTCAAAAACACGTTAAAACATCTTTCAACATCAAGTAGGATTTATCACTAGAATGCAAGGATGTTCCCATTTATGTAAATCAGTAAATGTGATACATCACATTAAGAGAACAAAGAACAAAACCAAAATGATCATCTTACTACATGCAGAAAAAGCATTTGACAACATTTAGCGTTTTTTCATGATAAGAAACTCTCAGCAAATTAGGTGTAGAAGTAATCTATCTCAACATAATAAAGGCCGTATATTATAAACCCAAAGTTAACATCACACTCAAAGGTGAAAAGTTGAAATCTTTTTCTAAGATTAGAAACTAGACAAGAGTACTCGCTCACGCCACTTCTATTCAGCGTATTACTGAATGTCCTAGCCAGAGCAATCAAGCAAGAAAAGGAAATAAAGGGCATCCAGGTTGGAAAGGAAGCAGTTAAATTGTCCTTGTTTGCGGATAACATGATCTTATACAGAAAACCCTAAAGACACCACCAAAAAAACTGTTAGAACTAATAAATTCAGTAAAGGTAGAGGATATAAAATTGACATAAAAGTTTCAGTAGTGTTTCTGTACACTAACAACAAACTATCTGAAAAAGATATCAAAAAAGCAATCCCATTTACAGTAGTATTTAAAAAATCTTAGGAAAAAATTTTAACCAAGGAGGTGAAAGATCTATACACTGAAAACTATAAAACACTGATAGAAGAAAATGAAGAAAACACAAATAAATGGAAAGAGATCTCATGTTCATGAGTTGGAAAATTAATATTGTTAAAATGCCATAAATACTCAAAGTAATCTGCAGAGTCAATGTAATCCTTATTAAAATTCAGTTTTTTCACAGAAATAGAAAAAACCTAAATTCTAAAATTGTATGAAACCATAAACACTCTAAATAGGGAAATCACTGTTGAATAAATAGAAAAAAGCTAAAGACATCATACTACCTGATCTCAAAATTTACTACAAAATTATAAAAATGTAAGCAACATTCTACTGACAAAATGCAGTTATATAGACCAATATGAGAGGAGAAGCCTCTTAAATAAATCCACTTATTTATGGTAAGTGGATTTATTTGATAAAGTTACCAAAAATCTACAGTAGGGAAAGGACAGTCCTTTATCTCCACCATTTACAAAAATCAACCCCAAATGGACAAGACTTAAACCTAAGACCTGAAACTATGAAATCACTAATGGAATACAGGAAGACTTCCAGAACATTGGTCTGAGTAATATTTTGGGGGGAGGCATGACCCAAAAATCACAGGTAACAAAAGCAAAAATAGTCCAATGGAATTAAATAAAACTTAAAACTCAAAAGCTCTGTACAGCAAAGGAAACAGCAGAGTGAAGAGACAATCTAGGGAACTGAAGAATGTATTTGCAAATCACACTCTAATAGCAAATAAAACTCCCAAATGCCCTGATTAAAAAATAGGCAAAGAATCAGAATAGATATTTCTCAAAAGAAGACCCACAGATGGCCAACAGATATATAAAAATATATTTAACATCATTATTTATCAGAGAAATGCAAATTAAAACCACAAAGAGATATCACCTCACACCTGTTAGAATGGCTATTATCAAAAAGATGAAAGAAAACAAGTATTGATGTAGAAGTGAAGAAAAGAGAAACCTTGTATACTGTTCTTGGGATTGCAAATTAGTACAGCATTTATGGAAAGCAGTATAAAGCTTCTTCAAGACATTAAAACTGGAACTACAATATGATCCAGAAATCCTACTGCTGAGTATATGTTCAAAGGAAAATAAATCCATTTGCTGAAGAAATATCTTCATTTCCATGTTCATTGCAGCATTATTCACAATAGCCAATTTATAAAATCAACCTGTGTCCATCAACAAATGAATGGAAAAAGAAAATGTGATACACACACACACACACACACACACACACACACTCAATGGAATTAAAAGAGAAAGAAACCTTGTTATTTGCAACAGCATGGAGAAACCTGAAGGACATTATGCTATGTAAATAAGCCAGGAACAGAAAGACATACTGCCTGATCTCACTTACACGTGGAATATAAAAAAGTTGAATTCATACAGGCGGCAGACACAATGGTGCTAAATGATGAAAACACATGGATACAGAAGGGTGGTTGTTGGATCTTGGGGATGGGAGTGGAAATACAGAGATTTTGGTCAAAGGGTAAACATCTTCAGTCAGATAGGAGGAATATGTTCTGGATATCTATGGTATCGCATGGTGAGTAGATTTAATAACAATGCATTGTATTCTTGAAAATTGGTAAATAAGTAGATCTTGAATGTTCTCACAGCAAAAAAAGATAAATATGTAAGGTTATGGTTATGTCCCTTAGCTTGATTTAAATTTGATTTAATCTTTCATATGTATACATATACCAAAGCACCACCAAAAATATATGGATTTTTAGATTTATTAATTGTCTTAATAAAAGAAAAAAAACATGGATGTATAAAAAATAAAGAATACCTAAGAGAGTTAAATTCCCAATAAGTACTAGGAGCTGTTATTAGGAAAAGCTTGATACTTGAACTTATAAAATCAGAGATAAAATAACAGAAAGTAAAGATTGAAATTCATCATTGCTCTCTGAGTTCTTAGTATATCAAGACTTCTCATTTACAGCAGCATATTTCTCAAATTTCAATCTGTTAAATTTTGTCACCCTCCATGAAACATTTTACATTAAAGTAATACTAGACCATTTTAAGCAGAAGAGAAATTCCTTTTATGTTGCACCTGAATTGTGCCTATGAAAAAGAAAAAAAAAATTTATAGAAATAAAGATCCTTTGTTTTCAGTGTGTAATATTAGAAAAAGTTGGCTTTTGAGCCAGAGAAGCAGATATGTCTATAATAGACATCATTGTATCCCTAAGCCTTTTGGCCACACACAGTTGCAATCTTTTGAGCAAACAGTAGAAAATTTAGAATAAAGTATTATCACCTGTGTTTATTTCTAACCTACCTTATTCAAAAACAGAATATATTCACTTTTAACAAAAATAGAAGGCTGTCACTTGTAGAATGTGTACTGTTCTGACTGATGAGAACTGTCTCTCACCAGAGGACACTTGCAACTTACTTGAAAGAGTAAAACATTTTTGATAATCTTCTATCACAGTTTATGTCATAATTGAAGACTCAACTTGTAACATAGTCATCCGTGGCCATTGTGTTCATTCTCTGCAATATATTTTCGTTATTTTGCTCTTTTTTATTTTTGGTGTTCAAAATCAAGCTCACTGAAAAATTGCACATATTCGCCACTCCACTTTTTTTCTCCAGACTTTTCTCTTTCTTGGGTTTCCCCCTAATGTTCTGTCTTCTTTGCAGATGTTTCTTTCCGCATTTTAAATGCTGAGATTTCCCAGAGCTAATTTCATCTCTTCATGTCTTCGTGCTACTAAATGTGATCCATATATTGCAGGGGGTACTCACACAGAATTTGCATAAGATAGACCGGAACTTGAAGTTCTGCCATTTACCACTCAACTTTGCAACTTTGGGAAACACACTTTATATCCATGTCCATCTGAGAATTCATCCCTCAAATGGGAAAATAGAGTTTAACATCTGAATCCATTTGGTAGATTAAAAGAAATAATAAATATAAAATAATTAGCACAGCATAGTACCCAGAAAGCAATACTAATGACCACCATAACTCCCAATTCTCTATCCCAAGCTTGACTTCCTACACACACATTTGTCAACTACAACCTGATGTCTCATAGAATCTCTAACTCAGCAAGTTCAGAACTAAATTCATAATAATTCATCTGTTTCTAGCTCTTTCTCCTCCCTTCCTTCTACAGTGATACAGGGTCCTCTCTAAACATTCTGAGTCATGGGTTATTTGAGTGAGTGAGAATATAAGCCAAATTAAAGAAGCAAAAATGCAACACATTCTAGAATCTTTCTCCCTAAAGCTATAGCTAGTCATTACTATAATATTAAAGGTCCTGCCCTCTTAAGATGTTATATATTGAATCATTTTCTATCCCCGTTGTCACTATAGTGTCATAATTCAGGCTTATATTTTACCTGGTCTCAAAAATTACAATACATTCTTATCTATCTAGAGACGCATTCACACATGCACTAAGATAGATTTTTCCAACATATAAATAATTACATTATCTAATTTCACTTATAGCAAAAATTTTACTTATACTTTGGCTTATAGCAAAAATTTCCTGATTTTTTGTATATTATAGCAATATGAAATCTTACCAAATTTGGAAGGAATTTTTATATGTCTTTATCATTTTTACATGATGTTAATTTTAAAGCCAGTATCTTATATGAGCATGTTACAAAATACTATTATATGGCTTCTTAATTCTATATTGTAATACTATTATAATATGTAAAAACATTTAAATTTTTTATTTTAACATTTGATGTATACTATTTAATTTTCTTTAATGTTTTTATGTAAGTAAAAGCAAACTTTTTATACTTAGTATATAAACCAAATGCAAATAAAAATGGAGATTGTATTTCAGATATATGACTTGGAAAAATAGATTATAAAACCCTGCTTTTCAGAACTGAAATTGAAAATTACAACTGTCATTTAAAATCAGTCTGTTTCTTTATTAAAATGCTATGACAAAATATCCAAATAGATAAAGTTTCAGGCCATTCTTCGAAAGCATATTTCCCATAAACCACATCTAAAACTAATTATTTTGAAATGTTAATTATCCCAATAAATGAAAGTTAAGTGGTTTATAATATCATTATATTCCTCCTACAAACGTGTTTTAAGCAATAAGGAAAACAATGTACTATATGAGATTTTTTTCAAAAACAGAATGCACATTTTGAATTTACACAAACTTATACTGAGGAAAGTGTGACAAAATATTTTAAATAATTATTTTAATTTGTCATTCAAGTTTTCATTTTAAGATATATGGATTTAGAATTTATTTTATTTTATTTTTTAGCATTCATCGGTACATTTTATGTATTTTTTTAACCTTTAAGTTCAGGGTTACATGTGCAGGTTTGTTATATAGGTAAACTTGTGTAATGGGGGTTTGTTGTACAGATTATTTCATCACCCAGATATTAAACCTAGTACCCATTAGTTATTTTTCCTGACTCTCTCCCTCCTCCCACCCTTCACTTTCCAACAGACCCCAGCATGTGTTGTTACCCTCTATGTATCCTTGGGTTTTCATTATTTAGCTCCCACTTGTAAGTGAGAACATGCAGTATTTGGTTTTCTCTTCCTACATTAGTTTGCTAAGGATAATGGCCTCCAGCTCCATCCATGTCCCTGCAAAGGATGTGATCTCATTATTTTTTTATGACTGGATAATATTTCATGGTTTATGTGTATCCCATTTTCTTTATCTACTGATCACTGATGGACATTATGTTGATTCCGTGTCTTTGCTATTGTGAATAGGGCTGCAATGAACATACAAGTGCATGTGTCTTTATAATGGAACAATTTATGATGTGATCTCATTATTTTTTTATGACTGGATAGTATTTCATGGTTTATGTGTATCCCATTTACTTTATCTACTGATCACTGATGGGTATTATGTTGATTCTGTGTCTTTGCTATTGTGAATAGGGCTGCAATGAACATACAAGTGCATGTGTCTTTATAATGGAACAATTTATATTCCTTTGGGTACATACCTAGTAATGGGATTGCTGGGTCGAATGGTATTTCTGCCTTTAGGTCTCTGAGGAATTGCCACAGTGTCTTCCACAATGGTTGACCTAAGTTACACTCCCACCAAAAGTGTATAAGCATTCCTTTTTCTCCACAACATCGACAGGATCTGTTATTTTTTGACTTTTTAATAATAGCCATTCTGACTGCTGTGAGATTTGCATTTCTCTAATGATTAGTGATCTTGAGCTTTTTTTTTCATATGACTGTTGGCTTCATGCGTGTCTTCTTTTGAAAATTATCTGTTCATGTCCTTTGTCTACTTTTTAATGGAGTTGTTTGTCTTTTCTTGTAAATTTCTTTAAGTTCCTTATAGATACTGGATATTAGACCTTTGTTAGATGCATAGTTTGCAAAAATTTTCCCCCATTCCGTAAGTTGGCTCTGTTGATTGTTTCTTTTGCTATTCATAACCTCTTCAATCAGATCCCATTTGTCAATTTTTGATTTTGTTGCAATTGCTTTCTGCATTTCATAGAGAAATGTATTATATTTGTCAAATGGGCTATTAGAAATATAGTATTGGACTTCAGGACAATGATTACTGGAGACAAAGTTTTGAGGTTTCTCTGCCAAGAGATACGAAGGGAAGTCACAGGAAAATAAAACAAAGCAATGTACTACATAAAGAAAAAGTAGAAAATGAATGCGATCATTAATTATGTTTTTGTTCTAGCCATGCATTCAACAAATGTTTGCTAAAAGCCTTATTAGGTCTAAGAGAAATAGCCACAAACATGAATAAAACCATACAGTTGATTTAAAATAGTTTTAATTTACCAGCAAAAATTGTATATATTTATGATGTGTGACATGACGTCTTGACATATGTGTATATTATGGCATGGTGAAATTAAGGTATTTAATGTTTATGCAACACCTCACATGCTTATTTATACTTTGAGAAGTAGCAGCAACCTGTCTGAAAATAAATATCTAAATTATAAATAGGAAAATCAACCAGATTATTGTATATATTTATGTAATATTAATACCTTTCCTAAAATGCCCCTATAAAGACATGGGTCCCAGGCACTAAACCAACTATAGACCCATAGAAGACAATCAGTTCTGTTGCCATCTTTGGTACCTTGAAACTGTTTTTTTGATACATGCAGAAACTTCTAAATTGGGTTTTATAGATACTGAATAGCAGTTCTTCATCCATGGGCAACCCACTTATGCATTCTTTGGACTGTATCTGTGGATCTGACTGTTCATAAAAAGCTTTTGGCTTTGTCAGAGCATCAAGTGTTGATTTAATATGAAATTTCACCCACAAAATCTACATAGGAACCAAGGGTTTCAACTTCGTCACACATGTCAGCCAAGTGAGCCTAGAAGGAGCTGTTCACAGAGATTTAGATAGATAATTCCAGTTTTTGAAAGGCCAATGACCAGAACAATATAGTACAATCCATTGGCTCCTGACTAGGGATATGTTTCAATAATTTTAACACTTTAGGATGCGTATACATGCTATGAAAATGATTTTCAATTCTTTGTGCCCCTACAAGGCTGATTCGTCATTTGCAAAGATCTGGGAAGCAATATTAGCAAAGCAATCCATGAGCTTGGCAACATTTCTGAGGATGACTACAAAGTTCCTAGGATATCAAGAGGTAGCAATAATGATCCCTGCCAGTGCTGTACTGGGAGACTAGCCAATATCAAGGGAAGTAATGGCAAGTTGTGGATCCACGCTTTGTCCTATCCTGCGTGTTCCACATCTATTCATATTGAAGTTTTCATTTTCTGGCCACCCCATTCATTCCATTCCATTGTAGCCTTTCTGGCCACTGTGGTATCTCTACTTAAATACCACTTGTAAGTGCACCCATTCCTGACAATTCTCTATTAGTAAGCAATGTATCTTTCTTATTACATCCTAATTCTGTCTCTTGCTTTATTTTTATCTTTGGTGTTCATTATCCTGTGATATGTAATGCATTTACATATGTATTTTTAAAATGTATTGTCTGTCTTCAACTGGAATATAACCTCCTTGAGAATATCTTTTTAATTTTTCATTATTATGATCCTGGTTTCTAGATCAGCACTTGCATTAAGTAAGTGCTTATACTTGTTGAATACATGAGTAAGTGAACACAAAAGTTGGGAGGCATCTTGTTATCTTAAGACCCCACATAGCTCATAACTGAAATGATTTTGACACATTTTATTAATCTTATAAAAAGGCCTGTAATCCCAGCTCTTTGGGAGGCCGAGACGAGAGGATCGCTTGTTCCCAGGAGTTCAAGACTAGCCTGGGCAACATAGGAAGATGC
The DNA here is from genome assembly GCF_000001405.40 of Homo sapiens. Lineage (NCBI taxonomy): Eukaryota > Metazoa > Chordata > Mammalia > Primates > Hominidae > Homo > Homo sapiens. The sequence continues at coordinate 194,619 of NW_016107297.1, forward strand.
CAGCTCTATAAAAAATTTAAATAATTAGCTGGGTATGGTGGCATGTGCCTTTAGTCCCAGCTACTCAGGAGGCTGAGGTGGGAGGATCGCTTAAGTCTAGGAGGTTGTGGCTTCAGTGAGCCATGATTGCACCACTTCAGACCAGCCTCGGTGATAGAATGAGATAATATCTAAAAATTTTTTTAAAAAATTTTAAAGCAACCATATTAAGAGGCATGATCATACTAGATGTGATAAATGCTGCTCCTAAAAATATATTAGAAAGTTTCTTTCTAAGTATTAGTTTTGGTATTTAGGGGGCTCAAGGATAATAGTTTCTGTCTAGTCTTGAGTATATTTGTCCCTGATAACTGGGACTATACTGTCTGGGAAGCCATGTATATGATTTTCTATGTAATAACACACCCTTTTTTGCAATAAAATCAATAAAGACAGAGCATCACACAATTTTTTCACAATTACTGCTGTTAATACGGCACCAATGTAATGAGCAACTTTAGCATTTGAGTTAGGTTGAGGCCATCTGTTTAAAGCTCATCTTAGTGGATTATGATATCATGCCAGATAATTTAAATATCCAGGTGGCTCGGAAAACACTAAATCAAACTTCTGGCCATAAAAGAGAAAAACAAATTGCTCTTGATATCCAGCATTAGCAGTGACTCGTAAGATCACATAAGCCAAATCAATGGCTGCATACCAATCAGAAATTAAAAATCATCTTTCAATGTAGAAATGTGGTCACAGTTTTCATCTAATTGCTGCAACCTTTTTTAAAATTTATAAATAATTCTATTTATATTCTACAAATAGTTGCCAGAACCCATCTGACTTTTGTACCAGCCAAACTGAGACCATAATTGGGATGATTATTGGCATTGTATATAACCTACCCCTGTGATTTCCATATTAGAATTAAAACATTATATGTCTTCCTTAAAATATTGCATTATAATTTCATGATTATGATTTATAATGAAGTTCCTGAACTGCTTCTTTTTGTCCTTTTAAGAATCCTTTCCCTAGAATTATAAACAACAAATTATCAGTAGGAGTTGAAGGAATGGGGACAGCTTCATTGCCTTAGTTCTTTATTTCTAACCTGGACACTTGATAAAATTCTGTAGCTTCAACTTCTTTCTCCTCAAGATTCTTTATTACTTATATAATCACTACTTTCAAAAGCTCCTCAATTTTTGGTATATTAATGTTTCTTAGGGTCATTTGGACTTGGACATAGAGTTACAGCTTCTGTGAAAATATTTTTATGTGATTGTTCTCGAGGAGTAGACATGAGGATAAATCAAAAGAAGGTACATTTCATTTTTGTTGTTGTTGCTACTGTTCTTGTTCTGTAGGGAGTGTGTGTGTGTGTGTGTGTGTGTGTGTGTGTGTGTGTGTGTGTGGATTGGGGGCCTGGGGATTGTAATTATTCTTGTTTATGTTGTACAGGCAGAGATTGACCTTTGTATTAAGTTCCCTAGGGCTGCTGTAACCAAGTACTACAAACTAGGTGGCTTAAAAAAAATTTTATTGTCTAGCAGTTCAGGATACTAGAGGTCCAAAATCAAAGTATCTGCAGGGCCATGCTCACATTGAAACATAAGGGAATCTTTTCCTGGCTCTACCTGGCTTCTGGTAGTTGGCTGGCACTATTTGACATTCCACAGTTTGTAGAGTCATCACTCCAATCCTCAGTCTTCACAGAGCCTGTGTCTCTGCCTTCTTTAAAGACACCAGGCTTCTAGGATTAGGACACTAGCCTACTTCAACATGACCTCATTCTAATTTAACTCATTGCATCTGCAAAGATCTTATTTCCAATATGTTCACATTTTGAGGTACTTAGGGTTATGACTAGAACATATCTTGTTCTTAGGGACACAATTAAATACATAGCAACCTCTTTTATTTTCTTCCCTTTGGCGTCTTGCTTTAGGAGAACTAATCGCCAGTGTGGCTGTTGTGGTGCATGCAGGCTACTCCACTATAGCTGCTGTTGTAAGCAGAAGTGATCACATGTGCCAATCAAGACCTGATGCCTGGAGTTCCTAAACTAATGACTCCTGAGCAGACACTTGTCTCCATCTAGACTATGTGACTGTCACGCTAGCTGAGCAAATTCTTCATTACCCAATTCCTGTGAACTTTCTCAGCTTTAGCTTTGCCTTCTTTAAAAGGTGCCAGGAAGGTGTATTTAAGAAAACAAATCTATTTCAATTTCAGTGAGATGTGAATCATCTTGGGCATTTAATAAGCGAATCAAGGTGATGGATATAGCATAGGGATTTCTTTCATTAACCTTCTAAAATAGTAAAGGTTTTCCATAGGCACAGCACTATTACATTTACAAATTGGGACATTATGTTCTTGCTGTTTCACTACTCATTATAACCAGCCTTGGGCACTTAATCTCTTAATGAGCTGTATTGCCATTGTGGGAGCATCCTTACTGAGGTCTTCCAAAGCCCCTAATTCAACCCTATTCAGTTTATCTGTGTATCTTGTTTAATTTTATAACCAGCAGATTAGCATGCCACCTGCCATGCCTACAGGAAACCGGCAATATATTTTAACTAATTATTGGTGTACCAGGTGAGTAACAGAAATTATTGTAGGATTCTGGGTGTTTACATAAACTTTTACACATTTCCTGCCTAAGACAGATATTTCTTGAAGAAGAAAGAAAGAAGGGTGAGGGTCTGGTCTGTGAGAAGGCTGGTTGTCTCGTTCCTGCCTACTCAAGTCTCTGAGAATAGTAATACCCACGTTTACCTATGATTTCCAGGTTACTGTTTGAATCATTTGTTTCTGTTTTACAAAACAATCCAGTATAATAACTTACTATTAATTATGATTCTTTGAGTTACCCAGGGTCAGTTTTGAAGTTCTGCTGGTCTCACTTGGAGTCTTTGACATAATTCCACTAGATTGAAAGACTGTTTGGGAGATGGTTTTTCACTCTCTGTCTCTCTCCATATAGTCTTTAATTGTTCAATAGTCTAGCCTGGCTTCCAAACGGCATGTCTTCTGGGTTCCATAACAGTGCACTCTTCTGTCACATTTTGTCTGTCAAATCCGGACATAATTTCTTCCAAAATAAAGGATAATATAAATAAACTCATCTGTTACCTGAGGAAGGGCATGAGTGTACCAGGATGGAAGGAATTGTTGGCTGCCATATTTAGAGACTACTTACCTCAGTATCAAATACCTGCTATCCCATATTGTTACTGATTGTAGTTCTTCCTTTCAATAAATTATGATGTTCTACTCTATCAAAAAAGGTCCTATCAGCAGAGCAAAACCATAAAATAGTTTGCACAGGCAGAATTTTGTATTTAAAATAATTAACTCTAACAGAGGATTGGAGTAATAAGGGATTGTCTAGGTAAAAAAAAAAACCTTAAAAACTAGAACTAGCAGATAAGAAACATCTTATATCCTTAGAATTGAGTTAAGGTGCCCAATAAAAAGGCATCTGCCTCCCCGACCCAGTGAAGCAGAATACGATGACAGCTTCAAAGGAAAGAAGTATTCTATTTTTAATCACTTACACTGGGGCAGACATTATGGACAGTGATGCTGTATAATTATAATACATTTTCCTTATTCAAGTCACTGAGATTTTTTTGCTATTAAAAATAAAAACATCAAAGTATCAAATATGATTATTCAGGTCAGAACAAATATATCGTAAGAATGTCACCAAGAATAATAAATTTTCATTCACTCTACTTTATTGAAACATGTACAAATTATCTCTCCAGGGTTGAATTGTCTAGAGATATTTGCAGCATCTTGTATCAGAAAAAAGAGTGACAAGTTTCATTCCATTTTTCGTAGAAGGAAGGATTATCACAGAGCCAATGCCACAAGGCCCTTTGGTTCAGAGACAGCATTTTCCAATCATGTTCTCAACAAGTCTCGAACATGTTAATTAATGTTTGTCTTGAAGAGTTCTTAAATAAAAACTAGTGGATAGCTTTCTCACATAAATTTAAAAGATTTTTAAGATAGCATCTTCAACAAATCCAAAACTATAAAATGTCTTTTGAGTCATACCTTTTGCTTCAAAATACTCCTAATAAAGCACATAAATTGACAAACTCCATTGTTAGTAGAAAGTTTTATGGCTTCAGATCACAATTAATATTTTAACATTCATATTTTCACCCAAAGGACATTTAGTCATCATGTTTGACACTAACAATTTTATCTTTCTTCTGCTGGTAGTTGTATGACTCATTAAAACAAAGTATATAAAATAATCGCATCTATACTGATGACTTAAATGGGCACCAAAATAAGTGAGTTTAAAAAATTCTATCTTATGAGAAAAACATAAAATAGTTCTTACGTAATATGTAAGAAATAATAATTTCTTACTGAATTCATAGTGAAAAGTACTGCTGGAATACGTCATCACAAATAGCATTCTCCATTACTAAAATATAGATGCAATAATAATTAGTAACTATGATCGTAACAAACTACTTGAAAAACATGTGGCTTGAAAATGTCAAAAAAGATACAAATGCAACTGAGCAGTATAGGAAAAGAGTACTCTTAAAACTCAGCAGATTGTGGTGGGTATGTGGCAACGTTTTGAAGATGATGTAGTTGTCATTCTGGTTATCTGAGAAAACAGAGATTATCATATCCAAAGAATAAATACAAATGAAAAGGTTTAATATTGCATTTGGAATTGTTTTTATTTTTCAAAATTGATGATAGAATAAAATATTTTTATAAAATATAAATCTGCAAATGTTTTTACCTGGGACAATGAGCCTTGACAGAATAACATCTAGAACAGCTAACCCACAATAACTTATGTAAAATTGTCGAAATGTTATATTGAGTAAAATTAATAGAAGAGTCAAGTATTATATTTTAATTTTCAATATCCTGGTGGAAATAATTATGTGCAAAATATCAACGAAATAGGGAAAGTAAATAAGAATGTTTTAAATATATATATACACCCAAAATGGAAAACCGACTTAACAGATTTTGCTTTAAAAATACATTTTCTATGAAGATTCATCAATTCTACAGAAAGTGATAGACCTCTAATAGAAATATTTGGTTTTAAACACTGCATGTTCTCACTCATAGGTGGGAATTGAACACTGAGAACACTTGGACACAGGGCAGGGAACATCACACTCAGGGCCTGTTGGGGGATGGGGGGCAAGGGGAGGAATAGCATTAGGAGAAATACCGAATGTAAATGATGAGTTAATGAGTGCAGCAAACCAACATGGCACATGTATACCTATGTACCAAACTTGCACGTTGTGCACATGTACCCTAGAACTTAAAGTATAATAAAAAAAAATATTTGGTTTCATAAGGAAAGCATCAAAATAATCAAAAGAAATTATTAAAATATTCTTGCATGGCAGTGCTAGTCCAATGGAGTTGAAGTGGCAAAGTCTACATTTCCTGAGTACAGCTAGAAAGACACTGTTCAGGGAACAGTTAGATTGTAACCAGCTAAAGAGAAACCAGGATGTTAAATTTGGCTATTCTAGCAAAGAAGCATTCAGGAAAATAAAGAAGCAATTATCCGTGAGCTGAGTTCCAGGCTTTTTTTTGCACAGTTTTTGTATTCGCATAATGAATGAACAGCATTGTCACGAGCATTTTTAAGTGCCTTAGGATGGGACTGTCATCCAGCCATTAAATCCTGCAAATTCAGTTCTGAGGGGAATAAAAAAGAAATACAGGAACATAGAGTGGGAGTTGTATTTTGTATTTCCTTTGTCCCTTTTGCACAGTTTCAGAATGCATTGACAAATCAGTTTCTGTAGCAATGGGATTCAGATTCTGGATTTTTTTTTAAAAAGAACATAAGCTTCTGAGGCTAGAAGTAGAGAATGACCTCCAGTGGCTGGTGTCAAAAGAAGAGAACAGCCAATAAATTATATTTGTCCTAGATCTGACAACCCATGTAGAATTACATTGGTACAGAACTAACCAGTACCCTGTTGATGTCGAAGATGTTTCTTATTCCCCAAATATGTGAACCTAATTATGACTGTATTATAATCTAGCAGATCTCACTAAGTATATTCCAATGGCTATATGCAGTCTTAGAATTGAACACACAGAGCACACCATTGTGTTGCCGATGGCATAAAAACTTGAAGAAACTCCAAGATGACCAGAACTCAGAAGTCTGCAGTCATAGTAAGTGAAATGACAAAAAAAAAGTAGAGAACAGTTAGATTTCTTGGGTAAAGGCTGAACAATCTACTGATGCAAGAAACAGAGGAGGAGTTTCCTCTTAGGACTTGAGAAGATTCATTGATAGAAAAAGGACTCCTCTGTAAAAATGAGCAGATAGTGTTTGATATAAGGCAATGATTTGACTGTATGATGGGTGCCTTGATCAGGTTTGGAGGTAATAATTTGCATGGCAACCTAATATATACCGTCAGGTAAAACCTCCTGAAAATTACATGAATGATACCAGATAGCACATGTGTCCTATTTTGATACATACCCTGGTCCTGCTGAGATTGTGCCTTTGCTATGAAGCAAGGCCTCTTTGAGGCACATTATTGTACTTAGACAAGGCCCTGCATTCTAGAGAAAGAGACAAGCTGGGAAAAAAGATTTTGTACACGCTCAAAGAATGAATGTCCATTTGAGAGTATAAACTAGTTGCCATGTCTGCCAATTGCCAACCACCACCATATCCTTAGAAACCATGCTATTACCATGTTTCAGTGTACACCAAAAGAAATCTAGAGTAGGAACTGGCTTCCTCCCTCACTTGTGCATTTGTCCGTTGCACATTCTATCAAGTAGGTTTAATAGTGCTTTAGTAACTTACAGAGAAATTGTGGCAAAACTCTCCTGTTATTTTTGTTAATCAAAATTTGTAGCTTCCCCTCTAAGAGAGTCACGCATGAGTCCATGGGCCATGAATAGTAACAGATTTTGAGTTATAAGCATAATGCTGAACTAAAAATGATTCATCAGCTGTAGAACTCACCCATTTTGTGTAGAGAAAGTTTGCTTTGTTCAAAGTATTGCTTTAGGGAAAGTTCTTAACAAGAACACGCCTTGCTTTTCCACAAGAAACATTTCTTGATGGGTCTGTTACACAAATTATTCAGATATGCAAGTTTTGTTTTGCTTTGTTTTTAAAAAATATAGTTCAAAATTATTGCTAGGGCTAAACCCTTGTTCCACATTTTTTATCTCATGCATTTTTAAAAGCTATTTTAAATTTCTGCCTCCAATCTTGTTTTATTTTATTTTTTCAACTGGGTAATTGTCTTTGCAGTTTATGTTTTCTTTCAGATATTCTCACAGGGAAACTTCATCATTTCTCTATTAGGGTATTTTCAGTCACATTATGTATTTCTTTTTCTATCATAATTTGCAGTACTATCACTGGATTAATTTTTTAAATCACCTTTCGACAAGTATAATTTCCATGCAAGTTTGACAAAGTTCAATTTGTTTTTTTCTTTTATTTTTCACATTTGTAATAATTGTGTAAGAAATCTTTGCCTATTCAAAACTCACAAAAATAATTTTTAGACATTTTACAGCTTAACACTTAATTCACAGATATTTTTCTGAATTAATTTAAGTAATGTCGTATGTGTCATGACTTTAAACTTTTCTTTTCTTCCATGTCCACTTGTCCCAGCAACATTTGTTGAAAAGATTTTATTTTCCCCCATTGAATTGACTTGACACCTTTTTTGAAAGTCAGCTCAACAAATATCCATGGCCCGATTTCTGGAATCTCTATGCTGTTTCATTTATTTTTATGTCTGCCCTCACAGCAATACCACCCATTACTTGTAACTTTATACTAAGGCTTGCAGTCACACGGCAAAAGACCTTCAAATCTGTTCTTCCTGTGCAAGCATTTTGGCGCTCCTAGGTTCTTTGAATGTCTACATACATTTTAGAATCAGCTTGACAATCTACAAAAAAAGCCTCCCAGGACTCTGATCCAAACTTCATTTAATTTATAGATTTGTGACATCTTACAATGAGTCTTACAGTCAATGAATATGATACATCACTCCATCTCATGTTTTCTTTCACTTTTCTCAGATATGTATCACAGTTTTCAGTTTAGAGCTTTTACAAATATTACATTAAATGTGTCTCCAAGTATTTTCTGTATTGGATGCTACTGTAAATTGTAATTTACTCTGTATTTTAATTGTAATTGTAGGACATGGAAAGACAGATTTTTGTATGATGGCCACGTTTCCTATGAACCCACTACATTCTTTTTTTTTTTTTTCTTTTTTTTTTTTTTTGGAGTCTCATTCTGTCACCCAGGCTGGAGTGCAGTGGTGAGATCTCGGCTTACTGCAAGATCCGCCTCTCAGGTTCACGCCATTCTCCTGTCTCAGCTTCCCGAGTAGCTGGGACTACAGGCGCCCGCCACAACACCTGGCTAATTTTTTTTTTCTTGTATTTTTAGGAGAGACGGGGTTTCACCGTTTTAGCCAGGATGGTCTCGATCTCCTGACCTCATGATCCGCCCGCCTCAGCCTCCCAAAGTCCTAGGATTACAGGCGTGAGCCACCGCACCTGGCCTGAACCCACTATGTTCTTTAAATATTAATAACATTTTTTGTAGATTCCTTATAATTTCCTACAAAGTCAATAATGTCAAATGCAAATAGTGTTTTGCAGCTTTACTCTTAATTTACATATTTTTCCCTTGCTCTAATGCACATGCTAGAATCTCTAGTATAATGGTGAAATACAGCCATAGATGTTCCAATATTAAACCAGTATTTCTTATTTCAATTAGCTAATATTTTGCTAAAGCTTTTCTGGTTCTACAATTTTGCATCTATGTATGTATCAATTTTTACATCTGTGTTTTCTAATTTTTCTGATTTTGGTATTATGGTAATCATAATTAAATAAGTGAAATATTGTGGAATCAGGAGGACCAGAAAGAGACCTTGGGGTGTATACAGGAGGATATCTTTATTGAGTGCAGTCAGACCCAGCAAACTCAACATCCAAAGACTGGGTCCAGAACAAAGACAGCATTTGACTTTCATACACACTTCACAAAGGGGTGGACTACCTTGAAGCAGGCTTTCAGTTACAGTGGCGCGAAAGCAAGGATACAGAGTCAGAACAATTAATTAAATTGTGACAGGTTCATAACTCCGGATTACACATGACCATTGCCAAGCAACCCATTTGTCTGTTATCCAGGTTTTGCTCTAAAGAGTCTTGCACTGGTTTATCGCATAACTTCACTATGGTGCCCAGACACCTGTAGTTCAGGCCTGCTCAGGCTTCTCATGACCTTCACTGTACTTCTTAGATAAAACAGAATACTTGAAGTTACCAGTTACAGAAAACAAGAATCTATAAACTAATACCATAAAGCAAAGGAAAATTTGTTTTTTGTCTCCATGTGTTGAAGGAGTGCTGGGAGAGTCTCCAGAGCACATTCCTTTGTGTCCTAGCTTCTTAGATAGTGTTTACCAAGCCTTTTCCTGGGTCTGGGCTGTGCCTGTTGCTGCCTCTGGGACCAGTCAGCCTAATACAGGAAAGCTTATTTCTTTCTCTTTTTAATTTTATTTTTCCTTATTTCTTTAATTTCCCACCTCAAAACATTTCCTACTCTATTTCATCAACTAAGATTTATATGATTCATCCATTAAATATTTATTTGAATTTCTAATTTTGGTATTATGGTAATCATAATTAAGTAAACATTTCCTACTGTACTTTATCAACTAAGAGTTATATGCTTCATTCATTAAATATTTAATAAAATTTACCAGTACATTTACATAAGGCTGTTTATTTTTTTTTCTTTCTTTGTATAAAGGATTTTAATCATCAGTTATATATCTTTACCAGAAATAGGACTACTTAGCTTTTCAGTTACTTTTTAAACTAGTTTGGATAACTTGTGTTTTTCAAGCTATTTGCCACTTTTCTTTAAGTTTCCAGACTTGGTAGCATAAAGTTGTTAAGATAATATTCTCTTAGCCATTGTGTGTTACAAATATAGTGCAACCTACTCTTTCATTGCTTTTGTTTGAGCAATCTAGTTTTAAAAATTGTTTTTAATAATTTATTTAAAATAACATTTGTTTGTTTACTTTATCATTAGTTTGTTTTTTCCTTCAGAGATGTCTTTTCTATTTATTTATCCATTTTTTACTTTTACTTAATAATCAAGCTCCTCTTTCCCTAGCTTCTTTTGGTGGGAGCTGAAATCATTAATTTTTTAATTCTTTTTTCTTCTTTTTTAATATAAGCATTTGCAGTTGTAATTTTTCATCAAGTCACTCCTTTACTTTTACTTCACAAAACAAGAATCAGAACCATACCTAGGTACAACACAACTGTTAGGATCATCATTCAGAGAAATTAAAATAATTGTGATTACTATATTAAGGGCTCTTAACAGAAAAAAAAATAGGGGTGTGTAATATAAACAGAGAAATGAAAAAAGAAAAAAAAACTAAGAAAAAAACAAAAGAAAATGCTAAGGGAGAAAAAAGAATAGGCCCATTGATGGGTTTATTAATCAACTTCCATGACTGAAGAAACAATGAGTGAGCTGTAGGTAAGCCCATAGAAAATTTCCAAACTGAAATGAGAAGAGAAAAAAAGATGAAAAAAAAAAAACAAAAACAAAAGAGAACATTAAAGAGCTGTAAGACAGTTTCAAGAAATATATCACACTTTGAATTGGCTTAATAGAAGAAAAAGAAGAAAAATTTAGCAAAAAAATTAACATTTGCAGTAATCATCGCTAAGATTCACAATATGAGAGACCTCTACTTCATCACAAGCTTTCAACATTGACAGAATAGTTCTAGATAAGCAGAGGAGCAAGTTGCCTAAGTGGACGTGGATATATGATGATGTCTTAACAAGGCAACTAGTTCCCTCAAAGGGCAAGTCCAGCTTCTCCTCATATTTGGTGGATAATTAACAAATTCCAGTATTTTAAAAAATAATCATTATCATGGTGACTAGCTTCACTCGATTATCTAGCGTTATCGAATCTCTATCATCTATCATCGCCAACAGGCATGGCTCAGTTTAGCCAACCAAGTACTCTACTTCCAAGATTTTGACTTGTGATTAATCCAATTATCTCCTCTGCTATAAGGAGAAAAGATTATATTGGATAGTTTTGTTTCCTGCAGCAAAGTAATTTTCTGCATGACCAGCAATAATGCAATGTGGGAGATTTTAATAAGAAGCAATTATTTTTAAATTTAAAACTTAAACAGAATGCAGATTGCAATAATATAGCAGAGATGTGCACAAAATTGTGAGTCACTTTAAAAACTGTTAACCCTGCAATGTATTCTTGTATGGAACAGTGCAGTAAAATAAACATAACTGAAGCAGAAATATTTCTGTCTCCTAGAAACGCATATATAATATTAAAACTGACAAATAATACCCCCTTTGTATGGCATTCCGTAATTTAATGTGTTACCTTGTTTTCATCATTGAAATTAATAGTTTTTTTTTTTTTTTTACTGAAATAAAGAAACATTTATGAAAAGAACACATGATAACATATTTTTTTTTGGTCCAAGAGAAAAAGTTAGCATCTGATGTTGGAAAATGATCAATGATAAGAAATGAGATTTTGCAAAATAAAGTCATTGAATATGTTATGGAAAATACAGCCTCTGTCCCTCATTATCATGGTGTGCAAACTGAGGAGTTAAACAATTGAGATCTCTGTGATCTAGTACCCCCATCTCGCCTGTTATTTCCAACTCTGAAGACAGAAATCTATCACCAGATGGATGCAGTATATCTATATCTACATCTATATCTATATCTATATCTATATCTATCAATATTATCTGTATCTATGTCTCTATCTAATCTATCATTTTTTGGTAGCTACTTAATCCTCTATTGAAATTAGATTTCATATTGAGACAGGATTGTTCCCCTGACCTCCCTTCATGGGCGGGAAGTGGAGTGGCCTGTTACCCTTAGCCTGCTGCTGGCCACTCCTTGCAAGAGGGAGTGTGCGAGCAAGCAAGTGCAGGAACCAGAAGAAAGGAACACTGGAATCAGCTAGCTGCTTCTCTCTGGTAGGAGCAGGCTCTATGCGTTCCACAGCAGCATCCAATCCCCTGCCCTCTTGGCACCCATTTGTTGTTCGGGGTCCAGAAAGAATCAGGTCACTAATTGAAGGGTAGTGTATGCAGAGGATTTTACTGGGCAATGGATGTGGTTCTCAGTGGAATGGGGAGTTGGAAAGGGGATGGTGCGGGAAGAAAGTGATCTTTCCCTGAAGCCGCACCCTCTGAAGTTAGCTCCGTCTGTCTGTAGTCTGAGATGCTCAGCCGCTTGTATCCTCAACACTCAGCAGCCTGCATCCCCAACCTGTTGCACCAGCTGCTTCTATTGCTTGGCCAGCTGAAGTCTTTTTATACTCACAAGATAGGGGGCGGGGCAGGCCAAAAGGGCAATCATTTGGGCCGAAAAATGGGGTCAGCTGTTTTCACTTAGAGCCGAGGTTCTAGGTTAGAGGGTGGAGTTGAGCTGAGAGTCCAGCCATTCTGTGACAATATTTGATAATACTGAAGGTGAGATTATGAAAACAGAACAGAAGAGCACCTAGAAAGAGTTGAGAGGGAGGTAGAACACAGCAAGTTTTTGGTCTGAGAGCGGACCTTATCTGGTTACAGGTGAACTCTTTCCAGTAACTCCGTTGGTTGTTTAGTTTATTCCTTTCTGTTCTATCCCAAAATTTCTTCCTTACTTCTATTGTTTTCAAAGAGTACTTCAAAGGAGTTAAAATAAATAAAAGTAATTTTTTTAAAAATGCTTCATTTTTAACCTGGAAATATACGCACTACATCCATTTCAAAAGTTCCTTAGATGATTTTAGAATTGAATGATACCTTAGTTATAAGATGTTAACACTTACTGAATTATTATAAAGTGGTAGGGCTTCTGCTGAGTATTTTATGTAAGTGACCAGAGTGGCCTTTATATATTTTATATTTCATATAAAATAAATCCCAACCAATCTATCTGCAATTGCTACATTCCAGTTAGGTGAGACTTCAAATTTTCTTACCCAGCCCTTTTTTCCCATAGCCCTTGCTGACATTTCTGATCATTTTATTTAAAACTAAAAATGTCTAATGAATCAATAAAGATTTATGTTAATATTAAGAGAATACCACTGATCACATAAATTGGTAAAGACTTCACTACCAATTTTAATTTTTTAGTCCCTATTAGTATTTATTTAGGAAGAAATACAAGTTTTGAAGGATCATGGTTTCTAAACACAATGGTCATATTTGTTTCCTACCTCACTTTTATGATCATTAAAATTATCAGAGTTACCATGAGTTCTACTGACAGCAGACTCACTAGAATGTTGCTTGTAAGTTAACTTCACATTTATAAACTATTGAGTTCTAGTCCAGATTATACCAGCACAACTACAGCAGCCATCTATCTTCTTCCTTCCCTGATAGAATTATTTTATGCCATAAAACAATAAAAGAAAATGAAAATCTGTGTCTCACCTCAACACAGAGTTTTAGAATTTAACTTTTTACATTATCAATGAGCTTTGCATTTTGTGGATAATTTTTTCAAGGAAGCTTTGTTTCTCACCAGTTTGACAAAAGAGTTTTATGCAAAGCAGATGTGGATAAGGAAGAGGAAGGAGATAAAGTTGAAGATGAACAGGAAAAAGAAGACAGAGGAAAGAAGGAAGACGGGAGTGAAGGAGGAGGAGAAGGCCTGGCATAGAAGCACTGTCATTCCTGGCCCCAGGGCCTGAAGCTCATGACTAATCTAGAGAAAGGTGGAGCCTCAAAGTTGAAAAACTGTGCTTATGTAGGCTATGTGACACTTGTTATGTGCAGCTTATTTCAATAGACTGTAGTATGTTCGATGTTGATAGGTGCTATGGAGTAAATTTTTCTTTTAAATTGGCATGTGAAGAGCAGCTGAGGGAAAGTTTACTATTTTAAATTGTGTTAAACTTTGTTATCTGTTACCACGTTTTTCTGTCTTTGCTAATCATTTACTTCTTAAAATAGCTATATTTTACTATAGTTTTTATTTGCATCTATTTTATTAGGAGTGATCATAAATATCATTTTTATTTACTAAAGGCCCAATTATTTTTTTCCCTTCACCAATTTTGTAATTGGTAAATTTATTCTTTTTCTCAGTAATGTATAACATTTTTAAAAATCTGTATTATGGAAAGTTGCCCTTTGGTTTCTGAGATAATTGCAAATATTTTTCCAAACCATCATTTATACTTTATTCTAATTATTTATAATTTTTTCCAAATGAGGGATTTAAAAATGTTATATAGACAAAATTATGAATCTTCATGACTTCTGGGATTTTCTAATATTGAAAAATAATTTTCCTGTTTCAACATTATTTAAAATCACCCATAACGTATTCTATATTATACTTTTATTTTACTATAGTATTTCTATAATACTTCTATTTTAAGAAGTATATTTTTATGTTTTATATCAGACACAATGGAGATTCTTAAATAATATTTACCTAAGTCAGTGTCTTCAAATAGTTGGGAATATAATTGGAGAGCTACAAAGAGGAAAAATTAAAAAATAATTTATAATTTTAGAAGCAAACTCTGTTATGTGGCACTACTAGTAAGATGAAAATAAGGCCTAGAGTCATAGGTGAAGTCAGGCTTCAAATATTTCTTTAAAGGTGTATATGAATTATAAAGAGAAAAGAAGAAGTAACATGACCGAAGTATTAACTTATAGCATTTCTCTTAAAAAGAGTGTTTTTAGGCCAGCTATGGTGGCTCACGTCTATAATCCCAGTACTTTGGGAGGCCAAGGCGGCACTTGAGTTTAGGAGTTGCAGACCAGCTTGGCCAACATGGTGAAACCCTGTCTCTACTAAAGATACAAAAACTAGCCAAGTGGGTGCCTGTAGCCCCAGTTACTCGGGAAGCTAGGGAAGGATAATTGCTTGAGCCCTGGTAAGTGGAGGTTGCAGTGAGCCGAGGTTGCACCACTGCACTCCAGCCTGGGCAATAGAGGGAGACTCCATCTCAAAAAAAAAGAGCTTTTAGTCTTTTTAGTCTTTTGTTTTTCTAATTTTGAAACACAACTGAGGCATCATACTGACACCTATGGTAGAAGGTATAATTTAGCTGACAAACCGTTAGACAGGTATAGCTTTTACAAGTCCTTAATTTTAATTTTCATCAAGTATTTCACTTTAATATGTTATTTATAGAGTTAATTAAGGAAAACATGAAATTTATGACAAACGGCAATACTTAAGAACATATGGGAACTGAACAAAAAATCATATTAGTTTTCTTCTTTTAAAGCTATAGACTAGTTTAATTTATTATTACTTTTAATTTAGTTTGTGAATAAAAAGTTCAGGAGCGTAGTAGCTAAATGAAATACGTGTGATATTTTAAATGAGGAATTTAACAGATTTTTATCAGTGTGTTTTACAAGATGGATTAAAGTAAGTTTCATTAACCACATCCAGTTTAATTCCTCAATCTTTTAAGAAGAAAATGCATTAATAGAGATATGTTTAGTGATATTTTATTATGGATATAGTCAGGCTAAAAAGAGAGACATTCATTACTCAAACATACTCCTGAAATTACTTTTAGCAATTGGAATAACTTTGTATATGCAATAATCAATTTAGCTTCAATATTATTCTTTCTTGGACTTGATTTCATTTCCAGCAAGTGGAAAGAAAATGAATATACACACAGACAAAATTTTATTTTACTTGCTATGGAAATATTTTTATGTTATAAATGAGAGATTACACCAATATCAATCTTAAATTGGGTTCATAATACAGTTTCTCAAGGATATGTTCTTGGTCATCATCTTGCCAATCATTATACTCTCTCCCTCATTCACTCAACTAACAGAACACTATTGGTGCTATGGAGTGTTGAGATTTTCACTCATGGGCCTCGGGAGAGTGTGGGAAACAAGACAGTATGCTCATTGCTGTAGCTGCTATCTCTCAAGAAGGCAAAATCTGTATACTCAGGCCAGTTGTTCCTCTGGTTTTAAACTTTTATTTCTATTGGTATTGTCTCACTATTGGCTCTGGAAGGAACCTGATGCTAAGTTCGGCATCCAGGGAAAGGCATGGTAGATCATGCTTGAGTCAGGCATGATCTGCCACAGGTGGGGCATTGACCTATCCTCTGTGGTCACGGAAATGAGAAATGACAGTTAATCAGGTGAAGACCATGTGCAATGGCAAAAGGGCCATTTCTTAAATAGAAAATAGAGTTATTCAAATTAGAGAAGAGATTGGGAAGGCTGCAAACAAATGATAACTGCGGTCTACCAGAATTATAGTCTAACAGAAATTACAGAGGAGTTCATGGTGTCTCAAATTCCTGACAGATACTAATTTTAAGGATTCATGGAGGAGATATCAGAATTCCCAAATTATCAGAGAATCACAAAATCATAAATTATTCTTAAATATTTTCAGTGTTCTTTATATTCTACTCGTTAACATGGATATCAAGAATGCTTAATAAATTATATTTAATAGTATCTACAAAAAATTATAGTCTACAGGTAATACCCAAATTCTTGAAAGTTCCAGGAAACACTCAAGATAGTGTTTGATTATTGCAACATTGGCATCTCTTAGCAGCATTAGCCTCCTACACATACTCATATGCAGAATTGCCTAATTAAGGTCATATTTTGCTTCCAAAACTTATTTCTTGGAACACCACTCATAGGTTTTTATAAAAAATGCTACCTGCACAAATCTATTACTATTGGTTTTATTCACACACAAAAAAAATTGACTCGCTTTTAGCAGCAAAGCGGGCCTGGATCCCACTCTTGTAATAGTGCAAAGGCTGCAAGCAAAACTGACTAGATTCTGACTGCGTCTCTGTTAGGTGATCCTTTCCAGCTTCCCAGAAAGGGTGAGCTTAGCCTGTTAGTCCTGCCTGTTAGACTTCCTGTTTTTGCTTTTTATTTGATGTCAGTGAATTTCTTGGTCCATCAACCTCTCTATATTGATAGCTAAGCTTACAATAATTTTTTATAATTTTCAAATTTCTGGACTCATATTTTCAGGATTGAAGATTTGGAAGAAGATTAGTTTCCTCGTTAATGCAAGAGAGGGATTCCCTCATGGAAGCACTATATGAAGTTCTAAGATTTCATGCAATTTAATAGTAACAGAACTTTTTAAGAAACTGTTTGGAGGCAGCATGTTGGGGACATAGAGTCAAAAAGCGCACCTTGAACCACATGTAAAAATGATGATAAAAGGCAGGCACATGTATATGTTGGTCCATATGAGCTCTGCTACCTATTATAGCATTTGTCACAGATTGCATATGCAATAAATGCTTAACTCGAGAAAGTTAAGTTCTATCTGCCAATAATCTCACTGTTTATAACATACGTATATATTCTAAATAACCACAGAAAATTGTCAATTTGCACTTACATATCGAGAAATTAATTTTTATTTCTTACTGGGTAAAGAATAATTAAATTGTATATTAAACATTGTTTTTATCTCTGTTTTCTTTGTTTTACATCACATCAGCAAAGATCTAGTTAAATAACTCAGTCTCCATTTGTTCATATAAAAATTCATTTTTTTCAATCTATGTTACATCTGCCTTTAATATTTGCCAACTGAATAATCAAGATCATTTGATTAATATTCTCCTTATGTTTGAGGTCAGACCCATGAAATATCACAAGAAACAGGGCGCGGTGATGGATAAAAGTTATAAAATAGAAATGCATTTCAAAAAGTACAAAGTCAGGTGGGTCAAGTTCCTTTTACAGCCTCCTAATATCAAGGTTATTTCATTAATTGTTAAAATGATTGTACAATACGGCAGATTTAAAGAACAATGAAGAAATCTATGCAGAGACTGCCAGCTGTCTTCCCTATGGAATTTTCCTCCAAACAACACCACTAATTTCTAATTGATGTCATGGCCAACTGAAATGAAAGATACATTTCTCATCTTTGCATTGAGTAGTGGCATGTGACTAAAAGGATGAAAGTAGAACTATTACATAACAATTCCTCCTGAGAAATTTTCTACAGAGCTCCCGAAGTGTATTGCTGCATCATCTACACTGCTGTTTGCAATTAGCCAATGTGAAGGCCAGAGTTTCATGTTGGATCATAAGGGTGAGATCTATGATGGCCACGATAGAGAAGGAAGTAGAAAGTAGCTTGATTCATGGCTGACTTGATTGCTTACATGTGAATATTACTGTAAGAGTGAAATAAACTTCTAGATTTTAAGCCACTATTATTGTGTTTCTATTATTCACAGCCAAATATAACACATACGATTGTAGAATATGGTACCAGTAGAGCTATTTTTCAAGAAAACTAAGCCATGTAATTGGTTTGTGTAATTAGTAGGGTGGTGGGAGGTAGGAGCATGTATATCACAGATAGGAAAGCAGGTGACCCTTGTCATGTTTTATTGAATAAGTTATCTTTTCACCTTGGAAGACAAATTACATATTAACTTAGGATATAGTATTAGGAAAAATAATTGCTTAGTTTTGAAATTTTATTGGTGCTATTTCTTGAATCTATTAGAAAAATCCTACAAATGATTGAGTGATTGATGCCTAGGGTAGATGGAATACAAAGAGAGAAAGAAAACAGAGCTTTGCTAAAGGAGCCTTTCTCTGCCTGAAATCTACAATAGGAGATTCTAAAACTTTCAGGGTTGAAATATCTAACTTCACTGTTATCTCAACTTGTAACCAAAGAGAGAGTGTCTGCATAGCCACAAATTTCGTAGACTTGCATCCCCCTCTGTAAAGATTATGAGCTTGGTAATAAAGATGGCATCCACATTACAAGGAGGATGGCCAGAGCCAAGAGGCTAAAATAAGTATTTAGGAAGATTTCACACTTAAAAAAAAATCTGTTTAGACAAAGACTTTGATTGTGATTATTTGCGTATATAATTGACTAGAAGCAAATAGAAATTTACTACATTTTTCAAGAAATTTTATTGAAAAATAAATCTGAATTGGACCCAATTATTGGACCCAACATTAAAAGCCTTAAGGAATCCCCATGACGGTACATCCATGTTATAGCATGTCCAGATTTCATCAGCATGAAATGGGCTATGAAATCTCTATGTCCCTCAAGAATGTGCACCCAAAGGCAAATGTATAACACATGATGAAGAGGTCACAAAGTACAATGGAGAAAGGATATCCTCCCAAAGAGAAGAATCAAAAGCTTAGAGTGTAGTCTAAACAGAAAACTTGCCCTACTACTGAAGTAGAGTGTCTATTTTTTATGCTGAACATTATTTGCTAATTCCAACTGGCTATCAGCTAATGTGTTTCCCAGGTTTTCTCAATGAAATATGTATTCTTATATCATCATTTTATTACATGTGTATGGTGCCAGTAACTAGTGTCTCAGTTTGCAGGTTTCAGGATACTGCAACCTCTTATCTGCATCTGGTTTCAGGATACTGCAATCTCTTATCTGCATCTAGTAGAAAGAACTGCGTGTTACTCAGTGATTGTGAACACTTGGCTGCAAATAGATGTGAGTAATGGATGGCATACTAACTCTTCTCCTTGGGGAGCAGACAAATGTGTTCTATATACAGGAAAATGGATATCCATGGATATATTGGTAACCAAAGGAGCAGACTATGGGTAAAGGCTGCTGTTTGCCTATCCCAGTGCCAATCCCCCTACATTTGGACATTGATTTCTTCCTAGGTACATGGGCACATGTAATGGTGACAATGACAAATAATAGGATTTTTTTACAACTAGATGTGTTCATGTGTCCACATAATGGAAAGTCAGATGTAAACAGTGGCGTTATGTGAAAACTTTTGGAAAAGGTCCTGAAATGATAACTTTTACATCCTCTTTACCTTTACCTTCTTTACTTCTTCTTCTTTTATTGATGACGAGAGTAACAATGAGTTGGCTTTAAGTCTATTTGTCTGATGATGAAGAGATGCACATCCTAGGGACAGAAAATTGAATTCCAGAAAAAAAGTTCTCTTAATTTTGTAAATGACCATAAACTGGTAACAATACTCTCTAAACATAAGGCCTCTCACTAGCAAAATATACAAAAAAGCTCCAGGTAAATCATGCTAGAAACTAGCTTTGCAAAATTATAGAAGAGTCCTTTGCATGAAGACAACACAATTCTAACATTGATCCAGAATCCATTTTCATCTAATTCCAGGAGCACAAGTCATTTTACTTCCTGAATGTATTTTCTGATTGAGTGTGGTTGTGTAGAGCTCCTTTTCCACTGAGATTAGAAAGAGTTCCTCTTTTTTCTAAATTTTGAGAAGTATTGATTTTTTAAAATGAAATATGAATTTTGTTCCTGTGATGGTTTTTAGTGAATTTATAAATATGAGTCTGCACAGATTACTTTTCACAAACTATTTATTGTATTTTAGCACTTGGTTTTCCTTTGGGATTCAGGAGCCATATGTGAATAGAGATACTTCTCATTTATATTTTCCATAAAATGGTTAATTAGAAGAAATCTCACTGCTTTTTTAAAAAATAACCTATTCAGGTGAAAATTTTATAACATATAATTCACCATTTAAAGTGAGCAATTCAGTGGCATTTGGTACATTTACAGTGTTGTGCAACCACCACCTCTATCTAGTTCCAAAACAATTCCATCAGATGAAATTTTAAAACAACCATTAAGCAGTTTCTCATCCTACTCACTCCTTGACAGCCACCAATCTGAACACTTTCTCTATGGATTTTAGGATATTTTATGTAAATATACTCACATGTGTCCTTTTTATATAGCTTCTTTTAATTAACATGTTTTGGCAGTACATCCATGTTATACATGTCTCAGTAATTTCTTTTTCATGGGTGAATAATATCCCAAATAATATTCCATTTTATGTGTATATCACATTTTGTCTATCTATTTAACCATTGATGGGCATTTGGACTGTTTTCACCACTGGCTATTGTGAATAGCACTACTGTGAACATGAGTGTGCACATAGTTTTCTATTCTAGGAGTGGAATTGTGAGGGTCATATGGTTACTTCTATGTTCATCTTTTTGAGGAATTTCAGACTGATTTTCACAGAGGCTGAATGATTTACATTACCACCAGTGATTAAGGAGGGCTCCAGTTTCTTCAGATCTACATCAATAATTATTTTCCATGTTTTTAGTTATAGCCACTTTTGCAGGTTTGATAGTAGTAACTTTGTGTGGTTTTGATTGGCATTTGTCTAATAACTAATGACACTGAACATCTTTTCATGTGTTTATTGGCCATTTGTATATCTTTGGAGAAATGTCTACCCATGTCCATGATTTATTTATTTAAATTGGGTTGTTTGTCTTTTTGTTGTTGATTGTACGTATTCTTTGTATATTCTGGGTATGAGGCACTTATTAGAAATATGATTTGCAAACATTTTCTCCTCTTCTCTAGGTTATCATTTTCTTGATAACGTGAAATGTGTTACTCTATATGTGTATGTTGAAACCCTAACCCAGAGTGTTACTGTATTTGAAGTTAGGGAATTTAAGGTTAAATGAGGTTATACCTGTGGGATCTTTGATAGGAATGGTGTCCTTATAAGAAGAGGAAGAAGAGCCATGGATTTACTCATAGGGGAATACCTATGTGAAGACAATGAGAAAGTGACCATCTGAAAGCCAAAAAGAGAGGCCCCAGGAGAAACTAAACCTGCAGACACCTTGACCTTGGACTTCCTGTTTCCAAAACTATAAGAAAATAATTTATATTGTTTAAGCTACCCAGTCTGTAGCATTTTGTCTTAGGAAACCTAGAAAAACAATACATGTTTTTTTTTTTTAATGCCCAAAGTGTTTTAATTTTGATGAAATACAACTATCTGTTTTTTTTCTTTTATTGCTTAATTTTGTTGGTCTTATAGCTAAAGAATTCATTGACAAATCTAAGGTCATTTGGATTTAATCATGTTTTCTTCTATGGCTTTCATGGTTTTAGTGCTTATATTTATGGCAATGATACATGTTCAGTTAATTTTTTATATGTTGTGAGGTAGGAGTCCAGTTTTATTCTTTTGCATGTAGATATTCAGTTGTCTAAACATTATTTTTGAAGAGACTTTCCTTTTCCCATTTAGTCATTTGGCCCTCTTGATTTTTGAATCATCTGACCATAAACATATGGAATTCTTCCTGGACTCCCAATTCTATTACATTGGTGTGTCTGTCCTTAGGCCAGCACTACATTGCTTTGATTACTATAGTTTTATAGTAAGTTTTGATACAGGGAAGTGTGAGTCCTCAATTTTTTTTAAAGATTGTTTTGTTTATCTTGTGCCTCTTGCAATTCCATATGAGTTTGATATTTGATTTTTACATTTTGCAAAAAAAGGCCATTGGAATTTTGATAGAGATTACATTGACTCTGTAGATCACTTTTGGTTGTAATGACATCTTAATAAATATGAAGTCTCACATCAATGAACCCAAGATATTTTTCCTACTTATTTGGATTTTCTTTAATTTCTCTTAGCAATTAAAAAAATTCAGTGTACAAATCTTTAATGACCACCATCACACACCCCACTAGACATAACCAAATTTATTTCTAGTTATTTCCTTGTTTTGGATGCCACTATCATAGTTTTTTTTAATTTTAAATTTAAATTTTTAATTTCTAGTATATTTTGAAACACTACTGATTTTTGCTTGTTGATCTTGTATCCTGAAATGCTGATGATTTTATTTATTAATTCTAGTAGCTTTTTTGTGTATTTTTTTAGATTTTCTGTATTTAGGATCATGCCATCTGCCAGTAGAAAAAGTTGTACTATATTATTCCCAATTTGAATGACATTTATTTCCTTTTCTTTTTAAATTTCCCTGGGTAGAAATTCTAGTACAGTGGTGAAAGTGTGCATCCCTGTCTTTTTCCTGATCTTAGGGGAAGCTTTCAGATTTTCACCACAACAATTGTATTAGCTGTGGATTTTTAAAATATGGGCTTGATCATATTGAGGAAGTTACTTTCTATTTCTGCTTATTTAGTGTTTTTATTGTGGAAGAGTATGGGATTTTTTGTCCAGGATAAGTTGAGATAATCAATTGTTGTTTTTATTATTCAATGAATGTGGTGTATTACACTGATTGGTTTTCTCATGTTGAATCAAATTTGCATCCCTGAGATAAATCCCAATTGGCTGCAGTATATAATCTATATAATATGCGGTTATATTTGGTTTACTAGTATTTGAGAATGTTTATATCTACATTCATAAGTGATGTTGGTCTGTTAGTTTTCCTTTATTATGAAGTCTTTATCTGGCTGTAGTGCTTGGGTAATGCTGGTCTCATAGAATGAGTTAGAAAGGGTTCTGTCTTTTATCAAAGAGTTTGAGAAGGATTGGTAGTAGCTTTCTTTATATGTTTAGTAAAGTTAACAAATTGAAACCATCTGGTCATGAACTTTTATTTGTTAAGAGGTTTTCTAATATTGATTCAATCTCTTTGCTTATTCTAAATGTGTTCAGATTTTCCACTTCTTGAGTCAATTTGGTAATTTATTTGTTTCTAGGAATTTGTCCATTTCATCTAGTTTACCTAATTTTTGACATATAAAATTATATATGGAAATTTCTAAAATATTTAAAAATTTCTGTAATGTCAATAGTAATGTCCCCTCTTTTGTTACCAATTTGTTATTTGAATCTTCTCCTTTTTTTTGTCAATCTAGCTAAAAATTTGTCAATTTTGTTCGTCTCTTCAAAAAAATATACGTTTGTCTTCATTGATTTTCTCTATTGTTTTTCCATTCTATATTTCATTTGAATACATTTTTAAACTTTATCTTTATTATTTCATTCCTTCTGGGAGCTTTGGGTCTCATTTTTTTTTCCTGATAATCTAGTTGTTTATTGTATAAGATTAAGTATTTATTTGAAATCTGTATGTTCTTTAATGTAGGCATTCACTACTATAAATTTACTTCTCAGGAGCATCTCTGCCGCATTCCATGTTTTAGTATGTTGTGTTTTAATTTGTATTCATAACTAGAGGGAAACAGAGGTGACGGAGAAAAAGACGTACAAATATCATCCACTTGCAAAGTATAGATTTGTTTGTATTGTAATATGAATAAAAATATTACGAGACAGATAAGAAAATTTGAACACTGACCATTGATGCAGTTACAGTTAATTTTAAAATCAAGGTTAATAACATTTTAGTTATTTTAAAGAATGATAGTAATTTAGAGATGTATTCTGAATGTTTTTAAATGAAAAGATATGCCTGGGATTTCTTCCAAAATGAATCTTGTAGGTTGGGAAGAAAATGAGAACATAGTAGAAACAAGACTGACAATGAGTTGTTGAGGTTGGGCAATGCGTACACTAAAGCTTATTTTATCTTATTTTACTGTATATACTGTTAAAGCTTGCATTATTTTCATAAATGCATTTGCTAAGTGCAACTGTTATCAAATAAAGTGGATTGGGCTCTACTCATGCATTATTTTATTTGAATATTAGGTTTCCAGTTAAATGGTTTCCAGTTAAAACTTTCAATTTAATTTACAAAGATTTTTACATTACATATAAAGTGACCAAAGAAGCAGAACTTTAAAAATTAAATTTAATTGCCTGGAAATATATGAGAATTAAAAGTGTAATTAGACTGACACTGAAATTACCCTTCAAAATTTCATATCTTTTAGGAACTTATATAATACAATTCATATCATTAAGACTTAATCTTCTGAAACACTAATTGATAAAGATGAAGTTTTTAGATAACAAATAATGTCAGAGACCATTGGAAGTCCTCAGCAATTGTAAATCTGTGAGCTTACATTACAATTTGGCCAAGGCAAATTATAGTCATTCTGAAGAAATTCTTATGGAATAAAATGACCTTTTCTAGAACTGAAAGCCCTCTACATCAAGGTCCTTTGGTAAATGGGCCTAATGTGTTGCCCTCAACAGAGAGAACAGCAGAAATAATTTTATGACCATTTTAGATAATGCACAGTATTGTTTTGCCTCGATTTTTCTTATGTGCAGAAATGTTTACCACCAACACAAAAGTCCTGTTAAGAGATGTTTGTTAATGCTACAGCATCTTCACCAGCCCTATCATCTTCTGATTTAGACTGCTGCCTACAAATCATGGACTATTCGTGTAAGAATACATAGTAGATTAGATTCTAAACACAGGTGTACCCCATTTTATTGTGTTTCACTTTATTGCACTTTGCAGATTTTTTTTTCTTTTTTTTTTCTTACAAATGGAAGGTCTATAGTATCCTTGCATCAAACAAGTCTATCAGAGCCATTTTACCAATCATATGTATCTACTTTGTGTCTTTCTGTCACATTTTGGTAATTCTCACAATATTTCAAACTTTTACATTATTATTATATTGGTTTGGGTGACCTTTCGTCAGTGATCTTTGATATTTCTATTGTAATTATTTTGAGGCATCACAAACCACACCCATATAACACAGTGAACGCGTTGATAAAAGTTGTCTGGGTTTTGACTGCTCCACCGACCAGCTCATCCCCTGTCTCTTTCCCTCTCATCAAGCCCTCCTATTCCCTAAGACACAACAATATTGAAATGAGGCCAATAAATAGCCTTACAATGGCCTCTAAATATTCAAATAAAAGGAAGTCACATCTTTCTCACTTTGAATCAAAAGCTGGGAATGATTAAGTTTGGTGAGGATGCCTTGTTGAAAACCAAGATAGGCTGAAAGCTAGGCCTCTTGCACAGAACAGTTAACCAAAATGTAAATGCAAAGGAAAAGTTCTTGAAAACATTAAAAGTACTACTGCAGTGAACACATAAATGATAAGAAAGTGAAACAGCATTGTTGCTCATATGGAGAAAGTTTCAGTAGTCTGTAAAAAAAGAAGCAAACCAGTGCAACATTCTTTTAAGCCAAAGCCTAATCCAGAGCAAGGCCCAAACTCTCTCCAATTCTGTGAGGGCTGAGAGAGGTGGGGAACCTGCAGAAGACACGTTGGAAGCTGGCAGAGATTGGTTTATGAAGTTTAAGGCAAGAACTCATATCCGTAACATAAAAATGCAAGAGGAAGCAGCAAGGGCTAATGTAGAGCCTGCAGCAGATTATCCAGAAGTTCTAGCTAAGTTCATTGATGAAGATGGCTAACCTAATAGATTTTCAATGTAAAGAAAACAGCTTTCTATTGGTTTATGATTCTGTCTACATGGCTACCTTCATAACTACAGAATATGATGCCATCTACATGGCTACCTTCATAGCTACAGAATCAGTGTCTGGCTTCAAAGCTTCAAAAGACAGGCTGACTTTCCTGTTAGAGGCTGATGCAGCTGGTAACTTGAAGTTAAAGCCAAAGCTTGTTGACTATTCTGAAAATTTTAGGTTCCTTAAGAATTACATTATATCTACTCTGCCTGTGCCCAACAAATTGTACTACAAAGTTTGCATGACAGCACATCTGTTTACAGCATGGTTAACTGGATATTTTAAGCCCACTCTTAAGATCTACTGCTCAGGAAAAAATAAGGCTCCTTCAAAATATTACTGCTCATTGACAAGGCACCTGGTCACCCAAGAGCTCTCATGGAGATCTATACAGAGATTAAGGTTGTTTATGCCTGCTAACATAACATCCATTCTGCAGCTCATG
Source organism: Homo sapiens (assembly GCF_000001405.40). Lineage (NCBI taxonomy): Eukaryota > Metazoa > Chordata > Mammalia > Primates > Hominidae > Homo > Homo sapiens. The sequence goes on from NW_016107297.1 coordinate 221,362, forward strand.
GATCAAAGAGTAATTTTGACTTTTGAGTCTTATTACTTAAAAATACATTTTGTAAGGCTATAGCTGCCATAAATAGTGATTCTTTTCTTGGATGTGGGCAAAGCAAATTGAAAACCTTCTGGAAAGTATTCACCATTCTGGATGCCAGTAAGAACATTCTTGACTCATCGGAAGAAGTCAAAATACAAATATTAACCAGAGTTTGGAAGAAGTACATTCCAACCCTTTTGAATGACTTTGAGTGTTCAGGACTTCAATGGAGAAAGTAATTGCAGATGTGGTAGAAATAGCAAGAGAACTCTAGTTAGAGGTAAAGCCTGAAGATGTGACTGAATTCCTTCAATCTCCTAATAAAACTAAAGGATGAAAAATTTGCTTCTTACGGATGGCAAAGAAAGCAGTTTCTTGCATTGAAATCTACCTCTGGTGAAGATGCTGTGAACATTGTTGAAATTACAAAAACGATTTAAGATATTACATAAACTTAGTTAATAAAGCAGCGGTAGAGTTTGAGAGGATTGACCTCAATTTTGAAAGAAGTCTGACTGCGGATAAAAATGCGATCAAACAGCATCAGAAGCTACAGAGAAATATTTCCTGAAAGAAAGATTCAATTGGTGTGGCAAACTTCCTTACTGTTGTTTTTTTTTAATTGCCAAAGCCATCTGAACCTTTAGCACACCACCCGGATCAGTCAGCAGCCATCAACTTGACATAAGACCTTCCACCATCAATAAGACTTTCTGAAGCCTTAGAATAGCATTTTTAGGCAATAAAGTATTTTAAATAAAGGTATGTACAGTGTTATTTAAGACACAATGCTATTGCACAGTTAATAGACTATAGTATAATGTCAAAATCACTTTTATATGCACTGGGAAACCATGCAATGTTTGCTTTAGTATACTAGTCTGGAACTGAACCCACATTATATCTGTGCTATGCCTGTATATGTGTATATATGTATGTACAGACAAAGCACATATATACAGACTATATATATAAAGAGATGTGTGTATGTGTGTGTGCAATGGCATTGTGTCTAAAATAACACTGTACATGCCTTTATTTAAAATACTTTATTGCTTAAAAAATGCCAACAATTTTCTAAGCCTTCAGAAAGTCTTTTTGCTGGTGGAAGGTCTTGCCTCAAGTTGATGGCTGCTGACTGATCAGGATGGTGGTTGCTAAAGTTTGAGGTGGCTTTGGCAATTTATATACATATATAATATATATAAATTTATATAAAATATATAATTATGTATAATTAAAATTTAGTCTTTGAGATATACTATCCACATGTCAAGCATTCAATTGCCATATGTTGTTCATGGCTACAAAGAGATACAGAATTTCTTTCATTGCAGAAAGTTCAATTTGACAGTGCTGAGCTCATCAAATAAAGGAAGAGGGGCAGAGAAAAAAGAGATAAGTTTTTAGGCTAGAGATTCATGAAACAGCATCCTTTTCACAGAGAATTGAAAACAGTTTTCATTAATAAAACATAAATTATAATGTCAAGTTTAAAAGGAGATATAATTGGATTTTTAGCCAAAGGCAAGATTCCTTTTATGTCACTCTAAATAACTTAGAATTTATAGTCTAGGCCAGGGCATATTTCTACAATAATGTTCCTGTAAGCAGGAATCCATGAAATATTAATTGGTGCTGAAAGAAAAGAAAAGATGAAGAGCAGGAAAAAGTTTAAAGACAAAACAAACATGAGAATGAATTTTCTCTAAATCTATTTTTTTGCAAGTTTGACGTTTGCCTGAATAGAATAACCCCACTCTTTACTCAACTAGTCATAAAACCCAGTCCAGAAAAAGAGCACTTGGAAATAATGAGTCCCTAAAGGGTTCTAAGCAGAAGAGTGAGCTGCTTATTGAGCCTCCCATTCATGGTAATTCATGTGGCAGCTGTGGTGGTGGAGGGGGTGGGGGGGATTTGTGAACACTGTATAGAGGCAAATATTTTTCATTGTTGTTTCATTAATCCATGGAGACATGAGAAAATGATCAGAGCAAGAATATTGTGCAGAAAGCAAGGAGCATGAATTTAAGAAAATGTTAGAAAATAAAATTGTACAATCTGACTGATAAGACATGCACGAGGAAAGGAGAAGAGTCTAACAGGACTTCCATTTTTGGCACAGGAGGACGGCCACGCAATTTTCTGAAATACAGCATTATAGAAACATCAGCAAATGTTACGGGAAAATACAGCCATTTATTTTGAAAATAAAATTATTTTCAAACACTTGTATATATCCTGGTAGAGCTAGGTAGTCAGACTCACTTCCTTCCACTTTTTTTCTATCCCAAACTGATGCAGAGATTAGTTTTTCCCTCGAGTCTTTTTTTCTTATTACTACATTATCACTACTTAAGACACTAATGGGCGTGTGTTAGATAAGAATGAAAATTGGGAGCAATAGAAGTGCTTTGCGTCAAAGCATTGCAACATACTTAAAATGTCTGACCTTTTTTTATTTTTTTGCTTATCTGCTGAACAACAGTCTCGTATTAGTTGTTCTTTTAGGGCCAGCTGCATTGACTGATAAACCTCTTCTATTTCACTTTATTCTCCTAATTCCCAAAATCATGTTAATTGATTATGTAGCATAGTTAAACTTTCTTTGGTTCTATCTTTTTCCAAGCATAGCAGGACTTTACATGTTGTTTGTAAAATGATTTCATCTAGGTAGATTTTTAACTACAGATAATTCCCTTCCAATTAGTAAAGAAGGCATTTTTTCCTGTCTCTAACAATCGTTTTAAAATTTCTGAGATGTTTTGTTTAGTTTTAGAGTTGGCATTTTGTCCCTTTCTGACTCTGTACTATATCTAAATATCAAACCTATTTAGATTTACAAGAGATATTTTCAGGTCAATTCTGACATGTCAGTTTATCACGCATACAAAATACCAAGTCCGCCACTATCAAGTGGACCCTCGGTGACAGCTGCACAAAAACTTCCAGAACTAATCATCTGGCATCATTCTGTTTGGTACTATAGCCCACAGATTTAATAGCTATAATTAAGTTTGTTTCCTTAGGAGAATAGAATTGCAGACACTTATTTTGTCCATTATGATCCAACTGATTATGCTTCCTCAAGTTTGAATTTGTTTGGATATAATAGGAGTTTTCTCAGCTGGTGAATTTGTGTGTGTGTGTGATAAATTAGTAATTATATACACTATTTCGACTCCTGCAAACAATGAATATTGGACCACTTGATTTATTTGTTGCTATGATCATCCCACTTATGTTTGCTGGTATTTTAAGTCATTTGTTTTCCCAATGAGGTTTAAATTTTTCCTTTTAACACCAGTTTATTGAAAGTGAATTGCTTCTTTTATTTGCGCATGTTAGTTGGGTGGCAATTGAATGTATACAAATATACTTTTATAAAGTCTGGATTGCCCTATGCTTATAAAGTAGTAATTTAAACTTCGTATAGTGACAATACATACTCATGATTCTTGACACATTTTTTCATTTTAAAATAAAGTAATTTTGCTTCAGTTTGTCTAAGTGTGAAGATGCAGAAATGTCTCGAGACAATGTAGCTTTTTTCTCTCATTTATAATTCCTGTCCACATGAGATGCTTATTCTAACAATCAAGAGATATACCAGTTCGGAGAACACGTTCAAAATTTTGTATGTACACATGTATGTGAATGACTCTATGTTTGTGTATGCATAAGCTACAACCCGTTGAAGACAAAAGAAAGTGTTGAGTCAATTTGCTGCAGTGGACTCAGATAAAAAGCAAACAAAAGTTAAATTATGAATTCATTTCCATCATAGTAATTCCACAAGAGAGAAAATTATTCTTTCTGACTGAAAATTAAATATGTTTTCTAGTCTGGATGGAAGAAATAATTGTTATTTTGTTTCCATAATCCCCTTTCCTTGCTTCCTAAAAATATTATAACTGGCTACTGCCTTGTTTACCTCCCCTACTAGATATGTAGGTACAAGGAGGCATAAAATCAACTTCATTTAGCAGCATGTCAAACTCTAGGCACACATATAATTGCCACTAAATAAGTCTTTGAGAAATGTGTGTCCACCTCATAGACAGATTTTAAAAGATACTGAAGATCCAATCAGGTTTATGTTGTCATTTTGATGACTGAGTAACATTTGGTGACATGACCTTAAACTCCTTAATATTGAGGTATATTAAAAACAGGCACATCAACCAAATTCAATATTATGTGTCACTTGTGTTGAATGTTTTAAAAAACATATTATGGGTCTTATATAAACATTCAAGTCAATATAAGGATTTATTTTCTTTTTTGGCTGTGGTCTAGTGGTAAAATTGCAGCTTATATCAAAAAGTTCAGTTTGTATCCTGCAGCTAATGTAACATCTCTTTAGTTAGATTGGCTGGCAAACTGTATTTGTGTTTCACATCTTAAAATACATTGTTTTGGGACTCAGATTTGTAAATAAACTTTCGATTTTCTAGAAAACTTTCAGAGAATTCAAGAGAACTAGTTATCAGTACCATTCAGTTCATTCTCGTGGTGGTTGACATGGGGAGAAAAAATAGAATACTGTGAAAAGAAAACTTTGTTTTTTCCCTCAAAGTCTGTTCTCTTCAGTTGATCTAGGATAGCCAGTAGGCACATCTGCAAAGCAGAAGAATAAAAAGACAATTCATCTTGAAACCTATCTTCATTTTACATACATTGAAATACTTTGCTTTCTGAGGTGTGTGTGTGTGTTTTGTTTTTGTTTTTTTGTTTTTTGTTTTTGTTTTTTTTAAGACAGAGTCTCGCTCTGTCGCACAGGCTGGAGTGCAACGGTGAGATCTCGGCTCACTGCAGCCTCCACCCCCCAGGTTCAACCGATTCTCCTGCCTCAGCCTCCGGAGTAGCTGGGATTACAGGTATAGGCCACTACGCCTGGCTAATTTTGTATTTTATTAGAGACGGGGTTTCTCCATGTTGGTCAGGCTGGTCTTGAACTCCCGACCTCAGGTGATCTGCCAGAGTCGGCCTCCCGAAGTGCTGGGATTACAGATGTGAGCCACCGCACCCCGGCCTGTTTTTTCTTTTCTTCTCTTTTTTTTTTTTTTTTTTTTTTTTGAGATGGAGTCTCACTCTGTTGCCCAGGCTGGAGTGCAATGGCATGATTTCGGCTCACTGCAACCCCCACCTCCAGAGTTCAAGCGATTCTCCTGCCTCAGCCTCCCGAGTAGCTGGGACTTCAGGCTGCCCACCACACCCGGCTAATTTTTTTTTGTATTTTTAGTAGAGATGGGGTTTCTCCATGTTGGTCAGGCTGATCTCGAAATCCCGACCTCAGGTGACCTGCCCACCTTGGCCTCCCAAAGTGCTGGGATTACAGGCATGAGGCTTTCTGAGTTTTATAGACCACAAACTTATTCCTTACTTTGGTTCCCACTCTCTATTGATCTTTTTGGATGAATGATTTTGTTGTAAATTATACACTGGCTTTGAACTTTATTCCTCCTCTTGTTACCTCCTCAATGCTGGTGGGAGCTATTTGTTGAATATTCTACACTGGTCAAACTCAAGTTTCCCCCACCTCCAACCCCAACTCTACCTATGCCATTCTTCCCTGGAATCCTACCTAATGGTAAAACTGGATAATAAATTGATATTTGATTAATACTTATTCATTACTGACAACAGTATAATAACCTCTGGATTTTTAAACGATTTTTTTCTGATCTAATTTAGTGTTCATAGTCTTTATTTTTCCTTTGGGTTCCTTAGCAATTTTTTTTTTTTTTTTTTTTTTTTTTTTTGAGAGAGAGTCTCGCTTTGTTGCCCAGGCTGGAGTGCAGTGGCGCGATCTCAGCTCACTGCAAGCTCAACCTCCCGGGTTCACGCCATTCTCCTCCCTCAGCCTCCCGAGTAGCTGGGACTACAGGTGCCTACCACCACGCCCGGCTAATTTTTTGTATTTTTAGTAGAGACGGGGTTTCACCGTGTTAGCCAAGATGGTCTCGATCTACTGACCTCGTGATTCGCCCGCCTCGGCCTCCCAAAGTGCTGGGATTACAGGCGTGAGCCACCGCACCCAGCCTCCTTAGCAATTTTTAAAATTTATTTTCCTTTGCTATGTTATATTTGGCTGCTATTGGTTGTTTAAAATACCTTTTGGAGGTAAACGTAGTATAAATTGAGAATAAAATATATATCATAGATTTAATTCATTCTCCCTATCTTTATTGATCATATCTTATTTCTAAAATGTAGTATTAGGTGTTTTGAAAAACACTGAGATGAATAAATCATGGATTGTTTCAAAAAGCATATATACCAGTTATAGTGATAGAAAACTGATGTAAATAATAACAACATAAGGTAGAAGGTACATTGAGACGTATTTAAGGAACTCCCAAAAAGTAAAGGTTACTTCAGATTTGATGAATTTTGAAAGTCATCTTCAGCCAATTTGAACTTAGGCTGGGCTTTTAAAACCAGGCAACTGTGTACAATTATAATCTCATGAAGGAAGGAACATGGGAGGCTTTCACACCAAATGGATATTGTTCAAGTTGAGCTAAACTTCAGGATATATATTAGTGCAAAGGGTAGAAGTATAAGTCACAGTCAGGTTATATAATACCTGTTACAGGAAAATTGCCCATTATTATTTGGCAATGAGTATCAAATACATTTTAATAAGTATATTGACATGGATGTTTTTCTTTTTTTTATTATTATTATACTTTAAGTTTTAGGGTACATGTGCACATTGTGCAGGTTAGTTATATATGTATACATGTGCCATGCTGGTGCGCTGCACCCACTAACTCGTCATCTAGCATTAGGTATATCTCCCAATGCTATCCCTCCCCCCTCCCCCCACCCCACAACAGTCCCCAGAGTGTGATGTTCCCCTTCCTGTGTCCATGTGATCTCATTGTTCAATTCCCACCTATGAGTGAGAATATGTGGTGTTTGGTTTTTTGTTCTTGCGATAGTTTACTGAGAATGATGGTTTCCAATTTCATCCATGTCCCTACAAAGGACATGAACTCATCATTTTTTATGGCTGCATATGTGCCACATTTTCTTAATCCAGTCTATCATTGTTGGACATTTGGGTTGGTTCCAAGTCTTTGCTATTGTGAATAATGCCACAATAAACATACGTGTGCATGTGTCTTTATAGCAACATGATTTATAATCCTTTGGGTATATACCCAGTAATGGGATGGCTGGGTCAAATGGCATTTCTAGTTCTAGATCCCTGAGGAACCGCCACACTGACTTCCACAATAGCTGAACTAGTTTACAGTCCCACCAACAGTGTAAAAGTGTTCCTATTTCTCCACATCCTCTCCAGCACCTGTTGTTTCCTGACTTTTTAATGTTTGCCATTCTACCTTGTGTGAGATGGTATCTCATTGTGGTTTTGATTTGCATTTCTCTGATGGCCAGTGATGGTGAGCATTTTTTCATGTGTTTTTTGGCTGCATAAATGTCTTCTTTTGAGAAGTGTCTGGCCAGGGCAATTAGGCAGGAGAAGGAAAGAAAGGGTATTCAATTAGGAAAAGAGGAAGTCAAATTGTCCCTGTTTGCAGACAACATGATTGTATATCTAGAAAACCCCATTGTCTCAGCCCAAAATCTTTTTAAGCTGATAAGCAACTTCAGCAAAGTCTCAGGATACAAAATCAATGTACAAAAATCACAAGCATTCTTATACACCAACAACAGACAAACAGAGAGCCAAATCATGAGTGAACTCCCATTCACAATTGCTTCAAAGAGAATAAAATACCGAGGAATCCAACTTACAAGGGATGTGAAGGACCTCTTCAAGGAGAACTACAATCCACTGCTCAAGGAAATAAAAGAGGATACAAACAGATGGAAGAACATTCCATGCTCATGGGTAGGAAGAATCAATATCGTGAAAATGGCCATACTGCCCAAGGTAATTTACAGATTCAATGCTATCCCCATCAAGCTACCAATGACTTTCTTCACAGAATTGGAAAAAACTACTTTAAAGTTCATATGGAACCAAAAAAGAGCCCACATCGCCAAGTCAATCCTAAGCCAAAAGAACAAAGCTGGAGGCATGACACTGCCTGACTTCAAACTATACTACAAGGCTACAGTAACCAAAACAGCATGGTACTGGTACCAAAACAGAGATATAGATCAATGGAACAGAACAGAGCCCTCAGAAATAACGCCACATATCTACAACTATCTGATCTTTGACAAACCTGAGAAAAACAAGCAATGGGGAAAGGATTCCCTATTTAATAAATGGTGCTGTGAAAACTGGTTAGCCATATGTAGAAAGCTGCAACTGGATCCCTTCCTTACACCTTATACAAAAATCAATTCAAGATGGATTAAAGACTTAAACGTTAGACCTAAAACCATAAAAACCCTAGAAGAAAACCTAGGCATTACCATTCAGGACATAGGCACGGGCAAGGACTTCATGTCTAAAACACCAAAAGCAATGGCAACAAAAGCCAAAATTGACAAATGGGATCTAATTAAACTAAAGAGCTTCTGCACAGCAAAAGAAACTACCATCAGAGTGAACAGGCAACCTACAAAATGGGAGAAAATTTTCCCAAGCTACTCATCTGACAAAGGGCTAATATCCAGAATCTACAATGAACTCAAACAAATTTACAAGAAAAAAACAAACAACCCCATCAAAAAGTGGGCAAAGGACATGGATGTTTTTCTTAAAGCAGCATATGACGGCATGCAACAGTTCTGACAGGAGCTAGAAAATAATGAGATTGGATCTAAGGGAGTGGATGTAGCAGGTCTTGCAAGCAACCAGCCCAGCAGCAATGAAATCATGCTAATTGAGAGAAGCGCAGGCAGAAGCCGATACCTGGGGGCTACACCTATGAAGAATGTACAAAAGCACCACAACAAATGATCTAGTCTTCTGCAAAATAAGAACAGCATGTAAACAGTTTGGTAGAGTGAACCGAATCAAACAAAAGGAAAATACTGTTTGTTTGTTTTTTTGCCACATCCTTGTTTTAGATTACCCTCCTCTATGCTTCTATAAGAATATCTGTTTTTCTTATTGTAAAATTTATTTTCCTTTATTGCAAGCATCTGTTTATTTCTTGAGACAAATATATACAGATCCTAATTTCTGGACCCTGTGCATGTTACTTTACATGGTGCTATGATTTAAATGTTTGTCCCCTCCAAAATTAATGTTGAAATTTATTTGCCACTTCAATGGTATTAAGAGGTAAGACATTTAAGAAGTGATTAGGACATAAAGGCCCTGCCTTCATAGCTGGGATCAAAACATCATAAAAGAGCGAGTTGGGTTCCTTCTTGCTCTCTCACCCTTTGCCTTGTGCCATGTGATGATACAGAAAGAAAATCATCATTAGAAACCAGAACTTGATATTTCCAGACTCCAGAACAGTGAGCCAATAAATTTTTGCACATTATGATTTACCCAGTCTGTGGTGTACTGTTACAGCAGCTCAAACGTACTGAGATATATGGCAAAGAAGACTTTGCTGATGTCATTAAATCAACACTCTTGCAATGGAGAGATAATCTTGAATTACATACATAGCCTTGATATAATCATAATAACCGTTGCAGGTAGAACAGAGGACTGAGAGTCAGCAGAGAGGGTGATAGGAAACAGAGACTGGAATAATACATTTTAAAGATGGAAGAAGGAGCCACAAGCCAAGAAATACAGGTAGCTACTGTTACCTGAAAAAGGCGAGGAAATGGATTCTCCTCTCAGAGCCTCCAGGAAGAGCCAGTCCATCTGACATTTTACTTTAACCCAGTAAAACTAATTTTGGACTTCTGACTTCCATAACTTAAGATAATAAATTCATGTTATTTTAAGCCACTTAGTGTGTGGTAACTTTTCACAACAGCAATTGGAAATTAACATCCCTCTTTAACTTTCCACGTCCTTCACTATACTATAAGCTTTGTGCAAAGTAGAATAAAGGTAATTTCTATCTCATTCATTTTTTAAGTTTTAAATCACAATATCTGCAGAGAATGGCAAAATGCTTGGTACATGGTATGTATTCAATACTCAATGCATCTTTCATTAATTAAATGACCACCTTTCTTAAGAATAAAGAGACAGTTAAAATTCAGAACATTGAATTCAACAATGAGCTTCTTTTAGACATAACTCAGCTAAAAGATATTAGGTGTATGGTAATCTGAATTGTAGAAATGTTAAAAAATGAATACTGGTATTCACAGAACAACAAGCTAAATATTTTTATTTCAGTAGAAAAAATAAAAATTTCACTAGTTGAAATTTTATAAACATATTAAGTTGATAGATACATTGAAACTCTTACTATCCTCACAACTGGGAATATTTTAGCAGATTATACAAATTTTGAAGGAACTAAAATTTCTCCTTAAAAGAGAGGATAATAAACAGGTGAAACTCATTATTCTAGATATAATGAGTTTATATCTAGATATAATGAGTTTTTATATATTTATATTTCATTTTCTGTGTAAATTTGGATATGTCAATGATATCCACATACAATTTGGGATGATTAATTTATAATAAGGCAAATAAGACACGGACAAATGTATCTCTAAACAATGAGGTTGGTCTTGGAAGGTTATTAAATAATATCAAAAAGATCCACTGATGTCACCTTCAGAAGGAAATGGAGATAGATGGGTCACTGTCCATTTGTTTTGCTCCTTTGCAACATTCAGTTGAGGCCTCAGACATGGAACAAGAATAGAATCCACACACAGCACTGCTGTTCTGCATGCATAATGTGATTTATAAAACTTTCTTCAGGTAACAGAGAAAGGGCCCAGCACAAGGTAATTACAAGCAGGATCATCTAAAGAATTTACAAAGACAGGAAGTCTGCAACTGAGAATGCATAGGCCCATCAATAACACAAATAGCACCATGTGAGAGAACGATGTACAAATTATGAGGCAGAATGAACTTACTTAACAGCACCTGGGAACTTATCCAGGAATATTTTACGTTTTCTCTGAAAGAACATTAATGTGCATACAAAATAGGGCAATTTTCATGACAAAGTCCTAAATATAGAGAACATTCAAATGTCACCAAATTATGCCTCCTCTAAAGCTGAAATATAAAATACCCTTTCAGTTTTTTGACTAACAAAGTGTATATGATCTCTTTCTTGTTTCTTTGATTGATTCTTAATCATAAAGGCACCCATTTTAAGATATTATGAAAAATGATGGTGAATGTATTATAGCAGGAGTAATATTGTATTTATTTAATTATACAGTTACTAAATGTGTTCAGTATTAAAAAGAATGCCACCAACATCAAAGGCTGAAAAATTACTTTCCATCCAATATTTGAATACCAATATATGAATTAAATTTTAAAAATATTGCATAAATTTACAAACAAGCACTTTTATTTCTTTTTACATCATATTTAAAGTATATTTGCTTTTACATGCATACATTTTGATGTATTTTTACTAATTAATTACTATGCTTTCAAAAAAGTATTTGCTTTAAGACTTTTAGAAATGTTTATCTTTTCAGAAATATATTTAAAATGTCTTTTATGTAGGTAGGACTCAAGAAGCTAAAGGAGCTGCATGCAGTCCAGGTTGTATACACAAAAAATGAAGCAAAAAGTCCACTTAACATGAATGGGTTCCATAGATTTCTATGTATCTATTAGTTCTATAACTTGTAGCCATGTTTGTAAACCATCATATGGCAACTACCTTAGACCACATTAGAAATATTTAGGACTTATGAGTTGAAGATGAGGAATAAAAAAATCCAGAGAAGTCTAGAGCTATGAAAGTTATGCAAAGAAAAATAAATGTATAAAAAGTGGCAAATAACTGTGCCCATAGTGATCTATGCCTATATAAAAATATTTTCCAACATATGGAAAATATACGTCTAATATGTTGGCTTGTTGACTACTGCCATTTAGAAATTTATATTTATGCTATAATAAAGTAAAATTGATTTTATTCATAAAATATTTAAAAATCAGGTTTTCTATGAATAGTGTCCCTGAATTTAAAATTGTCTTCTCCATACACTTATATTTCCCAAGTCTTCATATCTCCTGCTGAGACTCCATTTCTGAGTCTAAATCTGAATTCCTATGTCGTTAATAATCTACATGTCCAAAGGAGACTGGATAATTGTATTCTTTTTTTTTTTTTTTTTTTCTTTTCTTTGAGACGGCTGGAGTGCAGTGGCGCGATCTCGGCTCACTGCACCCTCACCCTTCTGGATTCACGCCATTCTCCTGCCTCAGCCTCCTGAGTAGCCGGGACTACAGGCACCCGCCACCACGCCCCGCTATTTTTTTTTTTTGTATTTTTAGTAGAGACGGGGTTTCACCGTGTTAGCCAGGATGGTCTTGATCTACTGACCTTGTGATTCACCGGCCTTTGCTTCCCAAAGTGCTGGGATTACAGGCGTGAGCGACTGCGCCCGGCCCGTATTCTTAAAATCTGCTCTTTTTCTTCCATTTTCTGTGTCATTAAATGGCACAAAAGCCAAGGAATTACAATAGACTCTTCTGCTGCTCTTTTTCTGCCACATCCAATGAGTCATTTCATTTTTATAAAATTATCTCAATGTTACCTTCTTCTCTCTGTCTTCGGATCATTGTCTTAGGTCACAGCAGTCTTGCTTCCCACTTGCATTTTAGATCTAGCATGGAATGGACTTCCATCTCTAGGCTTATCCTGACCCAGTAACTCCTTTCAATCTACTGCCAGTGATTTTGAACCTACAGTTATGACCATGTCAGTCACCTGCTTAATAACCTTCAAGGGCTTTCAACCACCTTCGAAATAAATAAAGTTTGTGTAGGAAGAAGATGTTAAATCAAAACATTTGTGTTTCAGGTAATTCCTAGTTCCTAACTGATTTAAGGCTTTTTAACTCATCAGATAAAAGGTATGCCTCATGGGGATGGCTGAATTTGATTGATTATGAGGAAGTTAATGCTTCTCTGTGAACATCAAAATAGTGTCGGGGTTGAGTATTAAAAGTACAGGTGAGAAAATAGGTTCCAACAAATGATCTTGATGTTTTACGATTCTTTGGTAAAGACATTTCTCACCCAAAATGGAATTTTCACGTTAAGATCCAAGCCTAATTGTCTAAGATCATTGAGAGTTTTGTTGTTGGTTTTGTTGTTTGTTTTGCTTTGTTTTGTTTGCTGTTTTAGTCTATAAAGCAGCTGGAAAGGCTTTAGAGAGTGTTTTGCTGAAAAATAAAAGGTAAATGCTTATCTATTTTTTTTTTTTGTTACAGAAAGAAGATGGAAGAAGAAGGAAAGAAAAGGCATAATGTAAATATAAACGCTGTCTTTATTTCTGGATCTAGCAAAGAGTTAGTTTGAAAGAGCAATTGCTTATAAGACTACAAGGCTGATTTCTCCCATCCCTGCAATGCTGAAAGTCTGTGCCCTTCTAAGCAAATTCTAGTTTCCCTGACAATTAGTCTAATGGAATGCCTGGATGTAGGAATATTGATTCCGATGACAGTACTTTTACAGATGGACCTGAGATATTTCTGCTGGTTCTTCACTGACAACACACAACATATGGATGATCATAACTTTCCCATATACCCCACTAGGGCAAAACCAGAAACTGAGAAAGCTAGATGGAAGAATAATGATGTGGAAGGGGAGTTCTCCACTAGGAAGGATCCGATGAGTAGATAGACACAAGGACAAAGAGGGCCTAACTTTGGGCTGTGGAAGCGGAGTTGCACTCATAGGAGCCATAGTGAGTCATTGCATCAGAACCACTAAGCATCAGTCATGAAGAGCAAACGGGCTTGCTGTTACAGGAGCTAAACCCTGAACCCTTCCATCGTGGTTACAGAGAGCTTCTGGGGGACAGCATGAGACAGCTTAGCACTTCCCCAATATTATGAGGAAACCCAAAGGCCCAGATGCCACTTGGGAAAGGAGAACCAAGAAGGAAGGACTTCAGAAAAGGAAGAAACCATGAAACATTAAGTAATTTACAAACTAGACTCTTCTTTATTCTCTTATTTTATTTATTTCTTTATTTTTGAGACAGAGTCTCACTTTTTGCCCTTGATGAAATGGACTGGCCCAATCATGGCTCACTGCAGCCTCAAAATCCTGGCCTCAAGAAATCCTCCAGACTCAGCCTCCTAAAGTGCTGGGATTACAGGCATGAGCCACAGCACCTGACCTAGACTGTTTTAAACTAGATTTCCCTGAGAAAACTTTCACTGGAAAAATCAAAATTATCCTGCTGTCATTAAGAGAAAACTATCTGTTGTAGAAAATTACATTCTTTTTTTTTTCAGACATGTCATATAAATATTTGGACCCCTCTCTGAGAACAAACTACTTAAAAGTCATTTCAATCATTAACGAATATCATAATTGAGGGCCTGTGCTGGGTGCCAGAAATCTACCAGTGAGCAAAACAGCACGGATCTTTGTCCACAGTAAATTTACAGATCAGAGGAAACAGAAAAACAATCAGTTAAATAAAACAGGTCTGAAAATTGCGTATGAGAACCCAAAGCAGAGGTACCTAATCAGGTCAAAAAAAAAAAAAAAATGGAGCAAATTGTGCCTAATAACTTGGTATTTTTCTGCATCCATTTGATGTTCTAGCTACATTTCTTCACATGTCCCATTACTAAGGTCGACACTTTCATGCAGTTGCATATGTTGTTCCCAGTATTACTTTCCTGTTGCTGCCCTAACAAATTGTCACACTTTTGCAGCTTAAAACAACACAAGTAGATTATGTTACAATTCTGGAAGAGAGAAGTTCTAAAATCAAGGTTTTCACAGGGCCAGATTCTTCTGGAGGCTGCAGGAGAAAACCTGTTTCCTTGCCTTTTTCTGCTTCTAGAGGCTTCCTGCATTCTTGCCCTTGTAAGCCTTCCTTCCTCCCAGCAGTCCAGCCTCTGCTTTTGTCATCATATCTTTTTCTCTCTGACTTGAGCTTCTTGCCTCCCTCTTACATAAACCCTAGTGTCTACACCGCACCCACCAGGATACTTCAGGATAATCCTCCCATCTCACGACCTTTACCTTAATTATCTCTGCAAAGCCCCTTTCGGCATGCAAGGTTAACATATTAACAGGTTTCAGGGATGAGGCCATGCCCATTTGTGGGTGGGGGTGGTTGTAGGAAAAGCATCATGCAACCTACCACTCTTTGTTCACAGGAATTTCCATCTGGATCTTTTTAGAATTAATCATTATCATTTACTAAAGTGTGGAGGATGATAGAAGAAAAAAACGAAGGCAGTTAAGGAAAGAGCAAAGAAAGGCAAATGGGAAGGAAGGAATGAAGGAAGAAAGTCAACCTTAGATCATCATAGTAAAAAAAAGTAGTACTGATTACTGATGAATCGTTTAAAGTAAAAACTGCAGGATAGCTATTGCTATACCTATTTTGAAAGTGAGATTTCAAATGACCTCTCCAATTTGCATTCACTTATATGTCCAAAGGTATGACCATCAATCTATCTTAATGTCAGCAAAAGAACTTCACATTCACTTTTGAAGTGATTTGAAATGGCTTTAAAATCATTCAAAAATAGTCATA
Organism: Homo sapiens; assembly: GCF_000001405.40. NCBI lineage: Eukaryota > Metazoa > Chordata > Mammalia > Primates > Hominidae > Homo > Homo sapiens. Next base: position 236,967 of record NW_016107297.1, read on the forward strand.
TGTCAACCTTAACAACATGTCTGCAGCACACTTTTACTTCTCTGGCTCAAAAACTGTGCTGTTACCAGGTGGATCTCAGAGAATGAGATATATAGGATGTTCCATAGAGTATTCTTAGCTCTACAACATCTTCCCTCAATTTATCCTACTAAGTTCAAATTACTGACCTTCAGGGTATGGAAATAGATCTACTATTTTAGCATTTTACGCATTGTCTAATACGTAAAACCCATCAGCTAACATAAAAGAAGTTTCTTGTTAAACTAAGATATAATGTCTGATTATCGTATATTATCCAAAATATGATTCATACTAAATATGAAATTATCTATATCTATATATTTTGACAACATAAAAGCTATAGAATGTCTCTAGCACTAGATAGGAGAACAATACCTTCTTGTTATATATAATATTTGTTCAATATATTTTTCTTTTAAAAAATTTATGTCATGTAGGCCCTCCACCAGTGGTGATATGTGTACAATTTTCTTCTAACATACAGTATTTATAAAAGTTGTTAAGTTGTTTATTACTGAGATGTTTTGTACCTCTGATATAGATAGATAGATAGATTTATAGATAGGAGATAGATAGATAAATTATAGATAGATGATAGATAGATGGATAGATGATAGATAGATGATAGATGATAGATAGGTAGATACATAGATACATATATAGATGATAGATACATATATGATAGATAGATGATAGATAGATAGATAGATAGATAGATAGATAGATAGATAGATAGATAATCTTTTAGTGCCCCATAGAAGTAGCTCTTCATTATTGAAGGATAATCCACTAAATATGTTAAGGCGATTCATCTTAAAAGTATCTGTGCTCTCATTTGCTGTGTAGCAAACCTCCCACATGGAATAATTTGTCTTCATGCTCTTCTCTTCAAAGTCACAGCAATATTTCAAATTACCTTTAAAGCAGTATTTCCTGAGAAATAATTGCATTTTTCTTTATTGCCATATGGTTCTCTAGATATTTTTGCTTGTCACCAAGGGAAGGAGATCAAGTGGCTCCCCAGTGATAGGTGATGTTACCTTGGATGCAGACAGCATCCCTAACCAGATACTGAACCTGTTGGCACCTTGATCTTAAACTTCTCAGCCTCTGGAATTGTCAGAAAAAAATTTCTGTCTTTCAGGAATTACCCAGTATCAAGCATATTCTTACAGCAGCACAAACTAAGACAGGGAGGCTTTTGCTATCTCTCCTCTGAATTGTCACAATTATCTTCGAAATGGTCTTTCTACTTTCACTTTCATGGCTTTCCAATAATTCTCAATACAAATGCATGATTACATAAACATTTGCTCAAGAACCTGTATAAAAAGACTGGTGGATAGTGACTAGATCCTCAGGATATGCAGGGCTCAAGAGAAATGAAATATCTTGGGGATATGGTTACTTAAGACGTGATACTGTCACAGTGAATTTCACAGAAGATGGTGCTGCCCTAACTGAGGTTCAATCCATGTATAAGCCAGACCAATCTGAAGACAAATAAAGTATTTCACAGCCACAATTTCTGTTGTCATATTTATTTTGCTTGCATACTTACAAATCTACAAAAAAGAAACTGGTACAATGGTAGGAAATTGTTGCAAAACCATCTCCACCACTGGAAAAGCCATAAAACGGGTATCTTTTTCAAAGCAAATCAGTTATATTATCTCTTTGGGTTAAAGCTAAAATATTATACTTGAGTTATGTAAGTGTTATCTCTAACAAGTATCTACCAACAGGGCAGTGCCAAGGTATTAACCAAATACATTTGTAAAGAATCAATAACAAAGAACAAACACACCGGAATAGCTGAATGGAATGAAGTGGTTCTTTTTTTCTTTTTAAATTGTAAACCTCTAGGTGGTTAGCATTAAGGTAGAGAGTACCCTGAAGTAATACAAATGTTGCTGGTTTAATTTTTTTCAGCAGTAGGGAATTTTCAAAATATTGAAGGGTTATGAAGTGTGACTTGTGAAAAGGTTTTAGCAATCTTGAAGCAAATATTGCTTAAAAATATTGGGTTACGATCATAATGAATTCAATATCAGTTTAGAACCAAAATGTTTCTCCATAAAGATGGCAATGGTATGTGTCAATTAGAAATAAAACAAAAGCAGTTGCTTTCTATGTGATGAATTCAAGAGCTAATAGTTAAAAATAATTCAAATAGTTTCACCAAATAGATGAAAATACCAAATGTATAACATTAAATTATGTTAGGTATGATTGATTAGGAAACTCAGTAAGGTTGGAATGACTTGATTATCTATGAAATATATTTATGTATACATGGAAATAAAATACTTACATTTGTATTATTTTATCTTCATCCATCTATTGATCTGTCGATCTATTTATCTAGTTACCTAATCTTTTATGTGAAATTTATTAGGAAAATTTGAATACCGTCTGTCTTCATTGTGGCCCATGAGGTCCTTGAACCCAGAAACCATGTTTCATTTGGTGCTGTATTCTCAGTTTACGCATATGATTGATAGGAACTCCACAAAGATTTGTTAGATTAATTATTGGCCATTTCATTAATATTATATGAGAATAGATACAGTTAAACTTCTTTGAAATTAGATATGAGAGTTAGAAATGTTTAGTTAATGTGTGAGCTTGTTCCCAATTAAACAGGTATATATAAGTCTTGGGTAAACTATACCTATTGTGCATTCCCAGTGTGAATCCACTATGGCTACCCATTCTTTTGTTGTTGTTGTTGGTTTGTTTTTTTGAGTTGTTGTTTGTTTTTTTGAGACTCCAGGCTGGAGTGCAGTGTTATGATCTCTGCTCACAGCTGCAACTTCCGCCTCCCAGGCTCAAGCAATTCTCCTGCCTCAGCCTCCCAGGTAGCTGGGATTACAGGTGCCCACCACCAGACCTGGCTAATTTTTGTATTTTTAGTAGAGATGGGGTTTCACCATGTTGGCCAGGCTGGTCTTGAACTCCTGACCTGAAGTGATCTGCCTGCCTCAGCCACCCAAAATGCTGGGATTACAGGTGTGAGCCACCGTGCCTGGCATCGTATGGCATTCTTGTGTTGCATTTTATCCATGTTGCCTTGTTAAAAATCAAAAGCATTTTGACATCAACACAATGTCATTAACTTGACATCTAAGCAAACTGGGCTCATATCCTAGCTCACCCTTTTATAAATTCAATGACCTTATGAAAGTCTCTTGACATATTTGAGCCTCAATTTTTCTTACTTGTTATATGTGGACAAAGATTGCTGTGAAGAGTAAATGTGACATGTAAATATCCCATACATAATAGGATCACAATAAGTTTAAGTTTATTTTTAATCGCTAGCAAAGCATACATACGATATATATAACATCATTTAATTTAACATATATTTTGCCATATTTATATAAGCTTTTTAATGAAACATGAATTAGAATATGTTTGATTTAAAAAATTTACCTTGATTAAATATGTGTTTGGTTCCCAGGTTTCTGCCAGATATCTTTCAACTAAAAATCATGTTATTTATACATTTCTCCATGTAAACAAGATACGTTTGTTAAATAACCTACCACATGCCAAACACTACATGACATGAGATGCAATCACTATACTCTTATTTTTAAAATTAGTTACAATTAATAGATGCGTAACATCTAAATAGGCAAATATTCACAGGAATTTTCAGACATGTTAAGAATCTTGCCAAAGGTAACAATATAGAACATATATACACAGATTGAGTTTAAAAAAAAAAAAGGAAAACGTGTGTGTGCACATCTCATTATTTATTCTATAATCAAATGATTGATGTAATGCTGAATAACTTTTAAAGTATGTCTAATCATGCTGGTTAGCATATTATACATACCTTCATATGTTCACCCTAAATAGCTCTCCAGTAAAGTGCTAACTAAATGTATTATATTCCCTCCACTGAAATCATCAAGGGGGACAAATGTGATGAAAATATGTCTGGGAAGGCTTTTTAGTATTGTAAATAAAATGTACAGGATTTTCGAGACTGCCTTTATAAAAATAGCAAAACCCTAAATCAAGTGATAGAAAAATTGCAGGTTAAACAATGTAAGACTTCATGTTTTTTGCATTACCTGTCAATGTCTTTCCCTCTACCCATAATCTTTGATTGCTCAGAAATGATACCAACATTTACTACAAAAAGGCAAATGGAAAAATGTAGAATGTGATATTTTGATTTATAATAACTTTGGTGTTATTTTCACTTCCTAACACACAGCCCCTAATGCTAATGAGTTGGCTCCTGACTGGAAGCTCCTGGATAGCCTTAGGATGGGGGCTGGTTGTCAAGGGAACCACCTGTGTAATTAGAGGACTGGAAGTGTCACCCTCCTTCCCCTCACCTCTGGGGAGGAAAGAAGGGATGAAGGTTGAGTTCATCGCAATGACCAATGATTTAGTCAATCATGTTGACCTAATGAAGCCTCCATAAAAACTAAGAAGCATAGAATTTGGAGAGCTTCCGGGTTGCTAAACACATGGAGGTGCCTGGAGGGTAGTATACCTGGAGAGGCCATAGATGCTCTGAGGGCCTTTCTATATACCTTGCCCTATTAGTCTCTTTATCTGGCTGTTCGCCTGTATTCTTAGTAAAATTCTTTATAATAAACCAATGAATGTATGTAAGCATTTCTCTGAGCTTTGTGAGATGCCCTAGAAAATTATTGAGCATGAGAAGAAGATCCCAGGCAACTCTGATTTGTAGCCAAGTTAGACAGAAGTTGTGGATAATCTGTAAATCTATTAATATGGTTTCGATCTGTGTCCCCACCCAAATATCATGTCGAATTGTAAACCCCAGTGTTGGAAGTGGAGACTGGTGGGAGGTAATTAGATCATGGAAGCAAATTTCCCCTTTGGTTCTCTTCCTGTGTGTATTAGTCTGTTTTCGTGCTGCTGATAAAGACATACCCAAGACTGGGTAATGTACAAAAAAAAAAAAAAGAGGTTTATTGGACTTACCGTTCCTCTTGGCTATCGATGCCTCACAACTGTGGCAGAAGATGAAAGGCATGTCTCACATGGTGGCAGACAAGAGAAGAGAGCTTGTGCAGGGAAACTCCCCTTTTTAAAACCATCAGATCTCCCGAGACTTATTCACTATCATGAGAACGGCATGGGAAAGATCTGCCCCCGTGATTCAATTACCTCCCACTGAGTCCCTCCCACAACACATGGAAATTCAAGATAAGATTTGGGTGGCAACACAGTCAAACCACATCACCATAATAGAGTTCTCATGATATCTGGTTGTTTGAAAGTGCGTGGCCGCTCCCACCTCTCTTCCTCCTGCTCCAGGCATGTAAGATGTCCCTGCTTCCCCTCCACCTTCTACCATAATTGTAAGTTTCCTGAGGCCTCCCCAGAATCTGCTGTGCTTCCTGTACAGCCTGCAGAGCTGTGAGCCAATTAAACCTCTTTTCTTTATAAATTACCCAGCCTCAGGTATTTCTTCATAGAAATGCAAGAACTAACAAATACACTACTACTTGTAACTGGGACTTGAAGTGGGAGAGGAGGAATCTTGCAAGACTGAGTGCTTAACCTGTGGGGTCTGACTAACTTTGATTGCTATCAAAATTAAATTGAATTGTAAGACATGGAGCTGGCATCTTACAATTTAATTTAATTTTACTGTTGAGTCTGCATGGCTGGTAGGAGGATTGATGGTGTGAGAAAAACCCTACACATCTGGTGTCAGAAGTGAAGTACTGAGAGTGAGAGGATAGTGTAGGGAGTACAGAGAGTATAGTTTATTTTTCCTATAGACAAGATAACTCTTCCTTTCTCTTTACCTCTGCATACTTCACTTCTAACTGAAGCTGTACTATTGTTTTGTTCCCACTAGCCCTTGTTAGTTCTTTAAGCCCAATCCTCAACTCCAAAGTTGCTGCGTTCTGTTTAGCCAACATGAAGGGATGCCTGGAGACAGCCTGACTTTCTCGCTATCTAAAAATTCTAGATAGAGCTTAGGGACTTGGGTTGGATGAGGGTCCTGGGAAATCTACAAGAGACTCTTTGGCCTCATTATTTTAGACTTGAATGATAAAAACATGGCTAAACAACAGAACAGAGATAATTGCTTTTGAAATTTTCGTGACACTCTATTTAAATTAAAACTGTTAAAACCCCAAGGAGAAACATTCATTTTCCATCTTTTTCAATGTTTTTCTTAGAGCCATGAATTCTAGACATAAACCATAAAGGCCCCTCACTAAAAACCCGGCATAGAAGGCAGTGCAATCTGCACAGGGGGACATGGCAGACATGCAGATGAGAAGGCACTCCTATCACTTCAGGGATCCTTTATTAACCTGAAAAGCTCTTCTAAGGTATGGCTGGAAATCTGACCCCTGAGACCTGGAAGTTAGGTATGGATGACTGTGGCACTTACAAAGTAATTTCAACCTCTGCCTTAAAAGCCAATGAGACCTGTAGGGCAGAGGCTGTGGCTAAGTGTTAATGACCAAACTTCCCTAGTCTCTGTGCCTCCTCCAGTTAGTCAGAATTTTACTTGGCTCTGGCTACAAAAAACTATCTTCTTACCAGAGCCACATCTACTTTCCAATAAAGTATATCCTTTGCTGTAAGTAGCTATGCCTTTGAGTAAGTTATGTAAAAATTGTAATACTGCTGTGAGTATAACTGAAACCACTAAATCCATGAAATCCGTAGACTTCTAGAATCTTGGGCTCCCAAAGTTTCCTCCAGAAAAATGCCTTCCCCGAATTGCTCTGCGCTTATGGTCAATTTCTGATTCTGCATCTGCCTCTTTCCACCAAGACTCACTTTTGCTTGCCTCTAGAGTTTCCTTCAGTGTGGACAATGCATCTAAATGTGCCCCAGGCACACTGGCCTCTTTACTGTTGAATCTGCAGGGCTGGTAGGTATGGTTCTGCCTCAGGGCCTTTGTGCTTCCCACTCTCCTCTGGAATGCTCTCTCATGGTTACCTACATAGTAACTGACCACCACCCTAGGCTAGGAACTTCCCCTGGGGACACAGGGGTGCCAAGGCATCTCTGTGAGACCCCATGGGTCTTACACATAGTCTCTGTAGTAACTGTCTTCCCTTGTAGTCTCTGTGTGGTTCCTCAGGAGTGGAGCCCCTGGGGGAATGTCAACTCACCTTTTGTGGACTCCCTCTATTTAGAGTCCCAGCATACTCCCTGGCGTGGGGAAGATGAAGAGATTAATCACATAACAAAGGTGTCAGAGGAAAGAATGGAAATATTTGAGAAGGGAAGTGCAAATGGATAGATACTGTAAAAACATAGACCATAGGTTTAGTGAGGAGTTTTTATTCCTTAAGGGTTGATTTAAAGAATAACTGGGGAAATAAAATCTATGAAAAGATTGGATTCCAAGGAGACAAAAGTTAAGATTCCAGATAGAGGCAGAAGCTTGATGAGCTTAGCATTTTGTAGCCTAATTAGTGGGCTCCAGGCTTTCTAACAAATTCTAAATGAAACCTTGGTAACCATGGTGCTGGACCATGCGTTGAGGAATAAGGTCTCTGCCTGCCACACAATAGTCATTCCAATATGGACTCAATAAGAGTCTATTAGATAGCTAGATTATCTGGGAGGCTTCAATCTTTATAGGATAGATGATTTTTTTTTTTTTTAAGACGTAGTCTCTCTCTGTTGCCCAGGCTGGAGTACAGCGGTGTGATCTCAGCTCAATGCAACCTCTGCCTCCCGGGTTCAAGCAATTCTCCTGCCTCAGCTTCCTGAGTAGCTGGGGATAGATGATTCTTAAAACTCTTGGAGACTAACAATCACCTGCAGAACTTCTTAAATATATCCATGAGCAGACCTAGGCACAGAGCTACAGAATCAGGCGTCCCATTACTCCATTGAGATTTTAAGCATTGCCTTTGTTTGCACATACAGATGTAGGTTTGGAAGTGGGACCATTTTAACTCTTTATTCCACTTAATAGATTTATTTGTAATTCCAGATTTATCTAAATATTTTAAGTTTCTTCCTATAAAGAATAAAGGGTTTGATATAAATATATGTTATAAATTGTTTACTTAAATAACATGATGTTTTAGAAATTGCTTCCTTATATTATCTTTTTAAATCTTCTTTTCTTTAAACCAACAAGCACACTTGACTAGGAAGTTATCTTTAAGTATGCAGGGCTCATGTTTTCTAATACTTTGAAATTGTTCTCATAGTTCTTCATAATTTTCTCTTGTTTTTCGCATATAATCATAAGGTAGAATAAAAAGTTAAGGTTTTATGGCTAAGAGGATCTAGCTCTGCTAGTAAATCATCTTGCTTGCCCTCAATTTCCTCTGTGTAAAGTGTAAGCACTTGAAAATGAGGTTCTTTTTAAGTTTTGTGTGGATAGTAACCCACGTCTATAACGAAACTTCAACAAATGTGATGAAAGTAACTTGGATTTCAACAAAAACATCTCTCTAAATCAAACTGGTACATATGCTGCCATTTAGCTGTCATTTCTAACAAAATATTTTAAACTAAACTTCTTATTTTGCTGTCAAAACTAGCTCCTCATTATGGCTTCCTTATTTCTGTCCAAGGCCTTTTCTTTCCATCATTCTCATTCTACGTTTTAGAATCCGTCCTCACTCTAAGTTGTTCTCACATTTTCCATACCCAGTTGCCAAGCGCTGTTGATTATTATTTATTAGTATTTCTCAACTATTTCATGCTTTATTTCCTTTATCCCTGCTGCTATAATCAGTCTTAATGGCTTGTATATACTGCCCCAAATTAAAATGACTAGTTAATATGAAACATAGTTCACTTGGGGGCCAGGTGCGGTAGCTCATGCCTGTAATCCCAGCACTTTGGGAGGCCAAGGCGGGCAGATCACTAGGTCAAGAGATCGAGACCATCCTGGCCAACACGGTGAAACCCCGTATCTACTAAAAACACAAAAATTAGGGCCAGGCGCGGTGGCTCACGCCTGTAATCCCAGCACTTTGGGAGGCTGAGGCGGGTGGATCACGAGGTCAGGAGATCGAGACCATCCTGGCTAACATGGTGAAACTCCGTCTCTACTAAAAATACAAAAAATTAGGCGGGCGTGGTGTCTCGCGCCTGTAGTCCCAGCTACTCGGGAGGCTGAGTCAGGAGAATGATGTGAACCCGGGAGGCAGAGCTTTCAGTGAGGCGAGATCGCGCCACCACACTCCAGCCTGGGAGACAGAACAAGACTCCGTCTCAAAAAAAAAAAAAAAACAACACACACACACACACACACACACACACACACACACACACACACACACAAATTAGCTGGGCGTGGTGACTTGCGCCTGTAGTCCCAGCTACTTGGGAGCCTGAGGCAGGAGAGTCGCTTGAACCTGAGAGGTAGAGGTTGCAGTGAGCCGAGATTGTGCCGCTGCACTCCAGCCTGGAGACAGAGCGAGACTCTGTCTAAAACAATAGGCAGTCTTGATGAAATATTAAGCCCTTTAGCCTAGAATTCAAACATTTCCATAAGCACACCTCTCTAAGCTGCTCCATGAAATAGTTACAATAATAGTGAAACGCTATTATTGCCAATGTGAAGATGAGAAAACAAGTTAAAAAACTTGCCCTATGCCATAATATACAAAAAAATCCACTAAAGAGGATCTTCTTAAAAAGAAAAAAGAAAGAGAGAGAAGTAAAAAGACTTTATTTCGGTGAAGAGTTTGCAGACCAGGAAAATGCAGCCTTCAGTACAAAACAAAGGTGCATTCGAGAGAACAAGGAGAAGGACTGTCTTTATTAATAGACAAAGTTTCTGCCCAGGTTCTCACTCTGGTTTACTTATGCAAATGAAGGATGCAAAATTATTTAGTTCTGACTGGCTGATGCTTGTTGAGTTTTGATTGCAGATGCAGGACACAGTCTATTGATTGATTCAGGCTGCACAAACAGGAATAGGTAGCTATGAAAGTCCCAAAGTTAGGTGAGGCGTAAGGGTTTTCCCAGAACATAGAGTATGTGTATTGGCCTCCAGTCACCAAATGGCTGCTTGGCTCTATTTTGAATTAAGGCCCATTCAGCCACTTAGGATCCATCTTGAAGGATTGACTCTTTCAGGGTTCATACATATTATTATCATCAAAGTGATGATTCCAAACCAGGCTAGCTGAGTCAAGTCTATACTGTTAACTACGTTAAAATGTCAACATCTTGGACTTTTCTGCCTCTGAATGCTTGTTCTTTCTAGAATATTTATCTCAGTCCCTTCAGGCATGTATAGCAAAACACTGTAGACTGGGTCGCTTATAAACAACAGAAATTCCTTTCTCATAGTTGTGGAGTCTGGGAAGTACAAGATCAAGGTTTCAGTAGATTCAGGGTCTGGTGAGAGCCCACTTTCTGGCCCATAGATAGCATGTTTTCACTGTGTCGTCATATGGCCAGAAGGAGCAAGGAAGCTAGCTCCCTTTATAAAAAGGCACTAATTCCAATCATGAAGGCCCCAACCAAGATCTAATTAATTCTCACAGGCTCCATCTCCAAATACCATCACACTGGGAATTAGATTTCAACATATGAATTTTGGAGGAAACTCAAACATTCATTGTACAGCAATGTCCTTCCTACATTTAACATGCACTCTGTTTATTATCCCCTATTCAGGCATGTATATCCTTTAAGACTAAGTTCAAGAATCTTTCTCTTGTCTGTCCTGGTCATTTTTGACAGCAGTGTTGTCTCCTTCTTTACATGTTATCACCTATTTCAATAGGAACTCCTTGTCACTTGAATGTTATTTTTTATTGAAATGCAATTATATTTCTTGTGTCTCTTACTATCATGTAAGGGTAGAATATATGTCATATCACCAAAGTGACATGCATAGAGTGTTAGTCATAAGGGCTCTTTGATAAAAATGTTATAAATGCATGAATTCACATGTATTAACAGAGGTATAAAATCTACACTTTAGATTTAAATATATGCTTTGCCCCTATACTGTATCTCTTGTTGTAAATAAAAAATACATAACTAGATAAAGTTTCGAAGTCTTAGTATGCATTTGAGAATTCAGCCCTGTTCTATATCTAGATTTACAAGGAAAATTATTTTCTAACATGGGATTGATTTAGGAGTCATAAATGTCACCTTGTTATTTTGTAGAGCAACAAATAATCACATATCTGCAGAGGGTAACGTGCTAGGTAAATTTATACTGATTATTTTCTTTCCTAATTTACTATTAATGTTGAGTTTTTCTAAGAAACTCAATATGTTACTCTCTTAAGAATGGTTAATAAAAGGTCATAAATAAATTTTCTTACATAATATAGTCATAATTTCTTGACAAATTTGTATCAATAAAAATGAAAAAATATATATGCTTGGTTAAAGGAACGGTGAGTCATTTGAAATAGCTTACTATGTAACTAGAATAATTGTAACAATTTATTAACTGTAAGGGACTCAAAATTTTTTCTCCTACTCATTTTACATATGAGGAAACTATTAACAAAAAGTTAATTGATATGCTTGAATTTACCAAAATAAACCAACTTAGAGCACTTCTTAATTAGAAATACAATCATGTTTCATGACATTATACCTCACTATATTCCTGGTCCTAAATCCAATTTTAAATTATTTTAAACATCTTCATATAAGATAATATTTTTTCTTTTATTTCCACTTAATCACAGAATAGGATGGTTTTAAATACTTGCAATGATAGAGTTTAGAGTAAAACTAATTAGATACATTGCTGGTGCATTTCAGAGCAACACTACTTAATTGGAGATTACATCATAGAAATTTTGTAATAATGTAATTAAAGAATTCTGAATAATTTTAATTGAAATTAAAACCACTATATGTAGATGTTAATGAGATTTGTCATTAACATCTTATTGACTCAATAAGTTGACTCAGATTAAGGTTTTTGGCCAACATATGGATTAACTGAGACTACTAATGTGTTTCTATTTCAACCTTCTGTGTGTGTGTGCGCGCGCGTGTGTGTGTGTGTGTGTGTGTCTGTTTAATCAATACATCAACATTCTCTTAGTGATGTTTTGGAATCTATTTAACATTCACATTCAATTGCCTTCCATAATCATTTTAATTACTATAGATATTCTGTTTCTAGTTTATAATTTTCTTGTGCTCATTCTGCAAATTTCTATTCTTCTTCCACCTTGAATAATTTTTAGGCCTTTCATTTTTTTCCTTTTCCCCTCAGTGGTATTTCTTTTATTAAAAATCCTAGATTGACATCGTTAGTGAGTTACACTTCTAATTTTTTCTTTCTGTGCCCAATAGTCTAAGATTATTCAAATGTGATAGCACCCTTTGCACCAAAATAAATACATTTGGGCCTAATTAACTTCTGTTCATTAAAAATGACCTTGTTGCGATTAAGCAGGCATTAACACAGACTCAGCTTTCCCAGAGATACATTTAGAAGTCACCAAAAGAGAAGGGAACTTTTAGACACTCTGAGCCTTCCAGTCATATGACTCAGACAACACTGAATTCTGATGGCGTTATTAACAATATCATCTTTAATAAGAGATTCATTTGTCCAATAATGCTAATGAATGCTTTTCAACAGTGAGCATGTTAATATTTGCAGAGTTCTTCACTCTCCTTACCATGTCAGTGTCCATACTCCCTCTTATGATAAATATGTATGTTTCACTGAGTATGCAAAAATCACAAAGTTCCATAGTAAAATGTATTGAATTATATTGCATTAAATACAATACACTCTCCTTTGGAAAGAAAAAGAAGTTTAGAAAATGTATCCGTTAATTGTCAATGTTTACATTTAATCCTCTTTCATCAGCAATTACCACTCTGTTAATCTAGAAGAGGTTAATTTACAAAGTAAATAGTGTACTAATGAAGATTCAATATTTACTTAGATTTGTTTTCTGTATACAATCTTATTTTTTTATTTGAAATCATACAATTGTGACCGTTACTTCACATTTATAAAAACCCTACCTCTTCAACCTTTTCCTTGCTTCTCTATTTTCATTTTCATAATCTTCACCATATACTAAAGAAATGTAACAGACATGCTTATGAACTCTCTCAGTTATGTGGAGACATGCTATGATTAGTAAATATAAGAGTCAAATCCTGGTTTGCATACAGGCAGATCAAGAGGAGCCTTTTCCCTATTAGAAAAAATATTGTACTATGGAACTGGGTCTTACTAACAATTATACTTACTTTCTTGGCCACCTTGGGTAAATCATCTTACTTCTCTGGGCTTCAGTCTCCTTTATAAATTAAAGGTATTAGACTAGTATCAACAATCTCAAACATGAATGTATCTTTAAATTAATCTGGGAGCTTTTTAAAAACTACCCTTGCTCAGGCCTTGTGATCAGAATCTATCTTGGGTGAGTCTGAGAATCAGTAAACATTGAAAGTACACAGATAATTTGATTTTATAGTCACAGTTGATAAAACTGGATTAGAGGAACATTAATGTTTCTTGCAGTTCAAAGAAATTCGAAAAGAGACTAATAAGATGTTAAGAAGGTATAGTATTTAGATACTAAGGAATCTAAAATATGCCTTTCTGGAAAACTTGAAATGTATATGCTTTTTATAAAAAGGTAATTCCTGTTTTTTTTTTTTTTTTACTATTATGCACCACTGCTGGTGAGCATCAGCATGTGCTCCTAGAAATAGTTTCTGCCTGGAGTTTTTAATGACTGAAGCTTCCCACACTTGCCGTTCATTAGAAACACATGCCCTGCAGGTAACCACTGTACAGTTGGTCTTCTCATGAGAAGTCACAGAAATTCGCTACAGCAATGCAATGAGTGCTGCAGACATAAACTTATTGTTTCAATTTATCCGCAGTTCTTGGAAGGGAACAAGAAAAATAAAATCTAGCCATAGTTAAGTTTCAAAGACATTTCTCTGCCAGGCATAAGTACATGGTTTAGAAGATAGAACTGAGAATTTCAAGGAATCTACAAAAGTCAACTTCTTCCAGTGCCTAATTTTAGCGAAAAAGAGTAAAGCAATACTGAGTTTAAATGGCTATAACTTGTAAAAAGTATTACATTAAAATAAGGAAAACAATCTTCTTCATAAGTATAAAATAATGCAACCCATTTCATCTTTTATAAGGTTTAATTAAGCATTTTAATGAGAATTAGAGTAATTTTCTTAAACAGCAAGAGGAAATTTAAATGTATATTATGTTATATATTAATATATAAATAGTATATATTAATATATAAATAGTATATATTCAAATATATACTTAAATATTTATATATTTAAACAGTACATATAACGTAATTTTACTTCATGTATAAATTATATATAAATATGTGTATATCAAATAGGTTAAAGTACTATATTTGCCGAACTTTAATGAATGGCCTTGTTTCCCACTGTAATTCATAATCAAGTACATTTATATATTTAGAAATGTATCAGTCATTTATTATTGCAAGTGTCTTAAACACTGAGTAGCCTATACAAAGAGTTGATCTCTCACTCACAGGTGGATCAGCTCTGGACCTACAGAGCTCGTCTCAGATCAGCTATCTTGACTCTAAGCGATAAGCTGAGTTCATGTGTGTGCACATTCAGGGGTTATACTACCTGGGGTATGTTTCTCATGGCAGATGGCAGAACACAGAAGAATATGAGACGTTATGTCTCTCGAGGTCTCAGCTTGGAACTGGCATAGTGTTACATCACTGATAATGTCTTAGCCACAGCCAGACTCATGAAAAAGAGCGGACTAAATGTTTGCACATGATATTTTATTTTACGCAATTCATTTATTTACTCATTCATTCAATTGCTTATTTAATCATTCCTTAAAATACATAAGCTGAGAGCTGACTATATGGATGGCAACAGGCAAATACAATAGATACAGTAGTGAAAAAAATAAACATGGTGTCTTTTGTTATCAGTCCAAAGCTCAGTGGAGCAGTGAGTGATACTAATCAAACAACTGCACAAATGCATCTCTAAGTAAATTATTTTAAAAGTACAGTTAAAGGAAACAAGTAGGTGCTATTAAGTACATGATATAATATCAGGGTTCAAGAAAATTTTCAGAGCAAATGGCAAATGAGATACGTATATTCAGTCTGCCCTTCAAGTCTGCAGGTTCAACCAATTGTGCATGAAAACTATTTGGAAACATTAATAACAGTGTAACAAGTAAAAATATAAATAAAAATACATTATAATGATGATTTACATAGCATTTACATTGTATTAAGTATTATAAATAGAGATGATTTAAAGTAGATTACTAAAATCATCTACTTCAGTAATGTTATAGCAAATATAACATATATGGTTACCTGCAAATACTATACTATGCCATTTTATATTAGAAACTTGAACATCCATGGATTTTGGTATCTGGGGGCAGGAAGTTCCTGAAACCAATTCCACATGGATACCAAGGGACCACTCTGTTATCTAGCCAAAAATGATGTAGTGGAAAGAGAAAAGAGTGTTTGAAGCAAATGAGTGTGTGCAATTTCTTATAAAGAGAGAAATCATGTTTGCGTGAAGAAATTTTTTTAAAAAAAGAAATAAAAGACATGAGAGAGAATGATATGGGCTAGAACCGTAAAGAGAGGCAGGGGTCAGATTACTTAAGGTCTCATGTTCCACAATAAAAATTTTTAATTTTTACCTAGGAGCAATAGGAAGATGGTGAATACTTTTAAGTAAAAACATGATGCGAAGTATTTATATTTCCATTTTAAAATATCTCTCTGGATCCAGTAAAAATATTGGAGGGAGACAAGAGTGAATTGAAAGTTTTTTCATCCAAGAGAAAGTATATTTGTCTCTAACTTGATGCTTTCAGACAAATGCACTGGAAAGAGATTTTGAAGATAAAACTCAAAGTACTTAGTGAAAAGTTACAGAATGTCAGGCAGAACGAGGTTCAAGGCTCACTCCTACTACTCAGGCATACATGACTTGGTATAAAGTATACGCTTAGAAGCTGGTTTTCTTGAGTCACTTGCTTCTTTCTCTTCTCCAATTATTTTATGTTGAGCTTTCAACTGTTGAAGAAACTGTATATTTACTTTTTTTATAATAGAGATTTCTTGAAATCACATTTCCCATGAAGTTCTTGGCCCTGGTTCAGTTTTCTCCATGTCTTTACAGAGCTGGCAACGTCAAAGCCAGTGGCTTAGAATAGGCATAGTTAAAGAAAAGACCAATTTACACAACTGTCATATTTTAAAAGAAGACATCTGGTCTCTTAACTCTGGTGTTATTCTGTTTGAGCCTGGTGGCTACTGTGTATACAATTATCAGCATATTAACAGTAATAATTTTCTTGGGAATAAGTTAACATTAACCTTAGTTCTCTCAATTGCTGAGGGACTCCACAATCCCAGAGGGGAAATCGTGTTTCACATTGTGTTTTTTAAAAAGCAACTGTATGTACTAGAAAATGTTTTATAACTCCAACATAGAAATTATTACTCACCTCTTCTTAGTCTTCCAAAGAGGCTAGATGGTGAAATGAGTTAGACAATTCCACCATTCTTTTTGAAAAAAGAAAAATTCACTATATAAAAGCCTATATGTGTCTTCTACATAGCTGTTGGATAGATAAAGCTATTTCCAGCAATTTTTTTAAAAGATTCAAAGAAGTTATACTACTGTAAGGAATTTTTTTGTCTGTATATTAGAAATGAACTAGAATGTTTGCACAGAAATAATCTTTTTCTTTCAATTGTCTGTTTCAAAATATCACATAATATTCAAAATCATTTTAATATAGAAAGATTTCTAGAAATCAAAAATTATTGCTAATATTATTAAAGTAATTACAGTTTAATTCACACACATAGAATCAACTACAAATAATAGAAAGAATCAGTCCATATTGTATTAGTTCGTTTTCATGCTACTGATGAAGACATACCCGACACTGGGCAATTTATGAAAGAAATAGGTTTAATGGACTTACAGTTCCACATAGCTAGGGAGGCCTCACAATCATGGTGGAAGGCAAGGAGGGGCAAGTCACGTTTTACATGGGTGGTGAGAGGCAAAGAGAGAGAGAGCTTGTGCAGGAAAACTCCTGTTTTTAAAACCATTAGATCTCATAAGACTTATTCACTATGACAAGAACAGCATGGGAAAGACCTACCCCTATGATTGAATTACCTCCCACCGGGTTCCTACCACAACACGTGGGAATTGTGGGAGTTACAATTCAAGATGAGATTTGGGGTGGACACAGCCAAACCATATCATATATGAACTATGTGATACTCCTCAAAACCCTGGATTACAGTCAGATTAGGACTATTTCTGAGAAATAAAGTGTAGTCGTTAATCCTCAATTTTGTGTCAAAATGCTAGTTACAATGGAATAACATTGTTGCCCACTTCAAGCTAATTGCTTTTTGAGGAAATGATTGCATATATATTTCCACATGTACATCATTTTATCTCTGAAATATATGACCACCCAAGTATCTGGAGAAACACTCTTCATTATTAATTTGTATAGTTATTCATATCAGCCATTGTCATAGAAATCTTTTCCTTCAGTAATTTTTAGAGATAAAATCCTTCATTTAAGAATAATTTAAAGTTAATGGTAGAATTATATAACAGAGAAGACAGTAATTATAGCTACAATAATGATTTTGCTAATGTCCATCATCAATCTGATGGTGTAGCTATCTACAGAAATCATTAGGTTACCAAAATTAATGTATTATCCAGAGGCAAAATTTCTTTTGAAATATTTACTGAGTTCCCAATATATGTCATGACCTGTGTTGGCATGGGTGATAGATTTGTTTCTATCTTCAAAGACTAAAATCTAATACTATAACAGAAAAGCTTAAATATTTTTCATGCGTACAACCTGGCCTTCATTCTTTTAATCCAAAACATTAGGGCTACAAATACTGTTTATTTCACCAAGGATTATAGAGTTATGTCATGTTCTGTTGACTGTTATTATTTATGACATAATTTTGAACAATAAATTATGATTTGAGAAGAAGAAATTAGGTAAAAATGATGAGGAATACTTAGAGCTAAGCAATACAAAAGAAAAGCTTTGGAGGTGAATTCAAAACCTAAAGGATGACACTGAAGTACAACTTGATTGTAAAACTAGTTTTGTAACTAGATAAATATCCTTATTCATTTAACTTTTATTTGTATTTATAAATAATAATTGGGCCAGGAGTGGTGGCTCATTCCTGTAATCCCAGCACTTTGGGAGGCTGAGGCAGGTGGATCACTTGAGCTAAAGAGTTCAAGACCAGCCTGGGCAACATGGCAAACCCCCCTCTCTAAAAACAAACTACATAAATTAGATGAGTATGGTGGTGCACATCTGTAGTCCCAGCTACTTGGGAGGCTGAGGCATGAGAATCACTTGAGCTCAGAGGAGGTGGAGTTTGCAGTGAGCTATGATTACACCACTTCACTCCAGCCAGGGCTACAGAGCAAGATCCTGCTTAAAATAAATAAATGAGTAATAAAAATAATAATTGTACCAGAGTTAACATTCCTAATGCTTATATATTGTAGGCTTTGAATTAAATTTGTTAAGTAAATTCTCATTCCTGAAAACTCTACCCTGAGGTATGCATTATTATTATCCATCACATTTTATAGAAGATCAAACTTCTGTAGCAAATGAGCTTGAATTCACAATTTTAGTAGTGAGCAGAGCTAGAAATAAAACACAGGATAAATTTAGAGTGCATGATATAAACACTATAATAAGGTTACTAGTATAAGATATGAATTTCAGAGAAATCTTTTGAGCTCCCAAAGAGATTGAGTAAAACAGTCGATCGGTGTCTACTGGGGTTCAAAATATGCTAATACTTGTCCATCTTCCTATTAGAAATAAGATAAGGATGTCTCTCAAACTAAAGCTTTCTACACTTAAAAAAAAGACAACTATATTTGTTATCTATTAACCTAAGATCAAATGAAAGATTCACAAAGTTTTCTCATGGACACCGAATCTGACAGCGGAGATTCACATACATAGACAGACTACATTTTTCAGATATTGCTACACAGTAGGGAGTACTAAAGAGGTCAACATAAGCTGATGCAGGCACAGCTCCTAAAACTGTATCAGTAGCACTGCAGCTTTTTTTCCCTACTGATTTCTACTAATTCCTGACCCAATAATATGCCAGTCTACATATGTGGAGACCAGATACACCAGGTCAGTATGTACTTCACTAATCATAACACTCAACTTTCTAATCTTATGCTCGCTTTGATGTCTGGCACATATTAGGACACAGACTTTTTTTTTTCTTTTTTGAGATGGTGTCCTACTCTGTCACCCAGGTTGGAGTGCAGTGGCACCATCTCAGCTCACTGCAACCTCTGCCTCCTGGGTTCAAGTGATGCTCTTGCCTCAGCCTCCTGAGTAGCTGGGATTACAGGCACCCACCACCATGCCCGGCTAAATTTTTTTTGTGTGTTTTTAGCAGAGACGATATTTCACCATGTTGGCCAGGTTGGTCTTGAACTCCTGATCTCAAATGATCCAGCCACCTTGACCTCCCGAAGTGCTAGGATTACAGCTGTGAGTCACCATGTCTGGACAGGATACAGACTTTTAAATCAATTTATGTATGATTCTAGTGACTTTCAAATTTATACTTGACAGTCTTCTGGAAGTAAATGAAAAAATAGTTAAAGACTTTAAAATAAAACACTGACAAAGTAAAAGTCTAAGTATTTTTCATGTGAATAGACTTGGCTTCATTCTTTTAATCAAAGACATTGGATAAAAACAGTAGTGTTCCTGTAGTCCAAGCTACTTTGTGAGATGAGGCAGGAAGATCTCTTGAGCCTGAGTCCAGCCAAGGCAACATAGCAAGATGCCATCTCTAAAATAATAACAATAATAATGATAATAATAATAGTAATAGTAATCTGTGGCTCTTTAAGAAAGATAGATTTTCTACTGTACCCATAGCTTAAAGTGTATATGTAATCCCTGTGCATTAAGGGTACAGATCAATGCAAAAATTAATTCTGTGTCTACTTGTTTATGACCATGTAGAATAGTTCAAACATACGCCTTATTATTAGGAGTTATGAAACCAACCAGAGACTTTTTTAGTTTTCTATATATAAAAATATAATGTAAATGTGCTGCACAATGCCTCATGATAAAAGGCACATGATAAAAGGCACCTGGTGATTTTGAGTGGTATCTCAAAATCACTTCCAGGTGATTTTCTGAACCTTATGCCAAATAAGATGAGAAAATATGTAAGCCCTTACAGCAGAAGAAGTTAGAGGTCAAAGAAACCTCAGTCATTTTTACTAGCAAAGCTTGCTTTAAAAATATTTAGGCTTCAAATGCATTCGCTTTTTACCAGGCTTTTCAATATAAATAAAAGAAAGACCAAAAAACTGAAGTAGCAAAGAAGTGAATACCAGAAAAAAAAAAAAGAAAGAGATAAAGGAAATGAGCATAGGTTTGAAATATTTCAGAGACTAGCACAAACTGGGTTATATGTTCTTTCTTTGGGCATTTTTTATGTTTGAAGAGAATGTTCTGTTCCCACAGAGAGACCTACTAAGAACAGCAAATGAAAAAGAGTGAGAAAGGAAAGAATAGCTCTCTGTATACTAATACTTTATTTATTTATTTATTTATTTTAAATATTTTATTTTTGGAGACAGAGTCTTGTTCTGTCACCAAGGCTGGAGTGCAGTGGTGATCATAGCTCACTGCATCTTCAAAGTCATGAGCTCAAGCAATCCTTCTGCCTCAGCCTTTTGAGTAGCTGGGACTACAGGCACACCATCATGCCCAGGTAATTTTTTTGTTGTTGTTGTTGTTTACTAGAAATGAGGCCTCACTATGTTGCCCAGGCTGATCTTGAACTTCTGGCCTCAAGTGATCCTCCTGCCTCAGCCTCCCAAAGTACTTCAGAGTACTTTAGAAACATCAAACTAACATTCCAAATGGGTGGTATCACAGAGAGCATGGCTTGAAATACATGTCTTCTTAGAAAATTCAACTTCATCACAGCACACTTTACATACAATGAAATTCACTAATTTTAATGTGTAGTTCAAGGAACTTTGACAGATGTATATAGTTGCGTTACCACCACCAAAGTCAAAATGCAAAATAGTTCTATTATACCAACGAGTTTCCTATTCCAATTCTCAAGAAATCCCTTCCCATCACTTAGCCTGTGGGGTACAGCAAGGGGGTCAAGGTATCTCAGGCGAAAGGAAAAGGAGGGGTAAGTCAATCAATATGTATTGAGGATGCACAGCACATGCGGCCTTGTAGGTCAGAGGAGGTCAAGGACTTTGGGTTTACTCTAAATGAAATGGGAGGCATGGGAGGGTTTTGAGCAAAGGAGTGGTCTGATTTAGGTTTTGAAAGGAATATGGAGAAACTATATGTATACAAGTGTTGAACAAATAAGTAAATATACTATAGGTGATAAGAGCCAGGCTTCTCACTGCTGGAGAAAGAAGTTACAAATGAGAAATGAGGGAAGGAATGTTAGAATGATTCTTGTGGGTGGGAATTGGAGTCATCAATATGCCCTCATGTGTGTACAGCTAGCCAGATAGAGAAATAAATACAGACATGCCTGTAAACATGGGTTACATGTGTGCATGTGTGTGTGTATGTGTGTGTATTGCCATCTTAACAGTAGTATGTCTTCCAATCAATGAACACAGGCTGTCTTTCCATCAATTTAGGTCTCTTTAAAAATGTATTTCCGGCTGGACGTGGTGGATCACACCGTAATCCCAACACTGTGGGAGGCTGAGGTGGGCGGATCACTTGAGGTCAGGAGTTCGAGACCAGCAACATGGTAAAACTCTGTATTTACCAAAAAATGCAAAAATTAGCCAGACGTAGTGGCACACATTTGTAATCCCAGATACTCAGGAGGCTAAGGCACGAGAATCGCTTGAACCCGGGAGTTGGAGGTTGCAGTGGGCTGAGATTGTGCCACTGTACTCCAACCTGGGCAACAGAGTGACACTCTGTCTCAAAAAAAAAATATATGTATTTCAACAATGTTTGGTCATTTCAGGGTATACTTAATATTTTTTATGTATTCATACTTATCTTTTAAATCAGTCTTTTTCAGAATACAGCATAACTGTAAGTGGGATTTAAAAAGTCCTCAAGGAATATAATGGGAATATAATGAAACATTTCTAATCTTTAAGAATTAAGTCAACAAGTGTTAATGAATGTTCATTATAGGCCTTGTTCTATGTGAGAACATGAGATTATTGCAGAAGAATGTCTTTTTAAATCAAGACTTTACTAAATTTGAAAAAAAACAGCATTTATAGACATCATAAAATAAAGCGACAATATGCTAATATATGATTAACTGCTAAATTGAATAATGTAAGTATGCCTTTCCCCACGCCCAGCCCCATTATCCTCCAAAGCTTATCTTACCACAGTCCCTTTAGAAGTCAAGGGCCTTCTGTGCTTTTGAGATGCTTACAAATGTCTTTGGTTGTGGCAAAGCAAACAAGGGAGTTTTGACGGGGACTCAAAAAATTTCACAGCACAAAAGGGCATTCTCTGCTGAAAGAGGCTCTGGTGGTTTAAAAGCAATGGTCAATGGGAAGCATTTGTTCTGTAGGAAGGTGAAGCCCATCTGGCCTCTCTTCAGATGGGGTGAGCTGCTTGCTTGAATGAAGAGTTACAGTTTTCAGCTGTTACGTCGTCTTGCACTTGGCTGGCCACATACTGCTCCTATCTTTTGATGAGTGTACGCAAATCCTCCAGAACACATCCTTTTGTCTTTGACGCTGGCCTTCCTTCATGACCATAAGCCTGTCACTCTGTCAACCCTGTTCAATTCCATATGATTCTCCTTTACTCTTACGTGGGCCACCAACCATTTCTTTCTTTTCCTTTCTATACACTTTCTAAAGTTTTCTGTGTGATCAATTTGATGTTCTCATCCTGTCTGTTCCTAGACTGTTGACTGTCAAGGGCCTAGTTAGGACTTTTTAATTTTTTTTTTTTTTTTTTTTTTGCTGTGTCTTTGTTTTTACATTTCTTTTCTTTTTTTTTTTTTCTTTTTCCCTTGTTTTTCGAAGACAGCATCTCGCTATGTTGCCCAGGCTGGTCTCAAACTCCTGGACTCAAGAAGTCCTCCTACCGGGGTTACCCACAATGCTAGGATTACAGGGGTGAGCCACCACACCCAGCCTAGCCTCTCTTTGCATTTCTGCTGTAACAATCCTGGACAATTTCAAGGTACTTCCATCCCCTTAAATCAAAAGGGAAAGAGAAGAATGTATAGGAAGCCTGATGATTAACATTCCAAAATATTTTGTTTAAAGTAACATAATAGAATATACAGTTTAACTGTTTCCCATATGTTATTGTCCCATTCCAGTGGCCTGCTGAACAGGTTTTAGGATTTATTCTACATGCATCTAAACCAAAAATGTTTACAATGATCCTTCTAAACAGCTGCTGTTACTGACGACTGTTTCTTCCTGTCCTGCTGCTTCCATTTGTTTGTTTTTTGTTTGTTTCTTTTAACTTAATTAGCTATTTTATTTGTTTATTTAATTTTTCCATAGGTTATTAGTGTACAGGAGGTGTTTGGTTACATAAGTTCTTTAGTGATGATTTATGAGATTTTGTACACTCATCACCCGAGCAGTATACGCTGCACACTATTTGCTTTTAGCCCTCACCACCTTCTCACCTTTCCCCACCAAGTCCCCAAAGTCCATTGTATCATTCTTATGCCTTTGTGTCCTCATAGCTGAGCTTCCACGTATCACTGAGAACATATGATGTTTGGTTTTCCATTTCTGAATTACTTCACTTAGAGTATAATCTCCAATCTCATCCAGGTTGCTGCGAATGCTGTTTATTCCTTTTTATGGCTAAGCAGTATTCCATTGTATATATATACCACAGTTTCTTTATCTACTCTTTATTTGATGGTCATTTGGTTTGGTTCTATGATTTTGAACTTGAAAACTGTGCCACTATAAAACAATAAAAAAGATAAATGAAACAAAAAGCTCATTCTTTGAAAAGATAAATAAAATTGAGAGACCATTAGCAAGATTAACCAAGAAAAGAAAGAAAATTCAAATAACCTCTAAGAAATGAAATAAAAGATATTACAACTGACACCACAGAAATACAAAAGATCATTCAAGGCTACTATTGTTCCTGGACCCAACTGAGGGTCAGGCTGCTGTTTCTCATGGCCCAATAACAAGATGCAGATGAACTGGGGAGAAAGAGAGTTTTATTTCTGTAACTGGTTACAGGAAGAAGGCCTGGAAATTATCACCTGACCAACTCAAAATTACAAAGTTTTTCAGAGCTTATATACCTTCTAAGCTATACATATACATGTAAGTGTGCATTCATTTAAAGACGTAAGTGATTGACTTCTTTTCATCTATACCTAAGGTCTCAGTCCTGAAGACCTTCTTCTGGAACCTCAGTAAGTTTACTGACTCTAAATGGGGTGATTACCCTTATCTTGCCTCCTGCTACATCACGGAGTTTTGGGGAGTTCCTTCAGACCCCCAATAAACTTGTTTGTGAAGGCCTGAGGAGTTTATTCAGACTCCAATAAAACTTGTTCAATCCAAAATAAGTCCCGTTAAGAATTCCTTTGCTATTTTGTCATGCTTTAAGGCCCAGGAAAGGCCTAGGCAAAACTCTTGATGGGCTTTTGTTCTATCCCAGTCTTTGTATAAGAGCACTGGCTTCCTTTTTTAGCTTTTAATATTGAACTTAACCACTCAGTCAGTACTGAAACAGTGGTGATGGAAGCCTGCATTAGTGAAACCTGGCCTGCCACACTATGAACATCTTTATGCACATAAACTAGAAAACCTAGAAGAGATGAATAAATTCCCGGAAAGATACAACCCTCCTAGCTTAAGTCAGGAAGAATTAGATACCCTGACCTGAACATACCAATAACAAGCAGTGAGATTGAAATTGTAGTTAAAAAACTACCAACCAAAAAAAAGTCCTGCTTCTGTTTTCTTAGTCACCCAATCTTGAAAACTAATAGCAATACTGTCAACATAAAGAAAGAAATTGAGGCTAAGGTAATAATAAACAGTTTATTTGAGTGAATATTGAGGGCTGAAGCCCAGAAACACTTCCAAGTTACCTTGGGAAGTGCTCAAGAGAACAAAGGAGAGGCTCAAGTCTTTAAAGAAAAAAGGATGAATCTGAATAGTTGCAATTACAAAAGTTATTTGTAAGGAATTCTAATTGATTTACAGAAATAACATTGATGAGCTATTGACTATCATTACTGAATGACCATAGAGTGTTAGGTTAATTATAGAGTTGTTTGTATATCTTTTGAGTAATCTGTTAAAAAGGGAGTAAGGGAAGAGGGAGAAAGAGAAACAGATTCTGTTGGTCTCATGCTATCTTTCTTAGGTCTTTTGATTGTTTGGAAAACTGAGTGTCTTTTACTATCTTATGAATAATATATAAACATCGTGTTCAAAAGAAAAAACGGAATGGTACTTTGCATCAGTGTATTATAAATAGTAAACCTAATTTTAATGGAAGCTTCTAAAGAGATCCATCAAACCTCAACTAGCTTTGACTACACAAGATTTCTGTAAACATTTTTTAAGCTTTCACAATTTTTATTCTTTTTTCCCAACGTTCTATATCCATTCAGTTAATCCATCTCATTCTTTTTCCTTTTATTCTCTCAGTTTAATCCATTCTTTAAATAACCTCTAAACTAGGCAAAGTCACTGTTGCAAAAACAAACAAACAAACAAACAAAACACACACCCATATATTTTCCCTAACCTTTCTTACCCCTAATATATCTCACTTTTTAAATACATTTTGAATATAGAATTGTTTTCCATTATCTAGCCTTAGTTACCATATACCAGTCTAAAGTTATAAATTGAATGTACTGTAACTGAGTATGCCATTTTCTTAAAAGTTATCTTTTTTTTTTTTTAAATACTATGCAGCCATAAAAAATGATGAGTTCATGTCCTTTGTAGGGACATGGATGAAGCTGGAAACCATCATTCTCAGCAAAGTATCGCAAGGACAAAAGTTATCTTTACTTCTCTCTTCTTCCTTGTGTTCACCTCTCACTTAGCATCTCAGGAATGCAAACGTAACCTTTACCTTCCTTTCCTCTGGCCAGAGTGCCTACAAGCATTGTTAGCTGTATGTTTGCTTAGAAGATCCAGGGACCAAGTCTTGAAACAAACCAAGCACCCTCCAGAATTCTCCCCCACCAGGAAACTACAGGCCGAATCTGTCTGCAGTGGTGCCAGCCCGACTACCAGATGACCTATTAATTGAGATGAGTCCCCAAGAAAGTCACATAAACCACCACCTCCATGCCTCTTCTGCATACCCTGCATACCAAAATTTCTCTTCTTAAAACCCTGCTTTCTGCCCACAAAGCTGAAGTGGGTCATTTACATATGAATCTAGCCCTTTCCCATTGCTAAGCTTGGGAATTAAGCACTTTCTTTTTACCGCCCTCGTGCTTGTTATTTGATTTTGCAAGTGGAGAGTGGGCAAACCTGTGTTCAGCAACAATGTCTCTTGAGGCCTTCCAAGGAAAGATGAGATTTATCTTAAATATACAAAGCCTTCTGTCCCCACTTCCTCTTAATCAATGAAATTTGTTATTTTATTCCTTTTGTTGATTGTATATTTACCATTGTAATATACATCGAATTTGAGAAGGACTTTTAGTTGTTACTTTCTGTTTTAACAACCCTTGGCTTTCTCCCCCATTGTAGCCTACTCCTGTTTTATCTTGGGCTACTTCTTTTTATTGCTTTCCTTTTCATGACTACTGACCCTCACATTCTTTCTGTTTTGCAGAAATTTGTAGAAATTTTTCACTGAGTGTTTTTTCTTTTATCTTTTTTTTCTGCTCTTTTATAGTTTTTTCTTTTTTATATCATTTTATTGGTGCTTTGGAGAGAAGAGGAGAAACTTAAACTCAAACATGTTAAAAGAAAAGCAATTCAGCCTAACCAACATGGTGAAACCCAATCTCTACTAAAAATACAAAAATTAGCTTGGCGTGGTGCATAATCCTAGCTACTCAGGAGGCTGAGGCCCGCGAATCACTTGAACCCGGTGTTACCGGGGGATCCTTGTTTTTAGAGCGCCCAAGATGGTGGCAGTCACTTCCAAGATGGTGGCAAGCCTCTTGTTCTCTGACCTGGGGTTCTTGGCCTCACGGATTCCAAGAAATGGCATCTTAGGCCGTGCGTGAGTGTCATAGCTCTATTAGAAGCTGTGGGTCATGGAAGAGAACCGTTGAACCCAGCGACTAGTGTTCGGCTCGATTAGGACGAACCTGGGCACTTAGCTGTGCAGGAACAATGGCAAAACTTTAGCCCAATCGGGAGTGGCAATGGGCGCCTAGCTGGATCAGAAGCACAGCTGACACCCTGCCAGATCCAGAAGGGTGGAAGTCAGCGGCGGATCTGCAACGGGCAAACAGCAGTGGTGGACAGCAAGCGGAAGCTCAGCTCAGCTCCAGCCCTGAGAAAGACCAGAAGACTGTGCAGCAGCAAGATTTAATAGAGTGAAAACGGAGCTCCCACAAAATGGGAGGGGACCCAAAAGGGGTTGCCGTCACCGGCTGGAATGCCTAGGTTTATATCCCGATCATTGTCCCTCCCCCTGGGCTCTCAGGCGATAGATGATTGGCTATTTCTTCACCTTCTGTTTTAGCCTAATTAGCATCTTAGTGAGCTTTCTTTACTACCTGATTGGGCAGGTGTGAGCTAAGTTGCAAGCCCTGTGTTTAAAGGTGGATGCGTCACCTTCCCAGCTAGGCTTAGGGATTCTTAGTCGGCCTAGGAAATCCAGCTAGTCCTGTCTCTCACTGGGAGAGGAAGGTTGTAGTGAGCCGAGATAGCGCCACTGCACTCCAGCCTGAGCGACAGAGCAAGACTCCGTCGCAAATAAAAAAAGGAAAAAAAAAAAAAGAAAAGAAGCAATTGTATTAACTGTCTTATGTACTTTTTTGCATCTTAAATATTCTATAATACCTTTTTTTCATATTTTGCGATTATTAAAAGTCAAGTTCCCAAGAAAATAGATTCTCCAATAGGGATTAGTGTGCATCAAGTTTATTAGGAAGTTGTAATATAATAAGAAATATATTTGATCTCTGCCCCCATGACCCAGCATACAGCTTCTAAAACTCTTGCAATCTTTGAGATGATGTGTCTTTTGTATGCTAGTGAGAGGACTGGTGCTGGGGGGCAGTTACTGGATAGCATTAGCATAGGGGCTGGTTGCCAGGGGAACCAACTAAGTGATTGTGACTTTCAGTCCCTACCTTGATATTCTGGGAGAAAAGAGGGATTGGAGGTTGAGTCAGTCACTAATGGCCAATGATTGAGTCAGTCATGTGTATGTAATAAGGCCTCCATAAAAACCGAAGAGGATGGGGTTTGCAGAGCTTCTAGGCTGGTGAGCACTTGGATGTGCTGGAGGCATCCAGAGGGTGGAGCACGTGGAGAGGGCATGAATGCTCAGTGCACCTTCCCTCATACCTTGCCTTATACAGCGTTTCCATCTGGCTGCTGTTGAGTTTTATTCTTTATAACAATATGCTAACCCTAAGCAAAGTTTTCCTGAGTTCTGTGAGCCATTCTAGCAAATGGTGGAACCTGAGAAAGGGGACATGGGAATCTCTGACTTACAGCCAGTCAGCCCGAAGCACAGGTAACAAATTGGACTTGTTATTGGTATCTGACATAGGGGAAGTCTTGTGGATCTGACCTCTTAATCTGTGGGATTTTACGCTCTCTCCAGGTAGACAGTGTCCGAATTGAGCTAAATTGTAGGGCATTCAGTTTGTGTCTGCAAAGAATTGGGGAATTGCTTGGTGTGGGAAAACGAAAATTAACATTTGATGTCAGAAGTGAGAATAGCCGAGAGTATAGTGTAAAAACAGTGTGTTTTCCTTATTCAGAGATATGCCCAGATAAATGCCTGTGGGGGCAGGGAAGTGAGTAGGATGGGACGGAGGCAGGAGTTCAGCTGTGATACTTGATGCATTCACAACACCTGAGGTAACTCATCAGCATCATCCTTAACTGAGGAAGGGAGCCAGTCCTCCCAACAAATGGAAACTGAATTTTCATTCCTGAGGGTGAGCCCGACTCTCTCAGCACAATGTCAACTACACACAAAATCCAAAGTCTAGATTTGGAAATGAAAACTATGTGGCACATATACACTATGCAATACTATGCAGCCATAAAAAAAGATGAGTTCATGTCCTTTGCAGAGACATGGCTGAAGCTGGAAACCATCATTCTCAGCAAACTAACACAAGAACAGAAAACCAAACACCATATGTTCTCACTCATAAGTGGGAGTTGAACAATGAGAATACATGGACACAGGGAGGGAAACATCACACACTGGGGGCTGTTGGGGGATGGGAGGCTAGGGGAGGGATAGCATTAGGAGAAATACCTAATGTAGAAGATGGGTTGATGGGTGCAGCAAACCACCATGGCCCATGTATACCTATGTAACAAAACTGCATGTTCTGCACATGTAGCCCAGAACTTAAAGCATAAAAAAGAATGTAAATGAAAAAATAAAAATAAAAAAAGGAAACTATGCCCTGTCTATCCCTATTATGTTTATATTGTTTTATCTTCTACAACTGCCTAGTATGAATCCAAGTATCCCAGTATTAGTCCATTCTCACACTGCTATTAAAAAATACCTGAGACTGGGTAATTCATAAAGAAAAGAGGTTTAATGGACTCAGAGTTCCACAAACTCTACAGGAAGCTTGACGGCTTCTGGGGAAGCCTCAGGAAACCTTCAGTTATGGCAGAAGGGGAAGCGGCGTGTTTACATGGCCAGGGCAGGAGAAAGAGAGAGAGAAGGATGGTGCTGTAAACTTCTAAACAACCAGATCTCATGAGAACTCTATCACCAGAACAGCATCAAAGGGGAAAACTCACTGCTATGATCCACTCACCTCTCACCTCCCACCAACGCCCACTTCCAACATCGGGGATTAAAATTTGTAAACCAAATAAAATCCTAACCACCCCCTGCCCACCCACAATCACCTAAATGGACTTTCTCCTCAGCCAGGGCTCTTAAAATTTAACCTGAAAGACTGGTTCAGGCCATGAAGGGAAGTGGGGGTCAGACATGCTTCATTATACATCTCCAGCATCAGCATCAACACAGACTTTAAGTCTGTTAAGAAACATTTTACAGCCTGTTTTCCTCTGAAGCCTGTTAGCTAAAAGCTTCATCTGCATGATAAAACTTTGGTCTCCACAACTGTTATCACAACCCAAATATTCCTTTCTACTGATCCCAGGTCTTTAGACAAACTCAACCAATTGTCAACCAGAAAATGTTTAAATTTACCTGTAGCCTGGAAGCCCCCACTTTGAATTGCACCAGCTTTCTGGATTAAGCCAACGTATTTCTTAAATATACTTGGCTGATGTCTCATGCCTCCCTTAAATGTATAAAACCAAGCTGCACCGAAACCACCTTGGACACATGTTGTCAGGACTTCCTGAGCCTGCATCATGGGTGCGTGTCCTAAACCTTGGCAAAATAAACTTTCTAAATTAGCTGAGACCTGTCTCAGATTTTCTGGGTTCACCTTTTTGGTAACCACAGAGGGATTCTGAGTGAAGATGACTCTGACCTTTGACAAATCTTCTATTGGTGCTTGGTACCAGCATGAGATTTTATGGCTCACACCAATAGGACAATTTGCTGAGATCTGAGAACACCCCTCCAGAAAATCTCTGATCTTCCAACATTTTATCAATATCTAAAGTTTATTTTGCTGTACAACCCCTCTTTTTTGGGAGTTTTACTTGCTTCCAATGAGGAATGCAAGCTTTCCTGCTTCCATAGTGATGGAAGGCCGGTAACTCCTTTATGGAGTTTGAGCTCACTTCCAACAGGAAAGATTAGTGTTTTGTTTTGTTTCCTGCTTCTAAGATGGTAGAGAGCAGTCTATAGCCTGAGATGCAACATTAGGTAAGAAACTGATTTGGGATTCTGTCTTGCAAATTCTTCTTAAATGACTAAAGTTAGCATTAACAACCACCTGGCATTAATTTCTGCTTACTCTTAGAGCACTCAGAAATCTTGTAATTTGTGTGATCATTCTTAGTTTTGCTTAACTGTTTTGTTGTTTGTTTCTGTCTTGTTGGATTTTGTGTGTGTGTGTATGTGTGTGTGTTTTGGTCCTTTCCCTTATCGGATTTGACCAACTCATAACCCTCTAGCTCATGAGTGTGGAATCTTCTACTCCAAATAAATAAGAGCACCGCACTTGCCTCATCCTTTTGGGGCATTCTCAGGCAACTGAGAATCACATGAGGGTGTTTGGGAGGAACACTCCCTGAGATATGCAGTGGCTCTAAATAGATTTCCCCCTAAAAAGAATGTACTTAGGGCTGGCAGGTGTATATAAGGAGATGACCCCTCCCGGACCTTGAGCCCCTGACACACTGTGCCACGTAGCCACAACACAGGTGGTCTGAATCGGTTCATGGAGTAATGGCCCTGAAAAGCTAGGTCTGCAAGTGGCACATTTTGAGTCCGACGCATGTCCCAGCTTGGTCAAATCTGAAGGGGAATGCCAAATCACGGGGAACAAGACTGCTGAAATGGCTAAAAACTCACACACACACAAAAGGGTGGTATGGTTAGGAGAGGAAAATGGCCAGCAAAAGGAAAAAAAAAAAAAAAAGGGAAGATTTTTTATTTTGACTACTAAAGGGGCTTTATTTATATAACAAGACCACCTTTTTGCCAGCCAGACCAACCTGAAAGAGCAATGGCTGTACTTCTGAAATAGCAGCATTTTGTCCTAGCCGAAATAAGGTAATAAGAGATTTTAAAATATTTATTTAAAAGGAACTCAATGGTTAAAAGTCAGCTTAATTAAAAGGCTAACATCCATGATGTGTGCATATATGTGTGCATGTTTGTATTTGTATTTTAAAAGCTTTCATGTTTTCGTTTTTTTCTTCTTGTTGTTTATCTCTTCTAAGACCTTGTCTTTTTTTGGGGGGAAAAAGTGTTTTTTTCTTCTTAGTTGACTGAATTCTGTTTTTGCCTGATTTTAGCATCTCTCTCTCTAGCACTACCAGACTTTTTCTCTCTGTACCTTATGATTTACTTATGCTATTTGATTTTCACTTAAGTTGTTTCCTTTATTATGCAAATATAAGTCATTATCTGACGACTGCCTAGGGTTGTCAGCAGGTTATCAAGAATCTGAAAGTCTAAGACAGGAAAAAAAAAAGTGGGGGGGTTCTTTATGAATCAATAAAAGGTACTTCCATTGGCATGCCTAATACGTCTATCTATTTATGTGTTGTGTACACAATGTTTCACTCCTAAAAATATATAAAAGAGCTCTAATTAATTGGCTTAAAAAATACAAGTGCTTAAATCAGATACTTTAAAACAAGACTAGTCAAATGCTTTTTGTTCACGTGACTTAAGTAAACTCTTTAATAAATAAGGTGTCTTTAAAAGTATTGATAAAATGATATTAGCAATGTCTTATGAATTGTTAGTATTTTTTTTATCAAATGATTTCGGGTTTATTCCTGCAGAATACTATAAGATTTGCCATAAGGGTTATAAAACTATAAAACCCAGCCCAAGACAGAGTTATCTTTGCTTGTGTATGCTTATGAAATATTGTTGGCTTAATGAAAACAGCTAAATCCTGAGTTATTGGAATAAGTACCCTTTAATGAAACCATATGTTTTATTACTTAAGTAAATACCAGAAATTCACAGATATAAAAAATTGCTAATAGGCAAATAACTTTAAATATTGGCTATCACAGTTTTTGTAAATAATCTAGTTAAACTATTAAATAAATTAATCACGTAAATAATGGAATAAATACGTGTACACTAACATCACGATTTAAGATCTAAGGTCATTAATTGATATTAAGTACCTGGGTCATTTCCAATTTTAAACATTGTTTAAATTTCTCATTAAAAGGTAAATATCTTTGTCTAATTCAAAGCTTATTTAAGGGATATATATAAAACAAGGTAAAGAAATCAGGAAATGAGACACAAAGCTAAAGATACAAAGAGGTATTTTTTGGTAAAGAAGGTAAAAAGGAAAGGAATTTTATGTAAGAAATAATGTTGTGTGGTGGATTTTTACCCTAAAATAAAATGACTGGTTTGTTCAAGAAAAGGGGATATTTGGGGAAAAACAGAAAGTTTAAGCACGTTGTGAATGGTCTATGTAGGTCATAATAAGATTAATAAAAGTAATTTTTAAAGAGATTTTATAATTCAGTTGGCTGTGATTAAAAAGAAATTATAATAGTCTTTCTAGAGATGAGTGTTGATATTTAAAAATGCACTAATACAAAACTAAATAATTGTTTAAAACAAGTTTTATTACAAATATTAACTTATTTTTAATATGAAAAATTGTTAAATTTTAATATCTGCCTCTTTAACATTCTTCAGATTGATATCTTAAAAGTACCACTTTTATTCTTTTGAAAAGACCTTGAATGATGGCTCTCTCCTTCACCTTTTGTTGGCTTCTGTAACTTTTACTAACTATCTAAAGTAAGGGAGAAAAAATTTTTTTTGAATACAGGCAAGTAAAGTATCTTTTGGACATATATTTTACTCTGAGTGCCTGTTATATCCCTATCTTTATTTGTGTCGTGTGGAACTCATATATCACTACCAAACCACAGGAAAGAGCTCTAATCAAGTAACTTAGAAAATGTAAATGCTTATCAGATTGGTAGAAACTAACCCAGCTGACTTTCAATTCACATGACCTTGGTAATCTTTGGTAAAAGTAGTTTAGTAAATTTAATCTCAATAACCTCCAGTAATTTAAAATCTTAAAGTCACGTTAAACCCTCGAGTTTCCCCCTTGCCACTGGAAATTTGGGTTACTAAAAAGTTAAAAAAGTAGGAGATAAAATATGCTTTTGGTAAAATTGTATAAAACACAAAGATGTCAATATTCAAAAATGCAGGTTTCCTTTTGCTTAAGAAACTATTATGAGGAGTTGCTTTATAATGAAGAAAAGTATACAAATAAAACTAACTGAATTGGGGAAAAAAAAAAAAGAAAAAAACAAGCCAGGGCAATGGAAGTTTACTCTGAACACTGTGGTTCCCAAGAAAATAGTTGATATGGAGGAAGGGTAAAACAAGTAACTATGTAAAACCAGAGGGTATAATGTTAAAAATAAATAAATAAATAAATAAATAAATAAATAATTACATACATTGATATCATTCAGCTTCTTAATTTTAAATGGTACAGAATTTAAGAGCTGGTTTGGATTAATGCAGGACCCACAGCTCACTACTGAACAATCACTGATGAGTATATGTGATCCAAATGCACAGGGGATTATTCCTGAAAAAGCAAGCAGCCTAATGGGCTGGATAAATGCCAATGTAAGGTCTGTTTGCTTTGAGAAGGGGACTACCCAACTCTCCCTATAAAATACTAAGGGAAGCACCCCAGATGAAGCAGTTAATATGCTTCATGTGCAAGCCATGTTGGACTAGCTTTATGGTAACTGAAACACCCTCCCACCAAATATGTCTATTACCCAAGTCGTGGTGAATTTGAGGGTTAAGGGGTCCCTTTTTCATGGGTGCCCGTCCCATAGAATCACAGGACTGTTTAAGAAGCCTTATCAAATTTGCTGTCCCTCATAGGTCTAACAGATGCAACTCCCTGCTGGGAACCCAAATCCTTTTATTTTTTTTTTTCACCAGAAAAGGTAAAATAGTTATCTGAAGATGTTATATATATATAATCTGGGACCCAGAACGTAAAAACATAAAGGTTGATAAAATTATGAAATTTAAGATGTTTAAACAAGCTTTATGTAAGGTAGTTGTAACCCCTTTATGAAAAGTCTTACGAAAATGGGTACTATATCTAACTGGGAGATGTTTCCTAAACTGAAGACATATAAATTTGTTCTTTTAAGAAATGTTAATTGCACATGCTAAATGGGAACTAGTAAATTGCCTGAGCCCACAAAATACAGGGTAAAAGTTCGACTGCTAGTTGGGACAAATCTCCACTGCATAGCCCTTTATGTGGAGCTTTTTTCAGGGCTGATACCAAACATTATGAGTACTTTTCAATAACGACTGAACTAGAGAATTTCTGCTTAGGGCATTTACTGCCTTGCTATGGAACACTAACTGAAGCTACCCCTATGCTAATGGAAACAAAGTTTCTCAAAAGAGTTCCATGATAAAATAAAAATGGTTTACATAAAATCTTGCTACCTAATAAGCAGGAGACTCTTTCCAAAGACTAATTATGAGGAGCTGCTAAATTCCACAGTGCCTAATAGGCACTTCTCGTGAGCTGCTTGGTTTGTAAATGGAATTTCCAAGGTAAATCAACGTCTTGTTTTAAAAGCTGCTGCTCTAGTTAAAGAAGGGTCAAAAAATATTTTGCTTTTAAGTTATTTGGGTAACATATGTTTTTATAAGCAAGTTTACCTTTTTGTCTAAGTTCTAAAATTCAATTTGTAATTTTATGACAATATAGTTATCTGCATAAATTCAATGAGAGTATTTTGAAACAACTGGAGACACCAGTTATTTTTCTAAGACTTTAACTAAACTAGCGTATTTGTAGGTAAAGTTCAGGCAAGGCCAACTTAAAAAAGCCTCCATGGCCAATCAATTCTTGCTGCATTCTATGCAAAATAATCAGACTGAATTTAATAAGCCTAAAACTTATTTTGTACACAAAATGGTCCTGCTATAATATCTCTTTAATTAAAAAAAAGCTCAATAAATTGTTTCGAGGGAAAAGCATAACACCTAATGCTAAATCTCAGCCCCAACTTTTTTTTTTTGAGTGCAGAATAAATCATTATTTATTGGCTACAGTAATTCTCCAGAGAGTACCAGATTATAATTTTTCTTCATATTTTTAGTTGGTGCCCTAATGGAATAGTTTATTTTCCTGTTCTGACATACAAATTAGTCTTATAATTGTCAAATTATAAATGTTATTTATCTCTCCTTGTTTGACTTTCCAGGATACCAAAATCATCATACCAGAGACATGAATCTCCCTCATTTGGCATCCCAGGAGGCCTGGATCAGTTTCACTGTGAATGCTCCGCCGCTCAACCACACAAGCACCCTTCCTCCAGGCCCAGGGGATACTGCAGAAGAGGTGGGTGCATAAGATTATAAGGGCCAGTTTTGAGGGATAAAATTAGGTCAAGATCAAACCCTCCAAATCAAGAAGGGGTACAAATATGCCTAAACAACTAGTAAAACAAGTTTAGTTGCCTTCTAAACAATTATGTATCAACTTTGCATCCACCCCAACCACAGAGAATTTCCTGCTTACTATAGAATTAAAGAAAAACATTTCTTTACAGGGTAAAAATACCTTGTAACAAAGCTTCCTGGGTATAATATTCTACTTATAAGTTAAGAAGATAAATATATATATATTTTTTAATTATTTTCAGAACAATGCTTATTTTGTATATAGATAATTGCCATAAGTCTGTACCAAAAACCAAGTTTACAGTAACTCAACACATAGAGGTTAGAAATAAGTCAGTCTCATAATTTTGCCTTTTGGTTTTGTTTGTTGGCTTTTTACTTAAAATAACAATATTTTATATTACACTTTAAGTTCTGGGATATATGTGTAGAACGTGCAGGTTTGTTACACAGGTATACACGTGCCATGGTGGTTTGCTGCACCCATCAACTCATAATCTATATTAGGTGTTTCTCCTAATGCAATCCCTCCCTTAGTCCCCCCACCCCACAACAGGCCCCAGTGTGTGATGTTCCCCTCCATGTGTCCATGTGTTCTCATTTTTCATCTCCCACTTATGAGTGAGAACACATGGTGTTTCGTTTTGTGTTCCTGTGTTAGCTTGCTGAGAATGATGGTTTTCATCTTCATCTATGTCTCTGCAAAGGACATGAACTCATCCTTTTATATGGCTGCATAGTATTCCATGGTGTATATGTGCCACATTTTCTTAATCCAGTCTATCATTGATGGGCATTTGGGTTGGTTCCTAGTCTTTGATATTGTGAATAATGCTGCAATAAACATATGTGCGCATATATCTTTATGGTAGAATGATTTACAATCCTTTGGGTGTATACCCAGTAATGGGATTGCTGGGTCAAATGGTATTTCTGGTTCCAGATCCTTGAGGAATCGCCATACTCTCTTCCACAATGGTTGAACTAATTTACACTCCCAATATCAGTGTAAAAGTGTTCCTATTTCTCCACATCCTCTCCAGCATCTGTTGTTCCCTGACTTTTTAATGATCACCATTCTAACTAGTGTGAGATAGAGTATCTCTTTGTGGTTTTGATTTGTGTTTCTGTAATGACCAGTGATGATGAGCTTTTTTTCATGTTTGTTGGCCGCATGAATGTCTTCTTTTGAGAAGTGTCTGTTCGTGTCCTTTGCCCACTTTTTTATGGGGTTGTTTATTTCTTGTAAATTTGTTTTAGTTCCTTGTAGATTCTGAATATGAGCCCTTTGTCAGATGGATAGATTGCAAAAATTTTCTCCCATTCTGTAGGTTGCCTGTTTACTCTGATCATAGTTTCTTTTGCTGTGCAGAAGCTCTTTATTTTAATTAGATCCCATTTGTCAAATTTGACTTTTGTTGCCATTGCTTTTGGTGTTTTAGTTTTGAAGTCTTTGCCAATGTCTATGTCCTGAATGGTATTGCCTAGGTTTTCTTCTAGAGTTTTTTATGGTTTTAGGTCTTACGTTTAAGTCTTTAATCTATCTTGAGTTAATTTTTGTATAAGGTGTTAGGAAGGGGTCCAGTTTGAGTTTTCTGCATATGGCTACCCAGTTTTCCCAACACAATTTATTAAATATGGAAACCTTTCCCCATTGCTTGTTTTTGTCAAGTTTGTCAAGGAACAAATGGTTGTAGATGTGTGGCATTATTTTTGAGGCCTCTGTTCTGTTCCATTGGTACCAGTACCATGCTGTTTTGGTTACTGTAGCCTTGTAGTATAGTTTGAAGTCAGGTAGCATGCTGTCTCGAGCTTTGTTCTTTTTGCTTAGGATTGTCTTGGCTATACAAGCTCTTTTCTTGGTTCCATATGAAATTTAAAGTAGTTTTTTCTAATTCTGTGAAGAAAGTCAATGATAGCTTGATGGGGATAGCATTGAATCTATAAATTACTTTGGGCAGTATGACCATTTTCACCATATTGATTCTTCCTATGCATGAGCATGGAATGTTTTTCCATTTGTTTGTGTACCTCTCCTTGAGCAGTGGTTTGTAGTTCACCTTAAAGAGGTCCTTCACATACTTGTAAGTTGTATTCCCAGGTAATCTATTCTCTGTTTGTCTGTTATTAGTGTATAGGAATGCTTGTGATTTTTGCACATTGATTTTGTATCCTGAGACTGCTAAAGTTGCTTATCAGCTTAAGGAGATTTTGGGCTGAGATGATGGGGTTTTCTAAATAGACAATCATGTCATCTGCAGACAGAGACAATTTGACTTCCTCTCTTCCTATTGAACACGCTTTATTTCTTTGTCTTGCCTAATTTCCCTGGCCAGAACTTGCAATACTATGTTGAATAGGAGTGGTGAGAGAGGGCATCCTTGTCTTATGCCGGTTTTCAAAGGTTTTCCAGTTTTTGCCCATTCAGTATGATATTGGCTGTGGGTTTGTCATAAATAGTTATTATTTTGAGATACGTTCTGTCAATACCTAGTTTATTGAGAGTTTTTAGCATGAAGGGGTGTTGAATTTTATTGAAAACCTTTACTGCTTCTATTGAGATAATCATGTGGTTTTTGACATTGGTTCTGTTTATGTGATGGATTGCATTTATTGATTTGCATATGCTGAACTAGCCTTGCATCCCAGGGATGAAGCTGACTTGATCGTGGTGGATAAGCTTTTTAATGTGCTGCTGGATTTGGTTTGCCAGTATTTTATTGAGGATTTTCACATCAATGTTCATCAGGGATATTGGCCTGAAATTTTCTTTTTTTATTGTGTCTTTGCCAGGTTTTGGTATCAGGATGATGCTGCCCTCATAAAATGTGTTAGGGAGGAGTCCCTCTTTATTTTATTGTTATTGTTTCAAAAGGAATGGTACTAGCACCTCTTTGTACCTCTGCTAGAATTAGGCTGTGAGTCCATCTGGCCCTGGGCTTTTTTTGGTTGGTAGGCTATTAATTATTGCCTCAATTTCAGAATTTGTTATTGGTCTATTCAAGGATTCAACTTCTTCCTGGTTCAGTCTTGAGAGTGTGTATGTGTCCAGGAATTTATCCATTTCTTCTAGATTTTCTAGTTTATTTGCCTAGAGGTGTTTATAGTATTCACTGATAGTAGTTTCTATTCCTGTGGGATCAGTGGTGATATCCCCTTTATCATTTTTATTGTGTCTATTTGATTCTTCTCTCTTTTCTTCTTTATTCATCTGGCTAGCAGTCTATCTATTTTGTTAATCTTTTCAAAAAACCAGCTCCTGGATTCATTGATTTTTTGAAGGGATTTTTGTGTCTCTATCTCCTTCAGTTCTGCTCCGATCCTACTTCTTTCTTCTCTTCTGCTAGGTTTTGAATTTGTTTACTTTTGCTTCTTGAATTCTTTTAATTGTGATGTTAGGGTGCTGATTTTAGAACTTTCCCACTTTCTCCTATGGGCATTTAGTGCTATAAATTTCCCTCTAAACACTGCTTTAGCTGTGTCCCAGAGATTCGGGTATGTTGTGTCTTCCCAAAGGCTTTGTTTACCCTGTGAGGGGAAAACCACCTACTCAAGCCTCAGTAATGGCAAGTGCCCCTCCCCACACCAAGCCCTAGCATCCCAGGTCGACTTCAGACTGGTGCGCTGGCAGCGAGAATTTCAAGCTAGTGGATCTTAGCTTACTGGGCTCTGGAGGGGTGGACTCCACTGAGCTAGACCACTTGGCTCCCTGGCTTCAGCCGCCTTTCCAAGTGAGTAACAGTTCTCTCTTGCTGGCATCCCAGGTGCCACTGGTGTATGAAAAAACAAAAAATAAAAAAATAAAAAGCTCCTGCAGCTAGCTTGGTGTCTGCCCAAATAGCCACCCAGTTTTGTGCTTGAAACCCAAGGCCCTGGTGGCATAGGCACCCTAGAGAATCTCCTGGTCTGTAGGTTAGAAAGACCATGGGGAAAGTGTAGTATCTGGGCCAGAATGCACTGTTCCTCACGGCACAGTCCCTCACGGCACAGTCCCTCACTACTTCCCTTGGCTATGGGAGGGAGATCCCCAACCCCTTCAGCTTCCCAGGTGAGGCGATGGCCACACTGCTTCAGCTTGCCCACCGTGGGCTGCACTCACTGTCTAACGAGTCCCAATGAGATGAGCTGGGTATCTCAGTTGGGAATGCAGAAATCACCTGCCTTCTGCATTGCTCTTGCTGGGAGCTGCAGACCAGAGCTGTTCCAATTTGGCCATCTTGATAGCCACCTCCTAAAATAACAATTTTAAGAGGTAAATGAATGCCTGTCCACATCCAGTTGTATCTGACCTACAACAATTAATTGGCTATAA
Organism: Homo sapiens; assembly: GCF_000001405.40. Taxonomy (NCBI): domain Eukaryota; kingdom Metazoa; phylum Chordata; class Mammalia; order Primates; family Hominidae; genus Homo; species Homo sapiens. The sequence goes on from NW_016107297.1 coordinate 277,625, forward strand.
GTCTTTTGATTCTTAAAGCCCTCAGCCATAGGGAGTCCCACCAAGGGACAACGTGGACCCAGAGTAGGCAGTCATGCCACTCTGCCAATGCTATGGGACAGTATAAGTATTGCTGGCCTTTGATGCTGCCTCTGGCAAATCTTGGCCAGAAGAAGGAGAATTTAAACCAAGATAAATTCTAAGGCACCCCTCCAAAAAAAAATTATCTAAAAGGACTACCTTCTCAGCCAGGGCTCTTAAAATTTAACCTGAAAGACTGGTTCAGGCCATGAAGGGAAGCGGGGGTCAGACATGCCTTATTAAACCTCTCCGTCATTCACATCAACACAGACATTAAGTCTGATAAGAAACATTTTACAGCCTGTTTCTCTCTGAAGCCTGCTAGCTTCAAGCTTCATCTGCATGATAAAACTTTGGTCTGCACAACCTCTTATTTCAACCCAAATATTCCTTTCTGTTGATCCCAGTTCTCTAGATACACTCCTCAACCAATTGTCAACCAGAAAATGTTTAAATTTACCTGTAGCCTGGAAGCCCCCACTTTGACTTGTTCTGCCTTTCTGGATCAAACCAATGTATTTCTTAAATGTACTTGATTGATATCTCATGCCTCCCTAAAATGTATAAAACCAAGCTGCACCCCGGCTACCTTGGGCACATGTTGTCAGGATTTCCTGCAGCTAGTCATGGGTGCATGTTCTCAACCTTGGCAAAATAAACTTTCTAAATTAGCTGAGACCTCTCTCAGATTTTCTAGGTTCACAAATTCAACATGAGTTTTGGATGGGGACACAGATCCAAACCATATCACCTAGAAAAACTAAATACACTCCACTGTTGCATAAACCCCTTCTTTTTCACGCCTTTGTTGTCTTCTTAGCTCAGTTTGAATATCACTTTCTATACAACGAAAATTCCAATGAAACAAGTGAAAATGACATTTCTTGTCTCTGAATTCTTTGAGAATGTTTTAATATAACCCCATATATTTATGGCACTTTCCTCTACTAGAATTATTATAAGTAAATCTTATCTCATTATGAGACTGTGACTTAAGATGCTTTTATTAAAGTAATAGCTGAATGATATTTAAATGAAAAAAATGTTGAAAAGAGAATTAAACATTGAGATATGTAGATAAGGCTGCAGGAAAGGAGATTAGATTTGAATTGGGTTTTGCAGTCTCAGTGAGTAAGCACGGCTTTCCTCCTCCCCTAGGAATCTTCCAGTTATATGAAAACTTGCTATTTTGTGTTTTTTGTAATTATGGGACTCAGGTCCCTTGCTCCAATATGTGATTGCTGTGTGACTTTTGTTGCGTTATTTACCTTTCTGAGTACCAGTTTTCTGGTCTTGAAATAATAATTATTATAGATATGTAAAAGGATTAAATGAGACAAACTTTCAAAGTTGCTATTTTCTAATAGTTACTGGTGGACTCCACTTCTACATCAAAAGTGTATCTTCAAGATTAGATTATTAAAGAAACCATGAATGTTATAAAAATTGCATTTGAGTCATTCATGATCTTCATTGTCCATATTTAATGCAGTCTACAAAAATAAACTTAAGAGAGAATGGCAGCACATAACTTGCATCCCATTTATCATTTCAGTCAGTAGTGGCTGCCTGATACAGCAGGAAGAGAAAGGTTATTGTGAATTAGCAACATCTGCCATTGTCACAGGGTGGGGACCTAGTAGTATGCCTGATATTTGCTATTTCTCAGAAGAAATGCTACCTACAAATGTGTCTTGCTAAAAATACAATAATGATAACAACAATAATATGATAATAGGAAGATCTAGTTGACACATAATACTTTATGCACTGATAAACACCATGATAAGTTTTAAGTTAAGGACTTTATATGCACTGTCTGACACATTTACTTTTCACTATTAGTTAGGAACTACTACACTCATTTCTCCATGAGATATGTGAAGTTTAGAGAGTTTAGGCAGTTACCAAAGTCATAAAACTAGTAAAGTTTAATCCTAGGTTTGTTTTGCAACATGCAGCACATCACCTGCCAGATAACAGCATACATACACCTAAATGGTGTTTTATGGTTTTTAAAGTACTTTCCTATACCTCACCACATTTACCATTTCAAAGTCCTGTAACAGGCTTGCAGTTGATAGGACAGATGATACAACTCATCCGACATGTCACAGGGAGACCAAAGGCTTTCCTTAAATTGATATTCATATGCCTGAGCTAGAAGCAACCTAATACAATAAAAAGAGTCAGAAGTCAGACACATTATTAACTTACTTGCTCATTCATCTCCCACGTAAATACGCATCAAATGTCTTCTATGTCACAGGCACTGAGTTTTAATTTGTCTTTTGCTTCTTTTCACCTGCAGGGCATTGAGCAGTTTACTGCATCATGATTTTTTAATATAGGGGGAAAGGACACCTATTCAGATGGATCCACAGTCAATCCTAATCTGGATTCATCAGTTAGAAAAATAACCCATTCACACAGTTCTGGTTACCCTTTTAATCGCCTGTTAACTTTAAAATTGTTGGTTAAAACAAATATTATTTAGTGCTTATTATTTGCCAGATGGTAATCTAAACATTTTTTAAAAATAGCTGATTTAAATTCCCTAATAACTCTATGATGTAGGTACCGTTGTTACCATCTCTTTTCTTTTTACAGTTTTAATCATTGAATCACAGAGAAGTGAAATGACTTACGCAAGATTACATACCTTAGAAGTGGAGGCACAATTATAACCCAAACACTCAGTTTTCAAATATGCTCTTACCACAATTTATAATGCATCATATTGTTGCTCTGAAGGTCAAATTAAACTAGATAATAAATGTAAAACACCTAACATAGATTCTGAGATATAGTAGATGTTCAGGAAATGCTTATATCCCTTTCTTGTGAGGCTACATTTTATGACTGTAAAGCTATGCCACACTGCTACCTCTAGAAATAGTTACAGAAATAAGAATAATTTGTCAGAGGGACTCTAAACAAAGAATTGCCTAATATCATAAAAACAGTGAAGAAGAAAATGTGGTTTCCTGTAAGAAAACAAGTCCCCTGTAGTCCTTTTACTTTTTTCCCTTTCTAGTCTGCATTTTTACAATATCAGCTCATTAAGCATCATTTCAGTGACTTGTGTTCATACACCATTTCAAATCTAGGTAGCTAATGAAACAATAAAGTATTTACATAGAAAGAAAAAGCAATATACATCCCCACTCTATATTGAAGTGTCTTGGAAATGGGGGAGACTACAATTTGACTATAAGCCTTTCCCTTGAAGTTAATTGACCGTTTATTCAGACTGCTTTTGAATTCAGAAGGTCCGCTGAGCATATATGCATATTACCATAGTCCTCATTCTTTGAAGGCCTGGCTAATTCACACCTCATTTGTTTATTTATTTTTGGAAATATAGATATGCTTATCATATACTTCCTTTACTACTGTTTGTCCAAAGTCTGTTTCCTTTAAGTTGTCATTTGTCAACTGGGAATTTGGCAATTGTAACGTTAATTCTAAGAGTTCTAGAATATTCTCAGACTGTTTCAGGGAGTAAACTACACGCACTAATCTCATAAAGAGGCCAGACCACTTCAGTGTAAGTCATTGTGAAGAGTTAAAGGATATCATGTAATCCATGAAAACTGAATCAAGACTGCTTAATTCTTTCATAACATATTTTGAAAGGACCATAATGTTTTATTTAAAAAAAAAATTCAACTTTTATTTTAGGTTCGGGGTATACATGCAGGTTTCATATGTGGGTATATCACAGAAAGCTGGGGTTTGGTACTAATGGTCCCATTATTCAGGTAGTGAGAATAGTAATTCAACCCTAGTCCCCCCCACCCTCCTTCCCCTATTAGTCCTCAGTGTCTGCTGTTTTCCTTATTTTACTTTATTTTATTATTTTTTGAAATAGAGTCTCACTCTGTCACATAGGCTGGAGTACGGTTGTAAGATTACATCTCATTACAGCCTCAATCCTCCCACCTCAGCCTCCTGAGTAGGTGGGACCACAGGCATACATCACCGTGCCTGGCTAATATTTTATTTTTATTTTTGTAGAGACAGTGTCTCTCTATGTTGCCCAGGCATGTCTTGAACTCCTGGGTTCAAGTGATCCTACCATCTTGGACTCCAAAATGTTGGGAGTGTGAGCCAACAGGCCCAGCCATGTTGTTCCCATCCTTATGTCCATATGAACTGAATGTTTAGCTTTCACTTATAAGTGAGAACATGTGGTATCTGGTTTTCTGTTCCTGTGGGAATTCAGTTGGGCTAATGGCCTCCGGCTGCATCCATCTTGTTACAAAGGATATGATTTTGTTCTTTTTTATGACTGCATAGTATTCCATCATGATTTTATCTACCAAAAAATAAATTAGAAATACCATTCAGCTTCATACAAGCTAAAAACTTTCCTTACTGTTGGAGAGCTGTTAGAAAAATATCCCTCCATTTTTCTTTCTTGATCAAATCAAATAAACACTTTGTTTCACTGGAAAGAGTAAAACAGAGTGGGGTAAATAGTGTGGAAGATTCCATCTGCCCCATCACTCAATTACTCTATAGCTTGCATATGAGAAAGGCATTCTAATAATTTGTTCCCTTAGTTGGCCTCATTTTATTTATATTTTGAACAGTGTAAACATTTCACCATGCTGCACAGGATTCCAGGTCTTAAAGATACTTCTGGATCCTGGTGTGGTGGCTCACACCTGTAGTCCCAGCACTTTGGGAGGCTGAAGCATGTGGATCAGTTGAGGTTAGGAGTTTGAGACCAGCCTGAGCAACATGGTGAAAACCCTAAAAATACAAAATTAGCTGGACATGGTGGTGCACACCTGTAATCCCAGCTATTTGGGAGGCTGAATCAGGAGAATCACTTGAACCTGGGAGGTGGAGATGGCAGTGAGCTGAGATCGCACCATTGCACTCCAGCCTGGGCAACAAGAGTGAAACTCCATTTCAAAAGAATAAATAAATAAAATAAAATAAATAAAGGTACTTCTTTTATATAATATGTCTCTCCAATGAAAGTTGATTATTTCCTCTGATGCTCAACAAAGGAATGGTTTCTTCTAAATGCTGAAGGAAAAAGAAAAAGCATATTTTGGACTAAATGAGCAAAGTTACACCTAAATAATTTTATGTATAATTTACAGGTCATGTTTTCAGTATTTCAAGGAAAAACAACATTAGTGGAAAATCTTAGTGGAACCATTTGAGGAGGATTAATGCTATTGTCAGGTTTCTTAGGCTGAGTTCCTCTAGAAGTAGAAACTGAGACAATGGTTTGAGTGCAAGTAATTTATTTGGATGGAATGCAGGCGACAATAGAGGAGAGTGTAAAAATGATATGTAATAGGCAAAAACTCAATAGAGTATATGTTACCAAACAAATTATTGCTATTGGTCCTGCTAGCGAGCTCAGGGAAATGTAGCAAATACCTAAGCCCCTCATGGGGTCAAGGAACACACTCCATCTGCCATTAGTTGAAGAGTTGATGGCCTCTGTGGCTGCATAGTATTCCATCATGATTTTCTGCATCAAAAAATAAGTTAGAAATACCATTCACCTCCATACAAGCTGAAAACTCCACTTACTGTTGAAGAACTATTAGAAAAACATCTTTCACTTCTCCAACATCCATTACTTCTACAACATTCCAAGAGTATCCTAAGCAGGTAAAGGACATGCTCACATGCCCAGAAGTAAAACTTTGAGAGAGCCACAGGTGTCTGCGGAAAGTGGCTTTGCCTCATGCAGACTTGCATTTGGTGGGAAAGTAGCCTCAGCAGTGCTGGCTCTCCCTGGTTAAAGGACACACGACAAATTAGTGAAAGCCTCTTTACATTCTTTACATGTCTTGTTGCCACCCTAATAATAATAATAATACACTAGAGAAAATTGTCTCTAAATATGTTGTGTTTACTCAGAAATAAAAACAAGAAATATAACCTGGAATGCATGAAGGGCTAAGCCACCAGTGCATTTGGGGAAGGAAAGGTAAGGGGAGCTTTCATTGGTGAAAAGAGAGTTACATAGCTGCTTAGAAAGAGCTCGTTGGTTTCAGAGGTTCGAAGTCAGAGTTGTCTGCTCATTGGTGGAGATGCCGTTACTGGGCAAGTGTTCTGAGAATGTCTCTGAATTACTGCAGTCCTAAAGACTGTCTTATCGAAGCATGAGATGTGTGAAGGACTCAAAAGGCTTTTTAGAAAGTCTTTGGAAATAGTTCTTACTTAGATACGTAAGCATGAGCCACCTCTCCTTCGGGCTTTCCAGTCCCTCTTTTGTCGGGATCTGACAAAAGTGATTTTACCCAGGTATCTGCAACTTTCACGTGATCATGGCAACTTAATAATTTATGTTTTTCAGCTTTTAACGGTTTGTTCACTTAATTGTGGGGGTTTCCAGCCTATTCTTACAAGGGCAGGTAGGCTCTTCTTTGTGAATTCTGCGTTGTAACACAAGGGAACTAAGCAAAGAAGAGGAGAGATATCCGGAATGCTTCCTAGAGACATCAGACAAAGGCTCTTTGGTTGTTCTTGTTCTGCTGACTTTGTTTTTACATCTAGGAGGTAATTTTTTATGTACTCCTGGCCATAGCTCAACTGAAGGCATTAAGAAAGTGAACGTTTTAGCTACACAAGCAACAACGATAAAATTTCCACTTGAACTTGTCTTTAGACTAACAACGTTTCTCTTGTATTGAAATTAATGGGAAGATAATAGCTCCTGTAAACTAGGAGCACCCACTTCTCAGTGGCTTCTCGAGCTTATCCTTCAGGGAGTTTGACGTTTAATATAGGCAGAGTTTTTTCATTGTTCATTATGGAATTTTAATCAGGTCATTTCTTTTTTTTCCAAAATTCAATCTTTGCAGAGGCTTTATTTAACATGTAGTAGGAAGGTTTCTTTTAATAATGTCTGGTAGGGAACAAATACCTCAGTCAAATTGTTGATAGCAAGTTTATTTTTAACTCTGTGCCTTGTACCATAAGATAATAGGCTATCTAAAATAGGATAAACAGTGCAGTTTTGCCTGGAATTTAAAAATGGGAAGTTATTATGTTATACTTTGACCACAGGGATTGTTGGATAAAATAGTCTAATCCTATAAATAAGACCTGCGCCAATGAATAGGTTGATTCAAGAATGTAAAACAAGAAATATTTTGAGTTCAAAGGTTAATTTTTCCGTTCATTGAAGACAATGTTGATATATAGTTATAGATATAAAGGAACCTATATTTTTAAATAATTTTTTTAAACCAATGTGATTGTTGCAATTAAATTTTGTTATTAAAATTCTGGGGACATGTGTTTTTATAGTCCCATTTAAAAATTATTATTTCTGAACTTTGGGCTTTAAAGAGTCTGGAGGTGAGTTTAGTTTACTACCTTAGACACAGGATACTTAAAGGGATTAATTAGATAGGCATGAGATTATAAACATAAAATGTACTTTCCATTGATGTTATCTAGAGCTGATGAGACTTTGGAAACCACTATGTAATGAATTATATACAGCACATAAGCATTTTGTTTACAATATTAGCATATTATATCTATGTGCCAGTAAATGTGCTACTGTACTGACATAGATCATTTATTCTTCATTATGACAACTTTGAAGAGATAGCACTATTATCACCATTTTATTCACGAGAGAATTAAAACTTATACAACTTACCTACTCACTGTCACTTGCACCTAAAAAGTTTAAGGAGTGCTTATAGTTCTATATAATAATTTGAAGAATACATATATACATCTCCATAATTTTAAGATACGTTTCACTTTAACATTCTATTCTAACATCTTTTGTTTCACCTTTTATATTTCTTTATTCCTGCTGCACATATTTTTGAACTTAGATTTTAATTCATTGACACTTTAGCTACATAGAGAGCTTACCATTTGCCTTTACATCTGTACCCATGATTACTATTTACATTTGTACCAGTTGTTTATAGTCGCGGTAACAAATTACTCAAATTTAGTGACTTAAATCAACATAAATTCATTATTTTATGGTATTATGCATCTATCCTAAGTTTCATTGAACTAAAATCGAGGTGTTGGTAAGGCAGTGAGACTTTCTGAGGGTCCTGGAAGGAAATCCATTTTCTAATTTCAAAAGGCTGCCCACATTCCTTTTCTCATGGCCTCCTTCCGCCTTCTTCAAAACCAGCAAAGCTGGATCTCTCTGACCATTCTTTCATCATCACATTCTTCACTCTCTGAACAAAACTGGGAAACATTCTCCACATGTAAGTATGTATAATTAGTTTGGACCACCTGAGAAAGCTATGATAACCTGTCTGTGAGTTCTATGAATGTAACCGACTCATCTTTAGCCTAACGATATTGTCTCTGCTCAAAGCCTTCTCTCTGCTCTGAGGTGGAGTGAGGTGGCATGAGAGCACTGGCATATGTGGACGGCATCCTGGGAGAAATACTAGTTGACTGCTGGCAATGTCAACCATCTTTGAGTGATGAGCTAACTCCCTTTATTTTATTACACTCTATCCAAATAACATTCTAATTATAATTTGGCTCCCCCTTTAGGTTGCCTACCATGACAATAAGTTGGATCTACTAAGCTTGTTTTCAGGTTCTCAGTGCAGGCAAGTCATCAATGATTTACACCAATACTGGTTCCCATTTTATTGTTTTGTACCCATGATGTATTGATTATTAAATAATTTGATCATTAACTCTGTACTTTAAGTTTTTCTTGTACCAGTCTCTGTGAATACGGTTAATATGAATGTGATTTAGAAAGAAGAATGCACCATATAAGCATTGTGACAGTTCAGAACAGATTCTGGCTCATGATAGATTCACCATGATAAAACCATTCTATGAAGGCTTTGGGTCCATTAACTTTGGGAAATAATACATAACACCCAAAATACAATATGAATCAACACTCTAAATTCATTTATGATTTGAACTATATAATCATAATAAATGACTTTGCTTAACTTTAAAATACATTCATTACTTAGAATTATACAATCAGAAAATTAGAAAAATCATAGAATGTTAAAAGGTCTTAGCAAGAATACTCTTAATACTCTAACTTCCTCCATTATTTTTTCCCACATTTATATCACCTCAGCAACAGTTTTGAAGATTATAGTAATTTGTCTGTTGAATGTTTTTATAACTATTTTTTGTACCCTCTACTTATTCACAAGATAATATTTGCCTAAATGATAATTATTTTTTAATCCCTCAAGAATCATAGAGGCAACAAAGTAATTAGAATTACTTAACATTTATTTTGATTTTATAATGGAACTCAGGCATAACGAAATGTTACAAGAGAATGATAAATCAGCATTCATGACACATCTATAGTATATATAATATTTATGCATTTGTTATTATTGTTAATTATTTACTATTCCTTTAATCAGGCAAATCTGTTGCATTCCAGGATTTGAACTTTGGGTAACTTATACTCCTGCAGAGACCAGATATCTGAAAATGTGTGTACAGAGAAAGAGGAAAGTGGGCCACCTTTATCTTTTATGACCATGCAGTAAAGAAGTTAAAACTTGCTATTTATCTGTAATGTTTTCTCTCTTTTCTCCATACACACACTTTGAGTGATATTTTAAACAGTTTTATCCTATTTCCCCCCAAATCTTCTTCATTAATGGTTTATTGAAACTTCAAATCCATGATATAGGCCTAAACAAAATTTTATACCAATTATCATTTGAAAGCATGTGTATTATTTTGTAATTTGTGTCAGATGCCTCTTCTAGAAAAGCTTTTACAAAGGTCATTTTTTTTATTACTGTTGCAAGAAAACAACTTAGGAAAGTTTGGAAAATAAATTTATTTGCAAATAGAAGGTCAAAGACAGTGGTAATGATTTTCAATATGCTTGAAAAAATAAAAAATTATTCTTAAAAGTGATAAAAAGTTGATTGATATTTAAAGTTATTTTATTACTTCTTATTTAGAATTTGAAAAATAACAATGTTTTATTTTTGCTGTTTTCCTCCACATTTTTTGGTGGTAGGGAAAATTAGCATATTCAACTGTGGATTTTTCCCATATATGAGACATAGAAATTGCATATTATCTAGTGTGGTTGCATAGTCTGTGTTCTACATTATTTATCCAGGTAAAGAATAACTCTTAGGTCGCTTCCCTAATCAATTTAGTATGAGAACTGTGTTAGTCCATTTTCCTGCTGCTGATAAAGACATACCCGAGATTGGAAGACAAAAAGGTTTAATTGGATGTACTGTTTTACATGGCTAGGGAGGCCTCGGAATCATGGCAAGAGGCAAGAGGCACTTCTTACCTGGTGGCAGCAAGAGAAGATGAGGAAGATGCAAAATCGGAAACCCCTGATAAACCCATCATGAGAATAGAGTTGGGGAAACCGTCCCCATGATTCAAATTATCTCCCACTGGGTCCCTCCCATAACACATGGGAATTATGGGAGTACAATTCAAGATGAGATTTGGGTGGGGACAAACAGCCAAACCATATCAAGAACTTTGCAGTTATAACTCAAATCTAATTTGAACCAAATCATAAAAGGTTATATAAGGTGGTATTATGCAGGAAAAATAGAAACAGAGAATACAATTACTGGTAATCTGATGTTATTCCACTAATGCATTTAAGAGTATTCATAGAGTTCAGCCTCTCAGAACATAATAAGCTGTAAAGCGATTATATCTGACATTTCTCAGATAGTCTACCTCAAATTTTTCTATTTAAAAAAATAATTCATAAAGTAAACATGAGGTTTTTTTTTCAATATTTCAATAAAAAGTAAAATGTAATAGGAACTAAAATGTAAGTTTTGGGTAACATGAAGTTGAATGACATTAGATACTAAAAGTGAGTTAGAATACAGGCCGTCACAAATTTAAAATTAAGTCAATTTTGTTTAGATGACTAACCCATATCAGGAGGGTGAAAATTTCAAACTTTTGAAAATTAATGAAGTATTTATTTGTGAAAAATTTATTTTAGAGAGAGCAGTGAGTTCCAACATAGTACTCCTATAGTGTCAGAGGATACAAAAATGGAAAACAGAAAGCTAGAATATTCTCTCTGTTGTAGGATTGGAAATTAAATTTGAGATATTGTGAATTTTGTTTTTGATAGATAATTCTTAAATAGATGGATAAATAGATTAGATAAATAGATATAGAAATAATTATAACTGTAAATCTGTATGTGTGTGTTTCCTAACTCTCTGTTCTTTGAGAAAGTGAGAGAGCCAGGAACATAATTAGCACTGAAATCATGGACTCTAATTTTATTCTCCACTAGAAACAATCAGGGTTCTTTAGGAGAATAGCTCAATGTATTTAAAATTATATAATAAATATCTTAATATATAAATAGGTAGAAGAGAATGCTCTTTCTTAAGTAAGAAGACAACTGAAAAATTTAGAAGAAATGTTGGAATTAAAAAATCACCACCTGATAACTATTGGAATGATTATTGGTGGTACAAAATGTCAGTGAATGAATATACTGTGAGTAGAAGTTTCATACAAATTGAATACTGGATAGTCTCAAAATAATTTCCACAAAGCACTTTTTAATTACAAAGAGGCAATTACTTTACAGTGGAGAAACTTGGCTTACTTCACCAAATCAAGTGATCAAAATTAGCACATCACTAATGTGAGAAATCAAAATTGTATATCACTTGAAAGGATGACATGATATTCTTGACAAAAAATGCATAATCTGAATATAATTATGATAAAGCATCAGATAAAACAAAACATGTGAGTATCTTGGAAAATCACAACATTATAAAAATCAAGGAAAGTCTTAGAATTTTTCGACTTGAACAAGACAAGCAAGACATGACCCATAAATGTAACATATGATCCTTTATTGAATTATTTGACCTCGGGTCAAATCAACATGTATGACCATCCAATGAATGCTTTATAACAAATGATTTTTGTTCTAACTTATTTTTACGTCAAAGTCCTATCTACATCTGTTTAGTCAAGCTTGCTAATAATGTGATTTGAATATCATATATCATTGTATTACTAAAATACATTCATCTTCAATTTATAGATTTTAATATTTTTCTATATTTTCTGATAGTTCACCTTTTTCAGGACTATGGTGTTATAGACACACATGTTCAGAAGGGTTGTGCCAACTTAGTTTAGTCTTCCTTTCACAAACATCAGATATTATCCATTTTACCTTTTAATATTTTTTTCATTATTTTGTCTTACATTATAATTTCTTTTCCAGCTTTCTTTTGGTGCATCTATTCCTTGTATATCTATCACATATTACCTATCTCCTATTATCTATCTTTTTCTATTGTCTGTCTATTATCTACCTTCATTATCTATCTTCATTAGCTCTGTTCATTAGTTTTAAGCATGTCTCCTAAAATAACATAGCACCAGGTCTTTTCATGTTGGTTTTGTAACACCTAAGACTATCACATTTTTAATCTCTTAATACATTTATATTTGTTTTAATTGTTGATGTTAGGACTCAGGTACTGACATCTTATTTTGTAAATACTATTTTTCATGCTTTTATTTCTTCATTTTTTTCCTGATTTTTTTCTTACATTGAAAGAAGTTTCTAACTTTGTTTTAACTGATTGATAGTTGTACATGTACATTTCTTTTAATATTTACTTATAAATTACTAATTACCACAGTAATATTTTCCTATGTATGCATAAAGCTTACCAGTATCTATATTTTCTTCCTAAGCAATATAAGTATTATAGCACACTTTTATCTCTCTCTGATAAGTCCTCACCCTCCCATTTATCCTGGCTTAATATTTACTTGTCTTAAATTCCAGATTGTTAAGAGTGTATCTTTTATGTTCATTATTTATTTAAGAAATGGTATATTTTAGTGATTTTCTTTTACTTCCTGCATTAGTATTTCATTGCTACGTAACAAATATCCACAAATTTAGTGGCTTAAAACAACACAAATATATTATCTGAAGTTTCTCTGAGACAGGATTCTAGGCACAGCTTAGCAAAGTCTTCTGTTTAGGGTTTCACGAAGCTACAGTCAAGGTGTTGACTGAGGCTGTGGTCATCTCATGACTTGACTTGTCAAGGATCCACTTCCAGGCTCTTCGAGTTCTTGGCAGCGTTCATTTCCTTGTAGTTATAGGATTGACAACACTGGTTTCTTGCTGGCTGTCAGCTGGAGGTGACCCTCAGTTATTAGAGGCTGTCTGCTGTTCCTAGAAGATCTTTACATGTGGATTTCCAACATGTCTGCTTACTTCATCAAGACAGCAAGGAGTGTTTCTAATGAGAATCTGTTAGCAGGAAAGAGTCTTGAATGTATAAAAGTAACCTTGTCATGTGAGTAACATCACAAGAGCTTTGCTGTGTTCTATTGTTTAGAAGCAAGCCACAGATCCTGCCCAAACTCAAGGAGAAGGGAAACACAGTGGCATAGCACTAAGCCTGGGATCATGAGGGACCACCTCTGAGTCTGTCCATCACATTCACCCTTGATTCCTTCCTTATTTTTCCCTTTTTATATATTTTTTTTCCTTGCAGAAGCACATGCTTGTAAGATAAGAGAGCTGTCTCAAAATGTCCTTGGAAGCTTTCATGAGGAAACTTCACAACAATTAATTTACTTGTTTATGTGTATGTGGGATTGCAACTTTTAATCAGGCTAGCTATGTAGGGTTTTAATAAAAATGTGCTTGAAAGCTCATCTTAGAGACTACTTCTATAGCATCTTCAAATGATATATTTTGTTTAATAATTTACTTCCTGCTTAACTTAGCTACAGTGGATTCTGTTTGTAGCTAAGATGCTTGACCAATACACTAACACATAACTAGGAACATGGATTAATATTGATATATTTTATTACATATTCTTAACTAATTAACTCTAGGTTGAACTTTCAGTACAATGTTTACACAATTAATGCAAGTGGGCATCCTTGTCCAGCTCTTGATAGTAAAATGGTAGTGATTGTGTAAGCCTTCAGTCTTACACAATTAAGTATTTATGTTAGCTGTGGGTTTATTGTAGATGAGATGTTCTTTATCAGATGGAGGAGTTTCCTTTTATTTCTAGTTTGCTGAGTGTTTTTTCTCTTGAAACAGTGCTGCGTTTTTAAAATAGTATTTTGTGCATCCATTGAGAAAATGATTTGTTTTCTTTTATTCTATTGATATAGCATATTATATTAGTGGATTTTTAAATGTTAAACCAATCTTGCATGGATAAATCATATTTTGTTATAGTCTGTAATCCTATTATATTTACTGAATGAGTTTATTATTATTTTGTTAAGAATTTGTGTATGTGTATTTATAAGAGCTGTCACGCTGTGTCCTTTCCTTGTGTCTTTGTGTTATTTTGGTTTCAGGGTAATCCAATAAATTTTGATGATAGAGTGAATTACAGAATGTTTCCTCGAGTTCCATTTTTTGGAAGACTTTGTGAAGAACAGCTATCAATTATTCTTTAAATGTGTGGTAACATTCACCAGGGATACATCCACATGTGGGCTTTTTTATATCGGTAGAATTTATTTATTTATTTAATTTTACTAATTCAATTTCTTTATTTGTCTGTTTGCACCACTATAACAGAATACCACAGACTAGATAATTTATAAAGAACAGAAATTTATCTCCTCAGAGCTCTGGAGGCTAGGAAGTCCAATATCAAGGCATGAGTAGATTTGGTTGTCTGGTGAGGCTTGTATTCTCTAAAGGGGACAGACATGTGAGGAGAACCTCTTAATGGACTCACCTCTAAATACCATCACATTAAATTTTAACATCTGAATTTTGAAGGGTACACACTCAAACCAAAACACCTGTTATATAAGTAAAGAAGTTCAGGTACTTTATTTTGTCTTGAGTTACTTTGGACAGTTCGTGTATTTCTAGGAATGGTCTAATAGTAGTCACACAGTTACTCTTAGCACTTCCTTGTTGTTTTTCTTTCTGCAAGGTTGATTGTAATGCCCTCTTTAATTTGAATCTTTATTCTTTTCCTCTTGGTCAGTCTAAAAGCTTGTCAACTTAGTTTATATTTTTAAATAGCCAACATTTGATGTAGTTGATTTTCCCTGTTTTTATATTCTCTATTTAATTAATTTATTTCAATATTTACCATTTCTCCCCATCTACTTATATTGGGTTTCATTTGCTCTTCTATTTATATGGTCTTAAGATGAAAGGTGAGGTTATTTCTTTGAGATTGTTCAAATTTAGGCATTTAAAGTTATATATTTCTCTCTAAGCACTGATTTAGCTAAGCACTATTAATTTGTGGCATGTTTGTCTTAATTTGCTCTCATTTTAAAGTATTTTCTAATTTTCCTTGTGACTTCCTCTTTAATACATTGGTTACTTAGGAATTTGTTTTGTAATGTTCACATGTTTGGGATTTTTTTTTCAAATTTTCTTTTATTATAGATTTCTAATTCTACTACAAGTGATCAGAGAATATTATATTATCTCAATCCTTTAAACTTTTTGAGAATTATTTTATAGCCTATCAAGAGTTCTATCATTAATCATATTAATGTGTTTTTGAGGGGAAAAATTATATATATATTCTAATATTGTTGAGTGCCATCTTCTATAGATATCTGCTAAGTATAGTTGGTTTATAGTGTGTTCAAGTAGGTTATTTTCTCTTGACCTTTTTAGTTCTTCTGTCAGTTACTGAAAAAGAGGAAGTGAAGTTCAAACTGTCCGTGTTAACTTGTTTATTTCTGTCAATTATATCAGCTTTACTTCATGTATTTTAGAACTCCGTCGTTCTGTAGATACAAATTTATGATTGTTATTATTTTTCCTGAAGGATTGATACATTTATTATTTTAAAATGTCCTTCTTTATCTCTAGTAACATTAATTTTTGTAATGTCTATTGACTCAAATTAATATAGCCACTCCAGTTTACTTAAGGATGTCCTTTGCATGATGTATATTTTTATATTCTTTTACTTTCAAAATATTTGGAACTTTGACTCTAAAACATGTCTCCTATAAAAAGCATGTATATGGAACTTGATATTTATCCAGTCTTAGAGTCTCTGCCTTTTGACTTTGTTGTTTAATTCATTCTCATTTAATACTTTAATTGATATGGTTACATCTGCTATTTTACGCTTTTGTTTTCTTTGTCTCGTATGTTTCTTTATCCTTCCTTTACTGCATTCATTTCCATTATTTGAATATATTCTAGTGTAGCACTTTCATTCCCTCAATAGAATGAAACCAGTGAAACATTTTAATCATTTGTTTTCAATTTTTTCACTACGTCTTAAAAATTTATTTTCGTTGTAGTTGCTCTAGGGTTTACCATGTAGATCTTACCTTACTGGGATATGCTTCACATGCTTCACATTTATATGGATGTAATTCTAATACTATATAGAAAGGTGACTGCTATATAGCTCTATTCTTTATTTTCTTTGTGTGTGTGTGTTGTTGTTGTTAAAAACATTACAAATACATCTGTTACAAAAAATACTTTGTTATAATTATTACGTTACAAATTTGTATGACAAAGAAGTTAACAAAAAAGAACAATTATATATTTGTAATTTTTATATTAACCTTTTAATTTATCTTTTCTGTTATTATTTGTTCTTGTGGATTCGAGTTAACATCTTATCTAGTGTCATTTATCATTTATTTTTGTCAGTACAGCTTCCTCCTTATTAGTTTTCTTTGTGCTGTTAGTCAAATTTTATTTCTATACATTATAACACAAACAGTGCAATTATTTACATAAATTTTTATGCAATTGCTATTTAAATCCATCAAGACAGGACGTACATTTCCAATATCATTCATAATTAAACAATCTCTATTTTTGTTGCTCTTTTTATCATGTGGATTCAAATTAATGTCTGAGGTTACTTGCTTTCAGCATGAAGAACTTCTTTTTAGTATTTATTTCCAGCTGGTTTTGATAGCAACATATTAGTTCAGTTTTTGTTTATCTAGGAATGTTTTATTTCACCATCAATTTTGAAAGGTATTATTGATGGACATAAAATTGTTGGTTAGAATTTTTTCTTTCGAAACTTTGAATATGTCATCTCACTTTCTCTTGATGTCATTGTTTCTGCTGAGAAATGAGCTGATAAATTTGTGAGGGTTACCTTGTGCATGTCATGTGTTTTTTCTTTTGCAGCTTACAATAATTTATCTTTGTTTTTGTCTTTCACCATTTTTACTATGATGTGTCTAATTGTGGATCTCTGTTTATCCTAATTAGAATTTTTTTAGCTTCTTGAAGTTATCAATTAATGTTTTTTTAAATCAAAGTTTAAAATGTTTCCATCCTTGGTGTTTTTTTAAATATTTTTTCTGCCCCTTTCTCTTTCGCTTCCCTCTGGTACTTCCATTACACTTAAATTGGTGCGTTTAATGTTTTCTCATGTCTCTGAGGCTATGTCATTTTTTTCTTCATTTTTATTTTTTGTGTTCTTCAGATTTTATAATTTATTGATCTATCTTCCAATTGACTGATTCTTCTGCCAGTTCAAATACGCTATTGAGCTAATGTAGTATATTTTTCATTTCAATTATCAGAATTCCCCTTTGACTTTTTAGAATAAGTTATATCTCTTTATTCCTATGCCGAAATTCATAACACATTGTCTTATATTGACCGGGTGCAGCGGTTCTCACCTGTAATCCTAGCACTTTGGCATGTTGAGACATGAGGATCTCTTGAGTTCAGGAGTCAAGACCAGCCTGGGCAACACAGTGAGACTCTGCCTCTAACAACAACAACAAAACAATAGCCTGACATGGTGGTGCACACCCGTACTTCCAGCTACTTGGGGGGCTAAGGCGAGAGGATGACTAGAGCCCAGGAGGTTGAGGCAACAATAAGCTATGATCATGCCACTGAATTCCAGCCTGGGTGACAGAGTAAGCCTCTGCCCCCGTACCCCCCCAAAAAAGGAAATACATACATAAATATATTGTCGTATATATTGTTTTACTGTTTTAAACATGGTTTCCTTTAGTTCTTTGAACATGCTTATAATTGCTGCTTTGAAGTGTTTATCTTCTAATTCCAACATCTGAGCCCTCTCAAAAGCAATTTCTGTTTCTTCCTTTGTTATGTTTTGGTTTGGGTTTTGGCTTCGGCTCCTTTGTATGAATCACACTTTCCTGTTTCTCTTTCTTTATATGACTTACAATGACATATGATTTTTGTTGTTGAAAACTGGAATATTTATATCTATACACACACATGTGCACACACACATGCCCACACAGACACACACACATTCCACATTCTATAGCTTTGTCATTGTTTTTGTTTGGGTATTAACAATTATATTACCTGGTCTATCTTCTTCCATTTTCCTTCACATGTAACCAGTTAAACATTGTGTTAACAATTAAATTTATGACTAATTTTTGCAGTATTATATAATTTGAAAATTTTTATTATAATGATAAAGTGGTCAATTAATCAAGAATACACAGCAATCTCAATTGTGCACTTTATAACAAAGCTTCAAAATATGAACAAAAGCAAATATAACTTCAAGGAGAAATAGACAACTCTACACTTGTAGTATAATAATAGTTCAACACTGTTTTTCCTTTTTTTTTTTTTTTTTTTGAGATGAAGTCTTGCTCTTGTTGCCCAGGCTGGAGTACACTGGCACAATCTCGGCTTGCTGCAACCTCTGCTTCCCGGGTTCAAGCAATTCTTCTGCCTCAGCCTCCTCAGTAGCTGGGATTACAGGCGACCGCCACAACACCCAGCTAATTTTTGTACTTTTAGTAGAGACAGGGTTTTGCTATGTTGTCCAGGCTGGTCTCGAACTCCTGACCTCAGGTGATTCGCCCACCTCAGCCTCCCAAAGTGCTGGGATTACAGATGTGAGCCACCACGTCCGGCCTGATTTTTCAATACTTAATAGAAAAATAAGTCAGCACTTAAGCAAAGACATAGAAGAACTGAAGTAAACTATCAACAAATTTGATTTAATTGACCATTAGAGAACTTTCCAAAAATGCACATTATTTGCAAATATTCATGGGAAATTTGCAAGAACATAATATTCTGGGTCATATCACAAGGGCCAATAAATTTTAAGAGATTCAAATCATATAATTACTTCCTCTAACCATAATGCAATTATATTAGAAATCAATACATATCTGAAAAATCCCTAAATGTCGGAACAAAATGTTATAATTACAAAAAAGCCATGGGTCAAATAACAAATTAAAAGCAAAATTAGAAAGTATTTGAGTTTAATGAAAATGAAAAAGAGCTTATCAAAATTTTAAGATGCAACTGAAGCAATATTTATATATTTTTACCACTGAGCATTTATGGTAGAAGAAGAAAGATATTTCAGTTTCAACCATAAAAACTAAAAAGAGAAGAGCAAATGAAAACCAAAATAAACAAAAAAATGAAATAATAAAGATCAGTGAAGAAACCATGCAAATAGAAACAGAAAAGCAATAAAGAAATCATAAGCTGGTTCTCAGTGAAGATTAAAAATGAATTGATAAACCTGTAGGTGGGCTGATTAAGAGAAAAAGAGAAAAGACAAAAATTACCAGTATATTAATAATAAAAGAAGTTATATCACTATGTATCATTCCTATTTTAGATGGATAATAAAAATAACATGAACAACTTGATGCTAATACATTTGATAATTTAGTGAAATGAACACACAAATACTAAAAAAGCTCACTGAAAAAATAATATAAATATTCCTATATATGTTAAATAAATTGAATGTGTTGTTTAAAAAAATCTTCTTATAAAGGAAACGCCTGGTCCAGAAGGAAGTATTTTTTCTGAAAAGTAACGGGGAATGCTTGAGGATAGTCTTATGTTCATTGTCTTAGCAATCAGATGATTACAGTATAAACACACAAACTAATAAGTACTCCTCACATTGAATTATATATAGCAGTGAGAATGAATGATGTACATAGCATGCAAGAATAGGGAGGAACCTTCCAATTATAATGTTGAGCAAAAGAAGACAGACACTTGCTATCTGATTCTACGTATATAAAGTAAAACAGTAAATACAACTACTTTTGCAGTTTAAAAGTCAGGATAATTGTTACCCATCATTAGTCTGGTAGTGACCACAAGGGGGTATTGAATTGTTGGCAATGTTCATCTTTTTCCCATAATGTCCATTACATGAAGTGTTCATCAATTTATTACAATTAGTTGAAAAAATCAGTTAAGACATTTGCACTTTCCTATACATGTTATAGTTTGATAAAAAAGTTTTAAAAATAGAATAATGATACCTGTTTTATTAAAAGACTGCTCCAGTAAACCACCTGCTGTTGATCTTACTTTCTAATACATTTCTAATACATCTTTCTAATACATTTCTAAATATATCTGTGCCTTTATTAGTAAGACTTGCTTCATTGGGTAGAAGAACAAATGAACAAATATTTCTAAAAAAAAAAGGTTAATGTTTTTCTTAAACATAAACACATCCTTAGATATATATTTACAAATAGGCTAGGACATCATTAGGTTTCCTATTTTCCACCACATGAATCATTTTTACATGTAAGTCACAATTGATTAGATAATGCTCCCATTGTTGCAAAAGTTTTTACTTGTTCATAAATTTTCCATTAACTAACATAGCACATTGCAACTTTTAGGACAATAAAAAAGAGTTAACATAAGCTGAAAAACACGTAGTTTAGACTGAAGTAACTAAATAAGTGCAAATACATTTCTGATAGTCTTATGAAAATCAATTTATTATTGCCCTGATTGAAAAAAAATCTCTTCAAGATATTAAACACAAGCAAATATAAAATACATGACATGTGATTAGCTCAGTTCATATTTCTCTACCAGAAAAGTAAGCTGAAACTTATTGCTGAATAGTGCTTATTTTCTTTTATTTTGAGGGAGAAACTTACAGTTTTATACAGGTGCTTTTATCCAATATTTCACTTATTTTTCCCTTGAAACTTTACAATTTGTAATTCTGGGTTAATAATTCACTGGAAACAAAGTTTGGAAGTAGATGAGGTATAAATAATAAATGAATGGGTCTTAGTTGATAAAATATTAATATATTGGTCAAAAGTAGATAATGATTAATTTTTCAGCCCAAATTTCAACATTCCTGTCAGGTGAGAAATTTATAGGATGAGAAAACAATGATGTACTGTAACCTGCCATGAACTATTTTTATTCAATCACAACCTGGACTGGAGAAAGAGTAGTTAATTATCCCCACCTTGGTGGAAATAAATAATGGAAAAACATGTTGCTGAAAAACAGTAGATGTCTTTAAATCATTAATGAATGGGAGAGTTTGCAATAGAACACTTCAATTTGGGTGAACCTCTATTCTGAAATGCCAAATCTCTTTTATCCAGACATTAAATGTATTACTTTAGGAATTCCTTCCTTCGTGGATATTTTGGTCCAGGGTAGAAATCTTAAATTATTGATTAGATTACCACTAGGCTGTCATTTACAATAGTATCAGCTACAGATAAACTATCGTGCTGCAGTGGGAGAGCTTCAAATCTCATCTTTAATGCTATCAGAACAGAGTGCACCTAGGAATCTCTCTACACTCAACCTCAAAGATTTATGAGCTTCCAACCCAAATACAGCATTGTATTTCGAGTATCTTGGGAAATGAATCAGACAGTCAACATCGTTTATTTGAACTGGCATTGGCATTTATCCACAAGTGAATAATAAGACCCCCTAAGGTGAAGATAGCAAGGAGCAGTCATTTTAAATTTTAAAACATGAGTATTGGTCTAACACCAGGGGAAAAAAGTAAAAATTTTTTAAATTAAACAAATTTTAAACTTTTGCAATAAACAAATATATGTTTGTTGTCTTCTAATGTTTGTGTACATTTCATAAATCCATGTCATGCAAAGTAGTAATCTTCATTTTAATGTCATCGCTTTTGGTTTTATTTGATCATACCTTCTTAGATATAATGAAGTTCTAATCACCTAAAGGCAAGTTGTCCACAGTGAGTAAAAATGCTGAGGAATAAACATAATGAAAAGTAGGTTTTACTCTGATATTGATATCCCCCAGGATTTTCAATATTGATATTGAAAATGTGTTAAATATAAAACTAAATAATAAACCCAAATAAACTGGATACCATCAACTAATTTAAAAATATTTAAACTATGACATTAACTCAAAGAATTAGCTTTTCTCTTTTCTTTACCTTCCTTCTCTCCTTCTTTCCTTCCCTCCTTCATTCTTTCTCTTCCTCTCTCCCTCCATCTCTCCCTCCTTCCCTCGCTTCCTTCCTCCTTTTGACCTTCCTTCCTTCCCTCCCTCCCTCCCTCCCTCCTTTCTTTCTTTCTTTCTTTCTCTTTCTTTTCTTTTCTTTTCTTTTCTTTTCTTTTCTTTCTTTCTTTCTTTCTTTCTTTCTTTCTTTCTTTCTTTCTTTCTTTCTTTTCTTTCTTCCTTCCTTCCTTCCTTCCTTCCTTCCTTCCTTCCTTCCTTCCTTTCTTTCTTTCCTCTTCCTAGTACAAGTTAGGATTAGAATTCAGAATATCTGATGAGCTGTGGAAAAAAATTATTCTGGTACTGAAAAAAAATGCCATTTGTAAATACATAATAAAGCATTGAAATATAGAATTAAAAAAAGAATAATGATCAATTAATATGATTTTAGAAAACAAACTTTTCTAGTAAATTGATAAGGTAAAGATAAAAATCATAATTCAGTTAAAGCTTAATAATAGCATGTATGTTCTTAACCTACCATCACTTACATTTTTAGTTAAGTGAAATGTGGTTAGCTACATGTTAAGTATGAGATTGGTGGCTCCATCATGTACAATACATATGAGTCCCAGAACTATCACATTGATAAATAAAACTGTAAATCTACCACTTTCTTTCCTCAAAGTAATTCCCAGGGTAAAAATAATTTTTTTTTTTTTTTTTTTTTTTTTTTTTTTTTTGAGACGGAGTCTCGCTCTGTCGCCCAGGCTGGAGTGCAGTGGCGGGATCTCGGCTCACTGCAAGCTCCGCCTCCTGGGTTCACGCCATTCTCCTGCCTCAGCCTCCCAAGTAGCTGGGACTACAGGCGCCCTCCACCACGCCTGGCTAATTTTTTGTATTTTTAGTAGAGACGGGGTTTCACCGTTTTAGCCGGGATGGTCTCGATCTCCTGACCTCGTGATCCGCCCGCCTCGGCCTCCCAAAGTGCTGGGATTACAGGCGTGAGCCACCGCGCCCGGCCGAAAATAATTTTTTTTAATTAAACTTCATGGCTGTAAGAATACAAGGGCATTTAAAAATAAATAACCTCACAGTATGATGTTTTTCAAAAAATGAAAATTAAAAAACTGTAAGCACTAATTAATGTAAACATTGATAAACTTTATTACATAACAATGTTGACAACTAGATGATGATGTCAAAGTGTAAAACCAACCAGAACAACTACTGCAGTTTTTAGAAGTCTTTAAATTGTAAATGCAAATGATAAGTCTAGGAAAGTAACTGAACCCAAAATGACAGACTAGGTTCTAATTTCTAGAAAATATAAATGAATGGGCTAAAAAAAAGTGGTCCAATTTTTTCAATATTGAGAAAATATCTTGAAAAAAATCTCTCTTGCAAACACACACACACACGAATATACAAGTGATTATAAAACAAATGAGAACATAGTCACCAAAAATTAAATCTATGGAAATGCAGAAAACAATAATAGAATGCTATTTTGGCTCATCATATTAGTTACATTTAATTAAAAATGTTTAATAATTCACCTTGGTGAAAACACAGCAAAAATGTGCATAGCTATTAGTCTATCATTGTTTATAACAGAAACACACATACTACCAAATTTTAACAACAAAAATGAACATAAAGAGAAGAACAATGATACAAATTGTGATGCATTCATTACAACAAAATACTGCACATACCATATTTAGTAAAATGAAATACATCTATGTGTTCTGATTGTGAAAATTTCCCCATAACTTTTGATGTTGAACATGATACAAAATATGGCTGTCCATTGTGTTGTAGTTGTATCTATATAAGACATTTTTCCAAAGATAAGAGAATAAATTGTAGAGCTTTAATTTTTATTATTAGTATCTGTATTAATATTCTTATGTTATTATTATTCTATAATTACAATATTTTATTGCTGAACCTCTTTGTTATTCTCATTTAATTATTAGTGATAAACCAGTTTAAATTTTTTAAAAATAACATATTTAACATGTTTTTAAAAAATCCTGAAATTGTTGCAATTCCATTTTTGTTGGGAGGAGAATAGATAGCCTGAGAACATAGGCTGCTTGGTTCCTTGCAAGGCATGGGGGTGAGAGAGCAGAGCCCCATTACTAGGAGATCAGGAACAAGAGCAAGAGAGAGAATAGGAATCACTCACGCCCTTTACGCCTATTAGTGTTTACCTGGTATTCTCTTGTATAAAATGAGATTCTGAAACTAAGAGCTCATGAAGAGTCCTTCAAAAGCTATTCTTCTTTTATACAATCTGTGAAAACATCTTGAATTGAAAAAAAAAACTTTCTATTTTCTCTGAGGAGACTATATGGGAAATAGATTATTGCTTGATAATGGAAACTATATAGTCAATATTATCATCCAAACATCACCTGTGTATTCTTGCAAAAAAAAAATCTTAAGTTTAATCAAGAACCCAGAAATTTAATAGAGTTTACAGAAAATATAGTGCATTAGGGAAGATGTTAAACGTGAAGAAATAATCTGAGAAATAATGTAGAACTTGACAATTAATGTAAAATCTTCTAATATCACAGTCACGAAAAATGCTTAAAAAGGTTAGAGTCACTAAGAAATCATTGCATTGCAGGCTAAAAAAACACAAAAAATGTCACTTAAAGCAAAACAATCAAACATAACTCATGTTGCTTTTTTGTTTGTTTTGGTTCCTGGTTTAGAAAAGCAAACTCTATGAAAGATATTTCTGATAATAAAACAAAATTCCTGAGAAAAATTTGAGTTTGGATTTGATATTAGATGATAAGATGATTATTTTAATTTAGTCAATTGTGGTAATTATATTATAGATGTAGGGATGTAGCATTTCTTTATTCTTATGAAATATTTAATAAATATTTAGAGATGAATTGTCATGATTTTTCTGACACAAATTCAGATTGAGAGAGAGAGAGAATAAGAGAAAGCAAATATACAAAAATAATAGTTGTTGAATCTAGGTGGAAGACTTATGGGTGTCTATTGTACAATTCTGTCAACTCATTTATATCTAAAAATTAATAAAATTTGGGAAGTAAATATCATTAAGTGCTGACATGTAACTAAAAGTTATACAGAACTTTATAATCTAAAAATTTGTCTCTAGAAAAATTATCGGCTGCTTGATAAAGCTAATTGTGTTAAGGGCTTATTAATGATTCTGTGGATTTCTTTGAATAACAGGTTTTGCAATGGGAAGACTAAATTTTTTACATTATTTGTATTTAGTATTTTTAACAGGTCAATAGCTTGTTAATTAAAATATGTGGCTGTAAACTTGGCATGCGGTCATATTTCTCCCTAGATAACAAATAACTTTCCTTCTCTTGCTATGGAATTTAAGTCATGCACTTATATGAAGATAGATGGATTTCCCAGTAAATTCACAAACAGTTTAAAGTACAAACAAGGCCAGAAGATACACACACATCACTACCATCATAAATATTTGATAATGATTATTTTCAAAAGACATGAAAGAAATTAGCATATGAAATATGAGTCTTTTGTGACTCCTTTCGTATTTTTATTTTAAACGTTTTTTAAAACTTTTTTTTTCCACTGTGTGTATGTGGATAGCGGATTTTAGACAGTTGGTACCATAGTTTGTTCAGTGAAGTTCTTAAATTATAATTGAAAACACAGGCTTAATGACTGCCAGGCATGACAGACACCGAAGGGCTGAAGACCCATCATGAAGCTCAGAACAAATGCAGCATTTAATTTAATTTTAATAAAGTGAGAAGCAAGATGTATAAATCAGAATTACATTCAAATCTAAAGAAGCCTTAGTATGTTTTTTTAGGAAGGGTCAAGGCCCATTTATCTGAGTGAACCTGAAAGATTTAATGTTTAGAACAGCTGGAATACCTCTGCAGGAAACTGTTATCCTCTCTTTGGAAAGGTGTCACCAAAGATTCACTTAAAGTCAGCCTTTGCCCAGCTCCCATTTCTACTTTGTTGCTATGCGAATGACCCAGTGACCCCAACTCCTGACATTCTTCTCCAAGCCCAGCATCCTTTACAGCTTGTACTTATATTTACAGAGAAGAAGATGAGGGTCCCAACTTGCCTAAATTTCGTCTATCTTGTGATGGAATTAAGTGTTGAATAAAAGTCCTGCTCAGTTTCACTATTCTGTGGTTAGGAAAAATAGTGGGCAGTTGTGGATAAACTGGGGAGTGATTTGTCTATAGTGTTTGGGGTTATGGGCAATTGGAGAATCGGAGTGAATCTGTTAGATTATGGAATCAGAAAAACCGTATCATCAGTAATCGGCACACGGCCATGGTTAGGAAGCATTCTGTAATCACAAAGAATGACCCACATCATGACCATATGTTGAATACTGTCATTTTGATTAATGTAAGCCATTTTTTTTGTTCTAAAAAGATCCGGCTATGATTCAGATTTTAAAGGCTAGCCTTTTAGAATATTAGATTTCCAACACATCATGCAAAGATGCCTGTACAAAATTGAGATTCGTTTAAAATATTTATCAAATTATTCAATATTATGTCATTCCAGACATTCATAGACCAATGATTAATTTTTATCAATAGTGAATAAACTCAAACTCTCTGTCAATTTCATGCATAGACAGCATATAATTCATTAATAGTGGATAAAGTCAATTTTTCTGTCAATTTCATGTGCAGACAAATGTGCAGATTTGTTTGCTTTTAAAGTCCATTGTATTTATATTTCACTTACAGTTAGGCACATTGCTTTGGTAAATAAATTCTGTGAAACAAAAACAAATAAAAATCTTCTCTTTAGCCCCTTTAGTTTATCATTCTAAATTGTATAATATGGGAATAAGGGAATAAATAAATAAAGTATATTTAATCAAATATGTCAATTTGAGTAATTTATATTAAATTTAAAAATAAAATTTATGTCACATAAATCAACCCATAAAAGAAGCATTACGGGTGTATAGTTATTACATAATATCTTAATGCTAGACCTGAAAAAGTCATCTAATCAATATTTTATTTGAAGAATTTGAGACATGGAAGGTTGAGCTAATCAAGATCATAAGATTAATTGGTAAGAAAGCTGGCAGTAAAACTAATATTTGCCAACAAACTTTCTAAGTGCTCTCTAAGATTATACAATACAAGTAGAACAGAGTGCAAAATTACAGTTTCCAATGATATGATGCATTTTTTTCCTCTGAGGTTGTAAGTGCAGACATGAAGGGAAAGCTTGAATTAAAAATTGTTCAGGCATTTTATTCAAATTGATCAAAAACTCAACTTTTGTTTAATGCAAAATTGCTACATGTTATCCTTTGTTGATAGGTAGAAATGCTTCTATTAAAAGTTCTAAGAGGGTCAAATATGTGTTCTGTAAGTATAACAGCTGCATGAGCATAAAACATAATTTACCAGATGAATTAATTATGCAAACATTCTAACAACATATGTAATTATTATGGTGCTTTTACTGCCTGCTTGCCAAGAAACATTCCTAATATGTGATGAAACCACTTTGCATTACAAGAAAAATGAGAAATAGTTTGGCACAATTGGGTATAAAATTTAATAATCATCACAAAGGACTGATTGATGCTACTTCAGTCTTAGTATTGAAAATGGGAATTCAGTTATAGCATTAGTTTATGGTTTGAGCTTTGTGGATCTTCCACCAGTTAATACTAATGAAACTTTAATTTATTTTCGAGACTTGCTGTTTGCTGTGAAAAGTTGATTATTAAAATCACTTTCAGGTGGGGCGCGGTAATCCTAGCACTTTGGGAGGCTGAGGTGGGTGGATTGCCTGAGCTCAGGAGTTCGAGACCAGCCTGGGCAACACTGTGAAATCCCGTTTCTACTAAAATACAAAAAATTAGTCTGGCGTGGTGGTGCGTGCCTGTAGTCCCAGCTACTCTGGAGGCTGAGGCAAGAGAATTGCTTGAACCCAGGAGGCGGAGGTTGCAGTGAGCCGAGATGGTGCCACTGCACTCCAGCCTGGGCAACAGAGCAAGACTTTGTCTAAAAAAAAAAACCACTTTCAGACTGTATTAAAGCTGAATCTTAAGGCAACTGAAATGTATTTAAATGTGTATAGGTCAAAGTACTCCTAACTTTATGTTACAGTATCATGAAAAGAAAAAAACACAAACTAATTTGGATAACATACACTTTCTGTGACTCCACCAACGTTTTAAAAAGTAGAGAGAGCAAAGTCATTGTACTGCATGACATCACTGCGAGTTTTTCTGCACTATTCCTGTAGAGCAGTAGGGCCATTTCTCCTCCTTTGAATGTGAACCAGCTAGTAGTGACTGACTTGACTGCTAGAGTGTGGCAGAGTGACTCCATTCTTGTCCTGGACCTAGCATTTTAAGAGGATGGGTAGTTTCTGCCTTGGAATCTTGGAGTCTTAAGAGGTCATGTAAAAAGTTTGAGTACTCTGTGGAATAGAAAATGTGGAGGCCCTGGTCAGACAAGAGAAAGGAGCCCAGCTGAGCCCAGCCTTCCAGCCATCCTGCCAAGGTCCTGGGAGCATGAGACAGCATCTTGGGCCTTTCTGACCAGAGCTGCTGCCCAAGAACCCCAGTTTACCCCTCGTGGAGCTGGACAGTCACCCAGGCAAAATCCTAACCCACAAAATTCTCAAATTTAGCAAAATGATATCATTTGAAGCCACCAATTATTGTGATAGCTTTTTACATATTAACAGATAACTAGAGACTGTTTCACTATCTTATGACATACACTGAATTTTCTACTTAGGGTTTTGTTCAATTATATGTCAATAATGTATTACAAGACATACATCAAATTTAAATAAATATGCAGATTTGTAAAACTGAGGAAAAACCAAAACTCAAACACTTCCACAAGTTAAATGATTTTTAATTCAATATTGATTCCCATTAATGTATTTGTCTAGCTGCAGAGTGCTTTTGTGGTCAAGGTGGGGGAAGGTCCTTATTCTTAGACCAAATACTTCTTGAAACATCACCCAAAAGTATTCTCTAAAAGCCAAGCTGACTGAACTACAAAGCACTTGCTTGAAAAATATTTTTTTTCTTAATCCAGTCTATCATTGTTGGACATTTGGGTTGGTTCCAAGTCTTTGCTATTGTGAATAATACTGCAATAAACATATGTGGCACATATACACCATGGAATACTATGCAGCCATAAAAAATGATGAGTTTATGTCCTTTGTAGGGACATGGATGAAATTGGAAATCGTCATTCTCAGTAAACTATCGCAAGAACAAAAAACCAAACACCGCATATTCTCACTCATAGGTGGGAATTGAACAATGAGATCACATGGACACATGAAGGGGAATATCACACTCTGGGGACTGTGGTGGGGTGGGGGGAGCGGGGAGGGATAGCATTGGGAGATATACCTAAGGCTAGATGACGAGTTAGTGGGTGCAGCGCACCAGCATGGCACATGTATACATATGTAACTAACCTGCACAATGTGCACATGTACCCTAAAACTTAAAGTATAATAAAAAAAAAAAGAAAAATAAAATAAAATAAAATAAAATAAAATAAAATAAAATAAAAAAAGAAAAATATTTTTTTTCCTTCTTTGTTGAAGGAAAGTATCTGGCAGAAATTCAGCTAACAATCAGTGCTCCTAGACAGCCAGGAGATAAAGTATAGCTTCCTTTTACTTAGAGACAAGAATGAATGTTGCAAAAATAAAGGTAAGTGATATGATGTGTGATATATTAGAACCAAAAATTGCCTGTCTGTCCGGATAAAAGACATCTCATTGACTCACTTCAGAGCTTTCATCATCATTTAATAAAAAGTTTCTCCTTGGACTGGAGTTAGAAAACCTTTTCTTGGGTATGTATAACCATTGTGGAATAGTTATTTTTGCTTTGATGATTTTTTTTTCTTGGACGTCAGCGTATATGTTACATGTGTTGCTTCATTTTAAAATACAAATTGAGGAATTGCCATGCTATCTTCCACGATGGTTAAACTGATTTACTCTTCCACCACCAGTGTATAAACATTCCGTTTTCACCACAACCTTGCCAGCACCTGTTCTTTTTTGACTTTTAATAATGGCTATTTGGACAGGTCTAAAATGGTATCTCATTGTGGTTCTGATTTGCATTTTTCTAATGATCAGTGATGTCGAGCTTTTTTCTCATATGATTGTTAGCCGCATGTATTTCTTCTTTCGTCAAGTGTCTGTTCATGTCCTTTGCCTAGTTTTTAATAGTAGCCTGGACAAAGAAAATGTTTTTTATATATATATGTATACATAAAATATATATATACACACATATATGTATATATACACATGTTATATATTGTATTAAATTATATTATATATTATATATATTATATATACATTACGTATATAACATATATACACACACTGTATTAGTCTGTTCTCACACTGCTAATAAAGACATATCCACAGCTGGGTAATTTATAAAGGAAAGAGGTTTAACTGACTCACAGTTCTACATGGCTGGGGAGGCCTCACAGTCGTGGCAGAAGGTGAATGAGGAGCAAAGTCATGTCTTACATAGCGGCAGGCAAGAGAGAGCTTGTGCAGTTCCTCCCTTGTATAAAACCATCAGATCTCAGGAGACTTGTTCACTACCATGAGAACAGTATGGAGAAAACCACCCTCATGATTCAATTATCTCTACCTGCCCCCCGCTTAACATATGGGGATTATTACAATTCAAGGGGAGATTTGAGTGAGGATACAGCCAAACCATATCATATACCATGGAATACTGTGCAGCCATAAAAAAAGAATGAGATCACGTCCTTTGCAAGAACATGGATGGAACTGGAGGCCATTATCCTTAGCAAACTAATTTAGGAACATAAAAGTAAATATCACATGTTCTCACTTATAAGTGGGAGCTAAATAATGAGATCACATGGTTACACAGAGGGGAATAATGCACACTGCTGCCTATCAGAAGGTGGAGAGTAGGAGGAGGGAGAGGATCAGGAAAAATAGCTAATGAGTACTAGGCTTAATACCTGGGTGACAAAATAATCTGACCCAGAAACCCTCATGACACAAGTTTACCTATATAACAAACCACCACACATACCCCTGAACTTAAAATGAAACTTAAATTTAAAAAATACAAATTGGGTCACCTTCTGTATCTTTGGTCTACCTAGAATCATATTAAGATAGTGATTCTAATGGTGTCTATTGCTGAATTGCCTGAGTTAGTATATCAGCCACAACTCCTAGCTATGTGTCCTTGGAAAATGTAGTTAAATTTGCTCCTCTATAAAATCTCACTCTGTGTTTGCATGTGTGTGTGTGTGTGCACGTGTGTGTGTGTGAGAGAGAGAAAGAGAGAAATGGTATAATTCAATACATGTTAAACACTGAAAAATGTTTGACACAATGTCAGCAGTCAGCAAATGTCAGCTATCATCATTTATTATGTTCAATTTTTTTCTATTCATAAAATATCTTTTTAAATTAAATGCATATGATGGTATATCATCTTTTTAATGGCTGAACACTCCATCATTAATACATCCAATAAATACATATTTAAGGTTTTCTCCATTTTTAGTGTGTATTCTTTCTCACATTTAAGATAACTTTCTTAATATAAATTCTTATAATTTGAATTTTGCTGTCAAATGGCATGTGAAATTTTAAGCATGTTGATACATGTGGAAAATATACCGTCTAGAATATATGTATTATTTATATTTCATACAGTTTAAAGAATATACATTTTCCAAAATAGTTTCTAGAACCAGATACCATCAGGCTTGCTATTCTTTTAATAAGAACAATTAAAAACAGATACCCTATTTTGCACTTAGAAATTTGTAGTGAGATGGATGCATGTTTATTGGAGATTTGAATTTTTTAATTTTTAAACTAACAGAGCATGCATGGCTTTTTCCTATTTTTCTACTGAGTGTTAGTACATTTTAATTGTTTTCTGAACCACTTTATTGACGTGTGATTAACATGCAAAACACTGTACATATTCACAGTGTACATCATAATGAGTTTGGAGATAAACACACACCCATTAAATCAAAACCTTATTTATGCCATAAGCATGATATTTACTTATTCCTTTATGTGTACATTTTAGAACTATGTATCTTCAAAATAATTTGACAAATTATTTAATTTGTGGGCATTGAGACATTCATATTATACCATTAAGATTACCTAGGAAATATTCTTCTCAACATCAGCCTTGGCAAAGTTTTGGCTGAGTCCCCAAAACCAAATGCAACAAAAACAAAAATAGACAAGTGGGACTTAATTAAGCTAAAGAGCTTTTGCACGGCAGAAGAAATTGTCAACAGAGCAAACAGACAACCTACAGAATGAAATAAGATATTCACAAATTTTGCATCTGACAAAAGCCTAATATCCAGAATCTATAGAGAACTTAAATCAACAAGGAAAAAAATCAAATAACCTCTTTTAAAAAATTGGCAAGGGACATAAACAGACAATTCTGAAATGATGACGTACAAGTGGCCAACATACATATGAAAGAATGCTTAGCATCACTACTTATCAGAGAAATGCACAGAAAAACCACAATGAGATACAATTTCATACCAGTCAGAATGTCTATAATTAACAAGTCAAAAAACAATAATTACTGGTGAGGTTATGGAAAAAAGGAAACACGTATACACTGTGGGAATGTAAATTAGTTCAGCCACTGTGGAAAGCAGTTTGGAAATGTCTCAAAGAACTTAAAACAGAGCTACCATTTAACCCAGCAATCCAATTACTGGATATCTACCCAAAAGAAGATAAGTCATTCTGCCAAAAGATGTATGTACTCATATGTTCAGTGCTGTTATTCCCAAGAGCTAAGACATGGAATCAATCCATGTGCCCATCAAGAGTAGGTTGGATAAAGAAAATGTAGTACATATACACCATGGAATACTATGCAGCCATAAAAAAGAATTAAGTCATGTCCTTTGTAGCCTCATGGATGTAGCTGAAGGCTGTAATCCTAAGCAAATTAACACGAGAACAGAAAACCAAATACTGTATGTTCTCACTTATACATGGCAGCTAACTGCTGAGCACACATAGACATAAATATAGGAACAATAGACACTGTGGACTACTAAAACATGGAGGGAGGTGGGGACACGGGTTAAAAAACTACCTGTCGGGTACTATGCTCACTACCTGGGTGACAGGATCTTTACTCCAAACCTCACAATCATGCAATATTCCCATATAACAAATCTGCACCTGTACATCCTGTATTGAAAATAGAAGTTGAAATAAAACAATAACAATAATTCTTTCCATGATCATGGGATCAATAGGGAAGAA
This sequence comes from Homo sapiens, assembly GCF_000001405.40. Classification (NCBI taxonomy): domain Eukaryota; kingdom Metazoa; phylum Chordata; class Mammalia; order Primates; family Hominidae; genus Homo; species Homo sapiens. The sequence goes on from NW_016107297.1 coordinate 311,268, forward strand.
CCCTCTTTCATTTCTGATATTGTTAATTTGTGTCATCTCACTTTTTTCCATTTAACCCAACAAGAGTTTGTCAATTTTACTGATTTTTTAAAATAAGCTAGTTTTGATTTCTTCGATTTTTCTTTATTTTTAGTCTGTTTTCAATTTCGTCGACTTCTGCTCTAATGTTTTTTAATTTCTTTCTTTGTTGTGGCCTTAAACTGATCTTTTGTCTACAGTTTCCTAAGGTAGGAGCTCAGGTTATTTATCTTAGGTCTTTCTGCTTTTCTATATAAGATCCAGCAATAAATTGTTAAAAGTATTACGTTATATAAATGTTGATAAATTAATGAAGCCGAGAAGAGATAGAAAGGCAAGTATATATTTATAGAATACGTGTATTCATCCATTTTCACGCTGCTGATAAAGATATACCTGAGACTGGGTAATTTACAAAATAAAGAGGTTTAATTCAATTTACAGTTCCATGTGGCTGGGGAGGCCTCACAATCATGTTGGAAGGCGAAGGCATGTTTTACCTTGCAGCAAGCAAGACAGAGAATGAGAATCAAGTGAAACAAGTTTCCCTTTATCAAACCATCAGATCTCATGAGACTTATTCACTACCACGAAAAGAGTATGGGAGAAACCACCCCTGTGATTCAATTATCTCCCACTGGGTCCCTCTCACAAAGCATGGGAATTATGGGAGTACAATTCAAGATGAGATTTGAATGGGGACAGAGCCAAACCATATCATTCCACCCCTGGCCACTCCCAAATCTCATGTCCTCACATTTCAAAACCAATCATGCCTTCCCAAAGATCCCCTAAAGTCTTCACTCATTTCAGCATTAATTCAAAAGTCCACACTCCAAAGTCTAATCTGAGACAAGGCAAGTCCCTTCCACCTATGAGCCTGTAAAATCAAAAGCAAGTTTGTTACTTCCTAGATACAATGCGGGTATAGGCATTGGGTAGATACAGCCATTGCAGGTGGGGAAAATTGGCAAAAACAAAGGAGCTACTGGCCCTATGTGACTCTGAAATCCATAGTGGCAGTCAGATCTTAAAGCTCCAAAATCATCTCCTTGGACTCCATGTCTCACATCCAGGTCATGCTGATGCAAGAGGTCGGCTCCCACAGCCTTGACAGCTCCACCCTGTGGCTTTGCAGGGTATAGCCCCCCTCCTGGCTGCTTTCATAGGTTGGCACTGAGTGTCTGCGGCTTTTCCAGGAGCACAGTGGAAACTGTCAGTGGATCTACCATTCTGGGGTCTGGAGGACAGTGGCCCTCTTCTCACAGCTCCACTAGGCATTGCCCCAGCAGGGACTCCATGTCAGGGCTCCAAGCCCACAATTCCCTTCTGCACTGCCCTAGCAGAGGTTCTGCATGAGAGCCCCGCCCCTGCAGCAAACTTCTGCCTGGACATCCAGGTGTTTCCATACATCCTCTGAAATTAGGAGGAGATTACCAAACTCTAATTCTTGACTTCTGTGCACTGGCAGGCTCAACACCACATGGAAGCTGCCAAGGCTTGAGGCTTGCACCCTCTGAAGCCACCTCCCCAGCTCTATGTTGGCCCCTTTCAGCCATGGCTGGAGAGGCTGGGACACAGGGCACCAAGTCCCTAGGCTGCACACAGTACAGGACCCCTGGGCCCACAAAACCACTTTTTCCTCCTAGGCTTCTGGGCCTGTGATGGAAGGAGCTGCGGTAAAGACCTCTGACCTGCCCTGGAGACATTTTCCCCATTGTCTTGGGGATTAACATTTGTCTCCTCGTTACTTTTGCAAATTTCTGCACCCAGCTTGTATTTCTCCTCAGAAAATGAAATTTTCTTTTCTATTGCATCATCAGGCTACAAATTTTCCTAATATTTATGCTGTGTTTCCCTTTTAAAACTAACACAGCACTGAAGTCACCTCTTGAATGCTTTGCTGCTTAGAAATTTCTTCTACCAGATACCCTAAATCATCTCTCTCAAGTTCATAATTCCACACACCTCTAGGGCAGGGGCAAAATGCCTCCAGTCTCTTGGCTAAAACATAACAAGATTCACCCTTGCTCCAGTTCCCAACAAGTTTCTCAACTCTATCTGAGGCCATCTCAGCCTGGATTTCATTGTCCATATCATCATCAGCATTTTGGTCAAAGCCATTCAGTAAGTCTCTAGGGAGTTCCAAACTTTCCCAAATTTTCCTGTCTTCTTCTCAGCCCTCCAAATTGTTCCAACCTCTGCCTATTACCCAGTTCCAAAGTTGCTTCCACATTTTTGGATATCTTTTCAGCAATGCCCCACTCTACTGGTACCAATTTACTGTATTAGTCTGTTTTCACACTGCTGATAAAGACATACCTGAGACTGGGTAATTTACAAAAGAGGTTTAATTTGACGCCCAGTTCCATGTGGCTGGGGAGGCTTCACAATCATGGCAGAATGTGAGAGGCAAGTCAGCGGGAAAGATAGAGAGTAAGAATCAAGTGAAATGAGTTTCCCCTTATCAAATAATCAGCTCTCATAAGACTTAGTCACTACCATGAGAACAGTATGGGAGAAACTGCCCCCATGATTCCATTATCTCCCACCAGGTCCCTCCCACAATGCAAAGGAATTATGGGAGTGCCATTCAAGATAAGAATTGAGTGGGGACACGGAGCCAAACTATATCAATGTGTTATATTATAGCTATAGTTTGGTTGTTTGTCCCACAAACCATATGTTGAAATCTGATAATCCATGTTGGAGGTGGGGCCTAATGGAAAGCCTGTGAAGGGGTAGATCCCTCTTGAATGGCTTGGTGCAGTCCTTACAGTAATGAATGAGTTCCTGCTCTATTGGTTCCCATGAAAGCCGGTTGTTAAAAAGAGGCTGGCACCTCCCTCCAGCCTTATATTCACTCACGGTGTGATCTCTGCATACACTGCCTCCTGTTTGCCTTCCCCCATGAGTGAAAGCAGCCTGATGTCTTTACCCAATGCAGATAGCAGCTCTATGCTTCTCATAAAACCTGCAGACCTGTGAGCCAAATAAACATCTTTTCTTTATAAATCACCCAGCCTCAGGTATTCCTTCGTAGCAAAACAAATGGACAAAGACAATTAGCATTATTCTTTATCATTACAGGTCATCTTCATTTGTTCCCATGCATTCAGGTTACCACCTACAGTTATGTCCTTATCTTAATACAGATTTACTACCATCTGCCTCCTTTGTGATCTTATTCTCATGGTTTGGACTTCTAGGTTTAAATAGAGTCAATTCCTTTGTGAAGAGCTTTGAAGCTCTCCATTCTGATCGGCTGCACCCACCTTGGAAATAAACCCTGGGAATATTCAGGAGGCAATAGTGGCCTCTGGTCTTCTCAGGTTTTCTTCCCCACATGTAACTTCTACTCCGTGAATGAATTGAGATGAGCACTACTGGGGCCCAGAATATTCTCAGTCTTCTGCACGTGGGCTAGACACTCTGCCCTGTGAGGACAAGGACACCCCAACCTCTCTACTACACTAACATGGAGTTGGGATAGATGAGATATGCTGGCAGGTTTTCCTTCCTGGCGAGACAATATATTCCTTGATTAACAGCTCAAGGAAGAGGGATCCTGTTTCAGCCACTCCCATGTGGAGTAAAGCCTTCATCAGAATGAGATGGGTGGAGAAGGGAAGTGTTATGGCTCACATTCCACAGACTTGATATTTTCTTACTGAGTTTTAGTAAGTTTTGTTGAATAAATGTTTTTTCATTTGCTGGATGTCCTTGTGACAATTTCCAGACAAATGATTGTTTTCTTGTTTATAATAATTTTCACCAATTGTGTTGCTATTCCGGGAAGTAAGTACATGAAGCTCCTCACATTTCTTCTCTAAAAGTGAAAGAAACTCGACTATTAAAATATAATGTGCTTATTGATGGAGTTATTTTAATATCTATATGTTTGAAACCGTTTTCTATCTTTTGTATTTGTTTTTATTTTTTTCTGCCTTTTTTCCCCTGCCTCTTCTGATTTTGAGTATTTTATAATTCCATTTTATCTCCTCTCTTAGTATATTAATTCTTCATTTAAGTTTTTTCAGTTGTTGCTTTAGTTCACACTATACATTTTAAATAAGTCTACTTTTAAATAACACTATGCCAGTTCATTCATGTCAAGGTAAGGTACACAATTCCCCCTCTTATGCCTTGTGATATTACTGTGACTCATAAAACTTATCCATACGATATGTAACTTCCCAATACCTTGTTATAATTATTATTTCAAAAATCAGTTATATTTTTCACACACTGGGGCATGTCAGGGGATAGGAGGAGGAGGGAGAGCATCAGGATAAATACCTAATGCATGTGGGGCTTAATACCTAGGTGATGGACTGATAGGTGCAGCAAAACACCATGGCACACATTTACCTATGTAACAAACGTGCACGTCCTGCACATGTATCTTAGAACTTAAAATTAAATGAAATTTTTAAAATCGGTTAAATTTTTGATCAATTTAAAAAATTAACACTTTATTTTTCTTTCATTTATTTCATAATCAGTGGTCTTCCTTTCCTTATGACTTTTTAATTTTTTGACCTATATAATTTTGCTTTTCCCTGAAAAACTTCTTTTAGCACATCTTGCAGGGCTGATTTGCTACTGATGCATAACTTCAGTTTATATTATATAAGATAATCTTTATTTATTCATCTCCTTTGAAGAGACATTTCTCCAGAGATATAACTCTTCTTTTTTTTTTTTTTTTTTTGAGACGGAGTCTTGCTCTGTCGCCCAGGCTGGAGTGCAGTGGCGTGATCTTGGCTCACTGCAAGCTCCGCCTCCCGGGTTCACTCTATTCTCCTGCTTCAGCCTCCTAGTAGCTGGGACTACAGGCTCCCGCCACCACGCCCGGCTAATTTTTTTGTATTTTTAGTAGAGACGGGGTTTCACCGTGTTAGCCAGGATGGTCTCGATCTCCTGACCTCATGAGCCGCCCGCCTCGGCCTCCCAAAATGCTGAGATTACAGGCGTAAGCCACCGCGCCTGGCCCAGAAATAGAATTCTTGATTAGTGTTTTGGTTTTTTTCTCACATCTTAAAATATTTTACTGTATTCTTTTCTTGCTAATGTGATTCCGATGAGAAGTCCACATTAACTCCTGTCCTTTTTCCTGTGTAGGTAAGCTGTCCTGAATCTCCATTTTTAAAAAGATTTTCTTTTTGTCATTGGTTTTCTGTAGTTTGATTATGATATGTCTAGGTATTTTTATTTTATTTTATTTTCAAAATTTTTTTGTTTGTTTTTATCTTGGTGTTGTGAGTTTCCTGGACCTGTGGCTTGGTGAGTGTCATTAATTTTGGAAATTTTAAGCCACTATAATTTCAAATATTTCTCTTTGTCCATTTGCTTTTTTTTCTCCTTCTGGCATTCTATTACATATATGCTGACCTTTTGAAATTGTCCCATTCTTGGATTTTGTGTTCTGTATTTTTTAGTTTTTTTTTGTATTTTGATATGCAAAGTCTATATTGACCTATTTTTAAGTTCACTGATTCTTTTCCTGGCCTTGTATAGTCTTTGAATTTACATTATATAACTACTATGTTAGTATTTGTTGAAATTAATTGGCAATGATACTTTTATAAGTTCAATATAATACATCTGGATCCACAAAGAATATAATATATTGATTAAACTGTTCTAGGTCAAGAATTTGGTGCTGGGTGCAGTGGTTAATACCTGTAATGCTAGTACTTTGGGAGGATTACTTGAGCCTAGGAGTACAAGACCACCCTAGGCAATGAAGTGAGACTCTGTCTCTCAAAGAAGAAAAACAATTAGTCAAATGTGGTGGCAGGTGCCTGTAGACCCAGCAACTCACGAAGCTGAGGGAGGAGGATCACCTGAAATCAGGAGTTTAAGGTTGCAATGAGCTATGATTTACGCCACTGCACTCCAGCCTGGGTGACAGAGTGAGACTCCATCTCAAAAAAAAAAAAAAAAAAAGAAATGTTTGTTTGTTTTTCCCTTTCTTCCTTGTGCCTAAAAAATTTTGGTGTGTAAGAAGTGAGAAGTAAATAATCATTGGCCAGTTTAAAGTATAAATAAGTATGTTGTGATTTAAAACAAATAAAGATTTTACATTTGAAAAATAGGTTTGACTTCTGGACAATTACTGTAAAGTTAGTGTTGGCATAATGAGATTTGTGAGCTATTCCTGGAATACCCTGAATTTCAGTGATTATCCCAATCAGTATAAAAATCTTTAAATTCCCTTCCACTTTTCAGATTAGAGTTCTAATTAGAGCTTTTCTCATATTGCAACATTTTAATAAAGATTTGAGGTAATAAGTTTTGTGCACTTGTGTGAGTGTGTGTGTGTTGTGTATATGTTGCTCCTTTTAAACACCACAACAAAAACAATAAAACCATTTGAGCATCATCCTTTCTACTACTGAAGGAGCAGCTGTTTCTCAGAGAAGGCCATTGTAATAGCCTGGCGAATATATGCACTAGATATTTTCCCAGTCTCTCCAAAAGCATCACAATCATTTGCTCAAATAACAATACTCTATAAAAAAAGCAACATGCAAAATTTATAATAGGGACTACTACTCATGTGTTCTGAATTTATCCTGAAACCCCAATCACCACCGTGACCTTTCGCTTAGTGGGGTGACATATGGACTCAGCTAATTCACGGAGTCTTGATTCAGGTCCATCTCAGCACAGTTCACTGAGGCCAGGAACTAACACAGTGGTTATTTTTCTGACTGAAAATAAAATCAAAACGGGTATGTTTAGCAGTTAATCTATTCTTCACATTGATTCCTTGATCTTTCGAGTAAGAGTGATTGTCATAGCAAAGGCCAAATGGAAGTCCCTGAAATTTTCACACCGGGCCATTATAGCCCCTGGCCAAGAGAACAAATTAGAAACAATATTTCATCCCAGAGGAATAGCAGAACTTAGTGCCACTGTCAAAGACTTTAAGGATGCAGATACATGGATTCCATCATATGCACATTACTCATATCCACATTTAATGGGAAGCTATGCTTCATGCTTCTATACAGTCCTAAAACGATGGTTATGAGGTGCTGTCTCCAGCAGGTAGAATGTGTGGATTCAGGATCCAGGAGTGGAGGTAGCCAGGCACTGCTCTCCATCATTTCTACATGCAGAATTTATGCTTCACTTTCCAGCAGGGAACACAATAAGAATCTCATTATACTTAAAGCTACAGTTGCCAAGTGTTCTCCTTGAACTCTTCATGCCAATGACCTAGCAGGCATAAAAAGGAATTAGTAAAACAGCCAGGGTAATTGGTCCTGGCAGGTAAGATGGCTGCTACATAAGATGGACAGGAATGTGGTCACTTAGGCTGGAGTGCAGTGGCACAATCTCGGCTCACAGCAGTCTCTGCCTCTTACCTGGCAGGTGATGGCTGCTACATAAGATGGACAGTGTTTGGCAATCAGGTGGTCTACTGCAGGGTTTCTTGATAATCCCATGCTCAGTTCTTATTCTCAATATGAAAGTGGAACAACCACAACTTAATAAGGTCACAGTATCCAGGAATCTATGATAGTAGATGGTAGATAGGCCATAGTATCTATGAATCTTCACCCACAAGCCACCTAGACCAACAGAAGTGCTAGCAAAGATCAGTGTCATTTAACTGTGGTAGAGAAGGGAGATGAGTATCAGGTCAGTCCTCAGGACTGACTGCAGCATTAGGGGCTGTGGTTCATCGCATTAACCTTCCACTTTTAACTCTTCCTAGGAATTGTGGTGATTTAGAATCCTGGAGTAGCTGTGTCTGGATCCAGTGAACATAAATTGAGAACAAAGTGATTTTCAGTGGGGTGATGGGTGAGCTGAAGCCAATGCCTTCTGGTAACTTACTCACTCTGCAGCTGCTGTTAGTGCTGGCTGCTAATAGGCTCACAACCATCCCCTTCATTAGGACCACAATCCTTGGTTGAAAAGAGCTTCCTTACCCAGGAGAGCTCCTTCCCATGCCACAGGCATACTGCTTTCAATATTTAATTATATGGAAATACAAAAGTCTGGCCACAATGCCTCAAAGTGAAGGCAACTTTTTGGTGAGATTTATGTTCCAGATTCTCCTGTGAATGAAGCCAAGGCTGAGTTCTCTGAGACTATATTCTCTCTCAGCGTGTACCTATTCACTGTGCCTGTCTTGCTTCCTTCACTCTTGCTCCTGAAAAAGATTCCTGCAATACAGTGCATGAAACCACATCACTGCTAGAAAACACTACCAAATACATATTTAGACACAAATTCACATGCACAAATAATAACTCGAATTTGTGTTATGCTAAATTTTCAAAACACATAAACAACTTAAACATATAAATAGGAAAGTGTAGGAATACAGTAACAATACGCTGTATATGGTGATGCTATATATGTAACTTTCAACACAAGGCAAAAAGACATGACAAATTCAATAGTAAAGTCCTTAGAAGCTCATTTGTGTGGGAGGTAGTTAAGAATTATCATTAACTCTTACATCAGCCCTGTTTTATTTTGCTTTTTTGGGACAAAGACTTGCTCAGTCACCCAGGCTGGAGTGCAGTGGCACAATCTCAGCTCACTGCAACCTCTGCCTCTGTATTTTTTGTGGAGATGGAGTTTCACCATGTTTATCAGGCTGTTCTCGAACTCCTGACCTCAAGTGATATGCCTGCCTCAGCCTCCCAAAATGCTGGGATTATAGGCATGAGCCACCGCACCTGGCCAGCACTGTTTTCTTCTACTATTTTTTTAAATTATACAAGTCATATTTCACAAATATTGATATCTATACATATATATTTATAATTTTAATAGGCAACATTATCTATATTAAAAATAGTTCTATAGCAGTAGTGTTTATTTCTTTCCATTGTATGGTAAGAAAACACAAGAAAGAATGCTTTCACCTGTTATTCTAGAAAAAAAAAGATGGTCAAATTATAATAAAATGCGACCATGTAATATTACCTGGTCAAAATAATTTGAATATTACAAGGTCAAATGTATACTAATATTACAAGTAAAACCTTTACTTCATCTTGAGAGCCAAGTAGAATTGTTTATTTATTTTACTAGCCATAAATTCTGTTTTCCTTGACAGCACAGTGTATGAATAAATAACAGTTTTACATATAAGTGAATAGCTTTATAGCTATTCTTTAATTAAAATTGAATCCTTTCTTTAAAAAGATGTTCTTATTCTCATTTTCACGTTTTTCTTTCTCAAGCAGCAAATTAATATTACTGCTTTTTAGGCAGAAGAAATTTTATGCACTTGTGCTTGTGTGTATTTTTGAGAAAACTTGCAGCAGATAAACTTCTCTTTGAATGTTTCTGAATGGTCTTATTTCTGAATAAGAAGATGTGTCTCTGTGTGTATAAATATATACACGAGAGACAGATACTAGATAAAAAGATAGATAGATGACATTGAGAGAGAGAGTGAAAGAGAGGAAGGCAGGAGAAACAACTACAATCCAAGCCACAAGTATTTATGCAGGGAGTTCTATTTTTTACCAAATAGTTTTAAGAATTCTTGATCTAAGGTTTGATCCTAATCTTTCTTCTTCCTCCCTTCCTCTTTCTCTCTTTTTCTTCCTTCCTCTCTCCCTCCCTTCCTCCCTCCCTCCATTCCTCCTTCTTCCCTTTCTTGTTTTTTGTTTTGTTTTGGTTTGGTTTTGCGATGCAGTTTCGCTCTTGTCACCCAGGCTGGAGTGCAGTGGGGCGATCTCAGCTCACTGCCACCTCTGCCTCCCGGGTTCAAGTGATTCTCATGCCTCAGCCTCCCAGATAGCTGGGACTACAGGTGCCCGTCACCATACCTGGTTAATTTTTGTATTTCTAGTAGAGACAGAGTTTCACCATATTGGCCAGGCTTGTCTCAAACTCCTGATCTGAGGTGATCCACCCTCCTCGGTCTCCCAAAGTGCTGGGATTACAGGTGTGAGCCACTGCACCGGGCCTATTCCCTAAATCTTAATCACATCTGTTCATCACCACCCTTGTTGGCTATATACCACTCCCCATATGATTGTTTACAAGCTCTCCTTATTTTTATTCTCTAAGCACCACTGATACAACATTGGTGTGTACACAATTGTACAAAAAAATTAGGGATAAAGAATGGGATTCTATATCAGGCTAAGAAGCACTCCAATCAGTTGAGATTCTTTGCTGCAGATGACAGAAATCAACAAATATTGACTTAAAAACACAATCAAAACAAAAATTAATTTGATTAGAGGCTCCATTGTCAGCTCTTTGCTAATTATATTAATTCCATGGGCTACATTTTAGTGCATAATGTAAGCAGAATAGTGGTCTTTAATGATACACACATCCTACTCTCTGGAAACTGTGTATATATTACCTTACATTCAAAAGGAATTTTGCAGAAGGACATTCCAGACTGGGAGGTCATCCTGGATTACCTCACTGGTCCCAAGGTAAGAAAGGCCCTTAAAAGATGGAAGAGAGGAGCAGGAAAATCAGAGTCAGAGAGGAGATGCTATGATCATAGCTTTAGGTAAAGCAGTGAGATTGCTGCCTTTGAAGATGTAAAGAGGACACAGGCCAAGGAACACAGGCAGCCTCTAGATGTGTGAAAAGCAAGGAAAAGTATTACTTCCTTAGAGCTTCCAGAAGGAAGACAACCCTGCCAGCATCTTGATTTTAGCCCATAAGACCTCTTGGATTTTTGTATTTCTGACCCCCAGAACTGTATGATAATCCTTATTTGTTGTTTTAAGCAAGAAATATTATAATAATTTGTTATAGCAGCAATTACAAACCAAAATAGCATGTTATTCTTTTGCCCTTTCAGCTGTCAGAAAATTATTATATCTCTCTGACATTATGACGTTATGATAGATTGTCCTGTTCATTTTGTATGAACATTTAACTTTGCTTACAATGAGCACATATTAGTCATATAATCAGGAATTTATATATAGAATATGTAAAACAGATGACATTTATGACAATATTTAACATTGCTTACAATGAGCACATATTAGTCATATAATCAGGAATTCATATATAGAATATATAAAACAGATGACATTTATGATAAGTTTGAAATGTGTCTTCTCAAAACAAGAGATTAATGTGGAAGAGAAAACTTGAAAAATAGCTAAATGCAAGCAAGAAAGCTTAGTACAGAGAGAATGACAGAGGAAGAAAAAGAGTAAGAAAGAAAAATGTAGAAGAAATAAAATGCCTACCTAAGGACTTTGTCCCTAACATAGTAAGCATTGAAGACCTCCTGAAGGTTTTTGGGGAAAAAATAGATTAAATGAAGTTGAGCTTAAATTATGTATCATTACTAAATAGATTACTTAAGAACAATTGCTGAAGGTTGATGTATAATTTAGCTGAAAGCCTTTGTTTTTATTTACCACATTTCATATTAAAACCATATTGACTATTTTAATAGCAAAATATATGTTCACTATATCAAAATATGTTTAATATAAATAGAAGACAAAATATTTGAATAATCAACCATAAAGCAAATGAGAACATTATAAAGGAGTGAAATATATGTTAGATTTCTTAATCACCTACTGAAGAGGTGATATAGATGAAGAGACTTTTTGCTTGAATTTTTGCAAGAGAATTTTTGCTTGAATTAAGTAAATTAAAAATAAAATTTTGTGTCAATGCCTTCTAAAATTCACATTTTATAGCCGCTTCCAAGATAGTTTTATTTTCTGAGGTACTTGAAATGAGAGGTATAAGGTTGAGTATAAAACACTTTGCTCCCTCTGATCTCTTTAATTCTAAAATTTTGTTTATAACTATTAAAATTTCTCAGTGTCCCTGAACACTGATATTAGGGTAATATAGTGCAATTTCCTTTCTGCCTTTTACTCTCAGAAAATCATTATAAATAAAGTGATGATAGAGTTTCATGATTTTATAAGAAAAAGAAATAAGTACTTAGCTCTTTGTGTCTATCTTGAGATAAAACCATAAGGTGACTTTCAAGCAGTAATTTTAGTCAACTATGATATATTTTAGTAACCATTGAATTTGCTTTTAGGAATAACAGTTTTTTGAGGTTTTTGTTTTAACTCCAGATATGGAAAAATTTCAAAAGGTTTTTGGGGTTTGTCCATAAATATGTATGAAGCATTCATCTTATTCAGTCATTTAGTATGTGCATCTGTGATACATTTACAATGTCTTTATGATAGATCCTAACTTAAAGTCAGAATATAGACAAAGCTTCCATGTTAGGGGCCTATTTTAATACTTACAATAATAGGAGGACTTCTCTCACATGTGTTCTCTTAACAGACTGAATATATTGAGTAACTACAAAATAGAACAACACATTTGTTTACTCTTTGGATTATTATGTTGTTTGACAAGTTGAGGTCAGCATTGGAGACATCATATCATAGTGAACTTTTTTTTCTCTCTCTCTCTTTTCTTTTCTTTTTGAGATAGGGTCTCACTCTGTCACCCAGTCTGGAGTGCAATGGCACGATCATGGCTCACTGCAGCCTTGACCTCCCCAGCTCAAGTGATCCTCCTACCTCAGCTGGGACTAGGAATACAGACACACACCACCATGCCAGCTAATTTTTGTGTGTGTGTGTGTGAGGGTGGGTATTTTCTGTAAAGATGGGGTTTTACCATGTTACCCAGGCCGGTCTCGAACTCCTGGGCTCAAGGGATTCACTTGCCTCAGCCTCCCAAAGTGTTGGGATTACAGGTGTGAGCCAGCTCCCCTGGCCTGATTTTTTTTCCTATGTATTTTAAACATACTTCAAATCCTTAGGTATACATGGCTGCATTTTATAACTTTTACATTCTGCTGATGTGTCAGCCCTACTTCTTGACAAATGTATTTTGGTTCTCTGCAAATCATCCCTAAGAGATTTCTGGACATCTGCAGAGGATGTTTCAGATACACTCAAAGACAAATTTTATTCTGCTTGTTGCTCCAGTCCTGATTCATGGCATATAGCAGCTGGTGCACCAGAGGCCAAGGGAGAGCAGGAAGCTCTCTTTCCCCAAAATAAGTAGAAGCAATGTTCAAATCTACCATTCTAGATAATAGTTGTTCACCTGGGAATCAAAGAGCACAGCCTGTCAATCTATAAAATGAGAGAAAATATTTGCAAACCATCTCTCTGTTAAAGAGGTAATATTCAAAATATATAATCTATAATATATACACAATTCGATAGTAAAAACATAACAAAATAAAAAGTAAAAGAAAGAAAAAATCACAAATAATTTTCCCAATTAAAAAATGGGCAAATAACAGGAATAGACATTTTTCCAGAGAAGACATGCGAATGGTCAATATGTAAGTGTAAAGATGCTCAACATCACTAATATTCAGAGAAATGCAAATCAAATCACAATGAGGTATCATCTCACACCTGGTAGGAGGGCTATTATAAAAAAGACATGTGATTACAAGTGTTGGTGAGGGTACGGAGAAAACGTAATCCTTGTACACCGTTGATGACAGTGTAAACTAGTCCAGCCATTATGAAAAACACTATGGAAGCAAAACAAATTCTGAGGTTGTAATATACAGCATGATTGGTGATCAATGTGTTTGTGATAAACATTACACAAAGTATATGTATATCGAATTATCATGTTGCACACCTTAAACATATACAATCTTTGTCAATTACATATTTTAAAATAAAAAATCCTAATGAGCACAGACTATACTGTGTGTTCATAAGACTAATTATGAAAATAGCATTTGCAACTTTGTTCTTTTTTTTTTTTTTTTTTTTTGAGGCAGAGTCTCTTTCTGTTGCCCAGGTTGGAGTGCAGTGGTGCAATCTCAGCTCAATGCAACCTCTGCCTCCCTGGTTCAAGTGATTCTCCTGCCTCAGCCTCCCGAGTAGCTGGGTGTTATTGTCTTAATCCATTCCAGCTGCTATAACAAAATACCTGAAGCTGGGTAATTCTCAAAGGACACATTTCTATCTTACAGTTCTGGAGACTGCAAATGGAAGATTAAGGCACTAGCAAGTTTTGTGTCTGATGAGGACCTGATCTCTGTTTCCAAGTTGGTACGTTGTTGCTGGGTCCTCCAGAGGGGACAAACACTATGTTATCACACGACAGAGATGGAAGGGCAAAAGGGCTTAGCTAGTTCCCTCCAGTCTTTACATGTGACATTAATCTTATTCATGAGGGCTTCACCCTCATGGCCTATTTGCCTCCTAAAGGGCCTACCTCTTAATATTATTACATTGGGAATTCAAGTTTCAATGAATTTTGAAGTGGAAACATATTCAAACCCTACCATTCCTACAATTACTCTCTCCTCAAAGCACTGAACTTGTTCGTGGACTCAGAAAATAAATTGAATACAGCCTCAGTTGTTTCTATTTTTCAGTTATTGTGAGTAATGCTACTATGTACATGCATGTGTATGTTTTCATGCAGTCCTTCATTTTCATTTCCCTTGGGTTCCACTCCTAACAGTGGAATTGCTGTGTCATATGATAACTCTAGGCTTAATATTTTGATGGACTATCAAACTGTTTTCCAAAGAAGCTGCACCATTTTACATTCCCATCAGCAATGTATGAAGTTTCAATTTATCCACATGCCCTTCAATATTGGTTATTGCATGTCTTTGTTTTAATACCCATCTTATTGTGTGTGAAGTTATATCTCAATGTAATTACTTACATTTCCTAATCATTAATTTTATATCTACCTACCCATATCTATCTATCTATAAATACCTATTGATATTGTTCCCCCAGTGATTGTCGTGGGAATTATCATTATTCCTTTACTTTATATCAGTATAATACAGAGTAGTACTAATTTATTTTCAATATTATACAAAACATTTACTCCATTTTCTCCTTTCATTTTGTGCTATTATTATACAAATTACTTCCTTATAGATTGTATTCTCATCAACACGGATTTATAATTATTTATTTAAAGAGTTGCCTTTTTATATCAGAAAAGAGAAAAAAGATAGAAATAAAAAATATATTTATATATTTTATATTTACCTATGTAGCTACTTTCACCAGTGCTCTTTCTATCTTTCTGTACATTTGGGTTACTCTCTAATGTCCTTTCTATTCAGCCTGAAGGACTTCCTTTCATATTTCTTATAGAGCAGGTCTGCTTAGTAACAAGTTACTTCTTAATTGCTTATATAAGACTGTATTAAAATGCTTCTTCATTTCTGAAGGGTAATTTTGCTGGTTATAGAGTCTTTGGTTGACTTTTTTTCTTCTAGCTCTTGAATATGTCCTTTCACTGACTTAGGCCTCCAGAGTGTCTTCTAAGAAATTACCTATTAATCCTATTGAGGGTTTTTGTGTATGTGATGAGCTACTTCTCTCTTGCTACCCTCAAGATTTTTTCTTTGCCTTTTAATAGTGTCATTTTGATGTGTCACGTGTGGGTCTGTTTGAGTTCATCCTATTTGGAGTTTGTTGAGGTTCTTGGATGTATAGATTAATTTTTTTAAATCAAAAATTTGTGTGTTTCTACTCTCCTCTGGCACCCCATCATGCATATGATGGTATGCTTGTTGAATTACACAGGTCCCTAAGACTTTGTTCATTTTTCTTTATCGTTTCTTTATTCTCTGTCTTCCTCAGACTACATAATCTTAATGGACTAAGCTTCAATTTTATGATTTCTTTCTTCTGTCTCAAATATGCAGTTGAGTTCTTCTACTGAACTTTTCATGGAAGTTTTTGTAAGTTTCAAGTACAGAATTTTGACTTGATTTTTTTATGTATACATTTTTATTGATATTCTCTGTTTGGTGAGGCATTGTTCTTATGCTTTCCTTTAGTTATTTGAACAAAGTTTCCTTCAGTTTCTTGAATATACTCAAATAGCTGATTTTAAAGTTTTTGTGTAGTCATTTTAATATCTAAACTTCTTGAGAATAGTTTCTATTAACTGCCCCCTACATCTGTAGCTATGAGTCACATCTTCATTTTTCTTTGAGTGTCTCTTAAATTTTGTTAGAAAATTTGACATTTTAACAGACATATTGTGGCAACTCTGGAAAACAGAGGCTCTCCCACCCCAGGGCTTGTTTTTGTTGCTATTTATTGGTGTTGTTTAGTGACTTCTATAAAATAATTCTGTAAAGTGTGGATTCTTTGTCCTACTTGATTATTGAAGTCATTGCTTGTCTAGCTTAGTGGTTAGACTAAGTGGATAGACTTTCCTTAAATTCCAGAAACCAAGAAGTCTCTCAGTCTTTGCTGAGTGGGTCTCTGGGCACATTGATGCATACCTTCAGTACTCAGGTGACAGTTTACATCTTTGTCTTACTTAGCCTTCACTTTCTGCTTGCAACGAGCGCTAAGGTTTGTCAGCAAGAGCTTAGGGCCTTCTCAGCTCTACCCTGTGCATACACACAGGTCTGGGTACAGCCCTAAGTATGCATACAGCATTTTAGATTTCCAAGAATATGTTGGAGCATTCTGAAGTTCTCTACAGACATCTCATTTCACCAGATTTTTGATTTTTATTTTAAGTGTTTCCTTTAACCTCTTGTTGTCTCCAACCATCATTTCCTTCCTTGGGCACTCACAGTCTTAAACTATTTCCTTTGATTGTTCTTGAAAATGCACCATTGGAAAAGTTTATTCTCATTAGGTAAGCTTCAAGTCATACATAATAAAGACTACTTTGAAGATGGGTGTGGGGATATGGCAGACTCGTTGAACAATGATGGTTCTCTGGGAACAGGTAAGTTCAGGAGGCCCAACTTCTTACCCCTCTTCAGTAGCTATTATTCAGTTGTTTGCAGACTGTTGGTTTTTAAGGCTACAATGAAGAGGGAAAAAGGAGATAAAAAGAGGGCCACTTAGAACGCCACAATGCTTGCTGTTGTTACTGAGATTCACCCATTTTTCTTTTTTCTTTTCTTTCTTTTTTTTTTCTGGATGGAGTCTTGCTTCATTGCTCAGCCTGAAGTGCAGTGCTGGGATGTCAGCTCACTGAAGCCTCTGTCTCCCAGGTTCAAGCAATTCTCTGCCTCAGCCTCCTGAGTAGCTGGGATTACAGGCACACGCCATGACACAGAGCTAATTTTTGTATTTTTAGTAGAGACAGGATTTCGCCTTGTTGGCTAGGCTGCTCTCAAACTCCTGGTCTCAAGTGATCCACCCACCTTGGCCTCCCAAAGTGCTGGGATTACAGGAGTGAGCCACTGCGCCCAGCCTCATCCATTTTCCTTAAGTAAGGGTTCCCTGAATAGCTGCAAGGCTTTAATTAAGGGAGAGAACTAAATGTTATTTCATTGAATGCCCTGATTTCCAGAAATATCTTTTCTTGTCCCCATTTTGTAATACCAAGTTAAGTTCCTCCAAAATAATCAGAATCAATTACCCTTTGCACCATTCCCCTAGGAGTCTATGTTACCAATTAAATAATTTTGTTCTATCCAAGCTCTTGTTCAGGCATCTGTGCCATCAATCACTGTCCATGTGTTAAAATACAAACCTCAGACCTTATTCCTTTCCATGCAGTGTGGACAACCTAATGTACTGTCTACAAGGCAGATGTTTCTGCCCTTTTGGAAGATTTCACTTTACCTTGTCTTTAGGGTCACCTCTGTATAGGGCTATGACAAAGGAAGTACTCACATGCATTTGGGGCAGTATGCTGGGCAAACCGATTCTTAATTCAGGTCCATGCTTTTTGTTCTTCATTTATTAGCTCATGGAGCACTCATCATGAGGCTTCACATAAAGATTGAACAAGATGCATAGAATGAGTCTCACACATACCATTTCCATTTAACAATGGACTCTTGGTGCATACTTATTATGCAGACTCCTGTCCAAACTTATTATGCGGTAGATACTATATTAGCAAGCTCATGATGAGCAGGTAAAGTCACAGTCACCTAGGGTTCAAGGTTAGACATTAGTTCTTATGAGTGCTTAGTAGGAAACCATGACATACTTCTCAAAATAGGTTGATGCAGTGTAGCCCCATGTCGTACAGGTTATCTCTAAAATTCTAAGAGTTTCACCAGAGGTTATGCCATTTTATCTTGCAGTGGGCAGTGCAAGGAATAGCAGCTTATATCTCAGTATGGAGGAAAATTCCAATATGCCTGCTCTAATAATTTATTATTGTATTAAAAGCTACTCCAAAACTTAATGACAAAATAGCAAAAATAATTTACTTTGCTCATGAATCTGGAACAATCTCAGGGGGTGGAAAATGTTGTCTGACTCATAAGACATGAGACAGAGTGACTCAACTGGGGCAGAGGGATCCAGTTTTAAGGTGATTAACTCACATTACTGACAGATTAAGGCTACTGTGACTGGGAACTCAGCCATAGCCTTTTACAGGGCTATTTGGGCTTCCTCAAAGAATGGGGCCTTCACACAAAATCTAAAATTTCTCTCCTCTGTATATCATCTTAGTAAATGACTAAGCTGTTTCCATTTATTATGATCCAGTGATTAGTTAGAGGTCTCCAATATCTGCATGATAAGATACTCTCATTACTAGTGTGTTTCTGAGGCCTATTGTGATCACTGCACCTGATTTTTTTCAAACAGTTAATTGCTACCCCTTGGCCTCTACAGTTTCTGAATTTCATTATTTCCTTTGAAATTAGGAAAAACTACTTAATAACAGCATTCATCACCATTAACTCCTGCCTACAAAGGACAAGCACCGTAGAGTTTTTGAGGATACTAATGCCCTCTTACTAATACACTTGCAATGTCTTATGTAAGTAATAGACTCCAGGTCCTCCCGGGCATGGATAAAAAGTCACTGAACAAGTTGACAAAATAGATCCATTGCTATATGGTCATTCTCAGAGACTTGCAACTTCACTGTTTACCAGAAGAGTGCTGGTATTTCAATTTCATTAATACAAAGTCATTTAAGTCCAGAATTTGATTAGCCAATCTAGTAGACTATAAACAACACTTCTATCTTTTTTTTTTTTTTTTTTTTTGAGATAGAGTCTCTCTGTCGCCAGGCTAGAGTGCAGTGGCGCGATCCCAGCTCACTGCAACCTCTGACTCCCTGGTTCAAGTGATTCTCCTGCCTCAGCCTCCCGAGTAGCTAGGATTACAGGCATATGCCACCACATCCAGCTAATTTTTGTATTTTTAATAGAGCCGGGGTTTCACCATGTTGGCCAGAATGGTCTTGATCTCCTGACCTCGTGATCCACCTGCCTTGGCCTCCCAAAGTGCTGGGATTACAGGCGTGAGCCACAGTGCCCAGCCAACACTTCCATCTTTTTAGGCTGTGGCATTAAACCCTGAATGCAGAGTGAGGGTAACTATAATGGTATTTGGCCCCATCGAGCGTTGTATTTCATTCTTCTTAAAACATCCTAGGAATTTCATACATTCTCCTCAGCCTTCTACCAATAAATGATAAGAAAAACCTGTAACACTTTTGCTGATCAGAAGCCTTACTGAAAACATGAACAGTTGGTTAACACATATTTCATAAGTTACATGGATTGTATGTTATATTCTTATGATAAAGTAAGCTAGGGAAAAGACAATGTTATTAAGAAAATCGTAAGGAAAAGAAAATAAAAGATAAAAAAAAAAAAAAAGAAGAGCTCTAGCTCTTCTTAAAAGCCCAGGCAATGACGCACCATGAGGATTTGTCCTGAGAAAAATTATAAATTACCCAAGGGCAGTCAATAAAAGTGTTTGTCATTGTTTTTTTTCTTTCTTTCTTTCACTATTTTTTTCTTTCTTTATTTCTTTGTACGCATATTAAGGTTGACTTTCTTGGAGGAGAAGGCATTAAGCTGTCTCTAAAGCAAGAGAATTTTGAGAATCTGTTTGTTCAAATTTCTCAACCTCTTCTGTGTATGTCTGTATATCCCAATCCTGTGTCTTAAGGTTCCACTCATTCCTCTTTAGTACACTTGCCGTAGCCTAAGAAATCTGTTAGTATTAAATATGAATGAGGCTGCAACTCTTCATCCCAAAGAATCAGGGTCTGGGCTTAATTATGAGTAAGTCTACCCAGCAGGAAATCCAAATTGGTCTGGTGGAATATTAAAAACTGAGAAGAGTAACCACATTTTGTCATAAATTTCTTTAATCCATTTTATGTATCTTAAGTAAGAGGTTTCCCTGCCCAAACTATATAAATAATTTATCTGTAAACGTGGTGTAACACAGGTATAAAACAAATCTATACCTCATAATGAATTTCAGATAATAGAGCCAGGCAATTGATGATAACTTCTTTAAAAATATTCCATTTTAAAATTTAAAAAGCCATTTTCTGTTATGTAGAATTATAAGACTTTGATTGCTTTCTGGCTACCAGTTTAGATAACTATAGTCTAATTTACCTGGAAAACTTTTGTTATTCCTAAGTAAGAATTAATAAATGAAAGCTTTGACTAGGCACTTTTTTTTAGGAAAGAGAAGCTTTATTGAGATATAGTTTATGTATAACAAATTGCACCCACTTAAAGTGTACAATTTAATAGACTTTAACATCTATTTACACCCGACACCACTACCACAACCAAAAGTTTGCTTATGTTTCTTTGCAGTCTATCCCACCCACAACTTCTACTCCAAGCAAACCTTGATGGGCTTTGTTAATTATAGATGTGTTTACATTTTCTAGCATCTTATAAAAATGGGGTCACACACTGTGTACTTTTTTGGCTTCTTTGACTCAGGAAAATTATTTTTTGAGATTCATCTAAGTTGCAAAAATGCGGTAGTTTTTTTTTTTTTTTTTTTTTTTACTGCTGATTAGCATTACAATGTATGTTCATGCAACATTGTGTTTGTCCATTTCCCTGGTGATAGACATTTGGTTTCTTTCCAGTTTGAGGCTATTATAAATGAAGCTGCTATGAACATCCATGGGCAGACTTGTGCATGCACATCACAGTAGAATGACTGGGAATATAGTTAGTGTATGTGTTAATTGATGAGAAACAGTTTTTACAGTGGATGTATCACTTTAGATTACCACCTGCAAAGTCTGAGTGTTGTGGTTTCCCCATATCCTTGACAACCCTATCACTCTTTAATTTCAGACATTTTACACACCATAAAATAGGATGAGAAAAAAATAATAATAATTTCAGACATTCTGATAGATGTATAGTGTATCACACTGCAATGTTAATTTGCATTTTTATTACAAAAAATGCTTAGCACTTTTATATGTGCTTATTAGCAATTCATATATAGCATATGATTTATTTCATGAAATTTCATATTAAAGTTTACACATTTATATTTTAAAAAATTTTTGTTATCTTATTATTGTGATATAAAGATTATGTGCATATTCTGGATAGAAATCAACCTGCCAAATACATGAACTGAGTTGTTTTTTTCTGATTTTTCTTTTTGTTTTAAAAGATGTCAGTCAAAGAGTAGATGTTTTCAATTCTTATAAAATCAGTTTTTACATTTCTATTTATTTTTACATGTGTTTGTATTGTATTTTTTCCTACTAGGGACACATAGATTTTCTCCTATGTATTATGCTCACCATAAGTTTTATAAGTTAACAGTTTACTTTTAGATATATAATTCATGTCAAGTAAATGTTTATTATTTAGGAATTGATACGGCTGGGCACGGTAGCTCACGCCTATAATCCCCAGCATTTTGAGAAGCCGAGGTGGGTGGATCACGAGGTCAGGAGTTTGAGACCAGCCTGACCAACATAGTGAAACTCCGACTCTGCTAAAAATACAAAAATGAGCCAGGCATGATGGTGCGCATCTGTAATCCCAGCTACTCAAGAGGCTGAGGCAGGAGAATCGCATGGACCCTGGAGGCACAGTTTGCAGCGAGCCGAGATTATGCCATTGCACTCCAGCCTGGGTGACAGAGCGAGATTCTGTCTGGAAAAAAAAAAAAAATGAATTGATATTCATTTTTCCCTCTAATTGTTATGTTTTTCCAGAGCTATAAGTTAAAATACTATCTCTCTTCTCCCCCACCTTTTTTTGGTAACATGCTGAAAAAAATCAATTGATTATATATCTGTGGGTCTTTTCATGAATTCTGTTCTGTCCCATTGATCTAAATGTATATCTCTATGTTAATACTATTCTGTCTTGATAAAAGTAGCTTTATGGTATACTTTCAAGTAAAGTGGTATAACTCTCCTAGCTGTGGTCTTCCTTTGCAAAACTGTTTGGGTTATTCTAGGTTATTTGTTTTTCATAAATATTTTAGAATCAGTCAGTTTCTACAAAAATCCTTACAGAATTTTGCAAAATGTGGGATTCATATTAGTTTTCTAGTGCTATCATAATAAATAACCACAAATTGGATGGTTTAAAAGAAATTTCTTCTTTCCCAGTTTTGGAGGCCATCAGTGCAAAATTAAGGTGTCAGCAGCCCTATTCTCTTTCTGTAGGCTCTAGAGAATTATGCTTCCCAGCCTTATCCTAGTTTCTTGTGATCACAGGCAATCCTAGGAGTTTCTGGGCTTGTCAATGCATCCTTACAGTCTTTGCCTCCATTTTTACATGGCATTATTCCTGTGTGTTTGCATCTTTGTGTCAAAATTTCCCTCTTCTTATGAGGTCATCAATAACATTGGATTTAGGTTTCCTTCATTTTGACTTGATTGTATTTCCCAATACCTTATTACCAAATAAGGCCATATTCACAGGTTCTAAGTGGACATGAATTTTTACGGGACATTATTTAACTTGGTACGGTCCCCAAGAACACTCTCACTTTTAAGTCCAGGTTCCCACATCTCCAAGACTGCTCTCAGGTTCAACTCATGATTATGGTTTATTGCAGCAAAAAAGACACAAATGGCAATCAGCAGAGGGAAGAAGCACATAGACGAAAGTCCAGGAAATACCTAGCTATGAAGCTTCCCTTTCTACTCTCCCAGTGGAGTCTTGGGTAGAGAATCTATTTCTCTAAGCAGGAATATGTGACAATATGCATGGACTATACCAACCAGAAAGCTCAGCCCAGCTTTGATGTCTAGAGTTTTCATTGCATTCAATTACATAAAAATTATTGCTCACCATGTTACTGACCTTAGCCTCCAACTCCTTCAGATGTCCAGCTGATAAGCTGATAACATGTGACTCAAGATCCTCCACTATACAACATAAATCACGTTGTTAGCACAGACTATCTGGTGTGGCCATAAACATGCAGCTAAACAGAGACACCTTTATTGGGTAGGACATTCCAAAGGCTTAGAAGTTATTTTTCAGGAGCCAAACAAAAGATCAAACCTCTCTTTAAGCAAGAAAAATCATTTACTATACACATTTTGATTAGTATTTCTTGATCTTTTGATCAATTTTGGGAACATTGATATTTAAACAGTATTGATAACTATACTATACTGTAGGTCACAATACTGTATTATATACTTGAAATTTACTAAGAAGGTAGATCTTATGCATTTTCATTACAAAAAAATGGTAACTATGTGAGGTAATGGACACATTAATTTAATTAATTGTGGTGATCATTTCCAAATGTATGCATATATCAAAACATCGCGTTGTACACGTGTGATAGTGTGAGATATACACTTGGTCTTTCTCCTCCCTTTCAGCATATGACTCACAGAATTCTTGGCATCTCCTACATGATTAGGGTGTCTTTTGTATGCTAATGAGATGACTGGTGGCTGGCAGCCTCTATATAACTTTAGAGTAGGGCTGGTCACTGGAAAGAGCAAGACAGAATTACAAAATAGGGACTTTCAGCTCCATTTTCCAACCTGTAAGGAGATCGGAGGAGCTGAAGGTTGAGTTGTGATCACCAAAGACCAATGATTTAATTAATTATGCTTATATAATAAAGCCTCCATAAAACCCCAAAGGGACAAGGTTTAGAGAGCTTCTGAATAGCTGAACACATGGAGGTTTCTGGAGGGTGATAATTGAAGTGGGCATGGAAGCTCCACCCCTCTTTCCACTTGCCTCATTCTAATGAGGACCTCATGCCCTCATTCTATGCATCTCTTCCATCACGCTGCCCATCTGTATCTTTGTGATATCCTTTATAATAAATGAATATGTGTAATTACAACATTTTTCTCTGAAGTACTGTTGCAAGGTAATAAAACCCAATAAGGAGATTGTGGGAACCCTGATTTCTAGCTGGTTGGCCAGAGACACAGCTCCCAGCCTGTGTAACTAGCATCTGAAGTTGGGGGAAAGTCTTGTGCTGCTGAGACCTCAACCTGAGAGAGCTGATGCTGTACCCAGGTAAAAAGTATCAGAATTAAATTGAATTAGAGGACAGCCAGCTGGGGTTTGCTGAATAATTTGCTGGATAATTGATTGGTGTATAAGGAAAAACCATCACACATCTGGAGTCACAGAAGTATTGAGTATGTGAGTGTTGAAAATAGGAAAAACATACCCTTAGTTTTTCTTTTCATCAGAACACCTTAAATATACCTTGTCAATTTTACCTCAATAAAATTCAAAAAAAATAAAAACTAAATAATATTAATTCTCATGATTCATGATCATGGTATACGTAAAATCCAAAAAAATAAAAACTAAATAATGTTAATTCTCATGATTCATGATCATGGTATATGTCTTCATTTATTTAGATCTTTCTGTCAGCCGTGTGTATAAATTTTAATAATTTTGTTAAAGTTATATCTGAGTATTTCATGTGTTTGTTATAATGCAATTGTAAATGCAATTACAGTCATATGACATGTAACAATGTTTCAGTCAGCAAGGGACCTCTTACAGGAAGATGGTTCCGTAAGATTATAATGGCGCTGAAGAATTCCTATTGCCCTGCTAACCTCACAGAGCAATGCATTACTGATGTGTTTTTGATGATGCTGATTAAACAAACCTGCTGTGCTGCTAGTCGTATAAAGCCTAGTACATATATTTTTACACAATACTTCATAATAAATGACTATGTTATTAGCTTATGTATTTACTACACTATCTTTTTATCTTATTTTAGAATGTACACTTCCACTTATATAAATTTAAAAAGTTAACTGTGAAACAGCTTGAGGCAGTTCCTTCAGTAAACATTCTAGAAGAAGGCATTGTGATCACAGGAGATGACAGCTCCATGTATGTCATTGCACCTGAAGACCTTCCAATGGGACAAGATGTGGAGGGGTAGATAGTGATATTGATGATCCAATAGTGGGTAGGCCCAAGTTAATATGTGTGTCTTGGTTTTTAGTAAACATATTTACAAATTGAAAATTTTTAAAATTAAATTTAATAATAGAACGAAGCTTATAGAACCAGGATATGAAGAAAGAAAACATTTTTGTACCGCAGTACAGTGTGTTTGGGTTTCAAGCTAAGTGTTATTATAAAACAGTCACAATTAAAAAAAGTTATAAAGTAAAAAATTATAGTAGGCTAAGGATACTTTATTATTGAAGAAAGAAAAAACTATTTTTTAAACTTTAGTATAGCCTATGTGTACAGTGTTTATGAAGTCTACTGTAGTGTACAGTAATGCCTTCACATTCACTCACCTCTCACTCATTGACTTACCCAGAGCAATTTCCAATCCTGTAAGCATATTTCGTGGTAAGTGCCTGATATGGTTTGAATGCCCCACCCAAATCTCACGTTGAATTGTAATCCTCAATGTTGGAGGTGGGGCCTGGTGGGAGGTATTTGGATCGTGGGGGCAGATCCCTCATGAATGGCTTGTGCCATTCCCCCGGTGATGGTAAGTGAGCTCTTGCTCTGAGTTCACATGGGATCTTGTCATTTAAAAGTGTGTGACACCTCCCCCACCTACTACTCTCTCTCTTGCTCCTGCTTTCACCATGTAATGCACAAGCTCCGGGTTCTCCTTCTTCCCTGAATAAAAGCTCCCCAAAGCCTCCCCAGAAACCAAGCTATGGCAGCACCATGCTTGCACAGCCCGAAGAAGCTGTGAGTCAATTAAACCTCTTTTCTATATCAATTACCCAGTCTTCGGTATTTCTTTATAGCAAAGCAAGACTGGCTTAGTAGAATGCACTATGAAAATGTACCTTTTTTTTTTTTTTGTCTTTTATACTGTATCCTTACTGTGCCTTTGTATGCTTACATATATTTAAATACACAAATACCTATCATTGTATTACAGTTGCCTACAGTATTCAGTACATTAACATTCTCTACAGGTTGTAGCCTGGGAACAGTAGGCTAAACCATTATTGCATGTATAAACATACAATGATTTTCTTTTTGGACATCGTTGCATGTGCAAACCTAAATTGTATAGCCTACTACACACTATAACCTAGGTGATATGGTTTGGCTGTGTCCCCACCAAATCTCAACTTGAATTGTATCTTCCTGAATTCCCACATGTTGTGGGAGGGACCCAGGGGGAGGTAATTGAATCATGAGGGCTGGTCTTTCCCGTGCTATTCTCATGATAGTGAATAAGTCTCATGAGATCTGATGGGTTTATCAGGGGTTCTTGCCTTTGCTTCTTCCTCATTTTCTCTTGCCTCCTCCATGTAAGAAGGGCCTTTCGCCTCCCGCCATGATTCTGAAGCCTTCCCAGCCATGTGGAAGTGTAAGTTCAATTAAACCTCTTTTCTTCCCAGTGTCGGGTATGTCTTTATCAGCTGCATGAAAACAGACTGGTACACTAGGTGTATAGTAGGCTCTACCATCTAGATTTGTACATGCAATGATGTTTGCACAATGAAAAAATTGCCTAAGGACACTTTTCTCAGAATGCATCTATGTGGTTAAGGGACTCATGACTCAATCATGCAAACATCATAGAATGTATTTACACAAACCAAGATTACCTCAATCCAAGCTTGAGACTATAATCACACATTCTATGCTATTCATACTTTAATAAAATTTTCAGTTAGGATAACTAACATGTACAAAAGGTTTTCTTAGAGATGTACAAACTACTTTTTTAAAAACCTCAATCAGTGTTTCTCAATGTGTTGTCCTGGGTCATAAGCATCAAGTTCATCTTGTTAGCTATTAAACAGTCGTATTTCTTGATTACATGTCAAACCTACTAAGCAGAATTGTGGTTGGAGATTGTGGGAGGATAATCTGCACTTTAAAACTGTCAAAGTGAATCTAACTCACACTAAACTTTTAGAGCTATTGGTAAAGATATTCTAAATCTGATTGTTAGATCATGCTGACTATCAAACAGCCGCACAAGTAGCTGCTTCCTCTATAGAACTGCTTTTTGGAAATATATTTTGTAGTTGCACAAATGAGCTACTTGAGGAATATAGTAAATTGCATATAGAGATTTTTATTATATATGTTGTAAGACTATTGATTATTATAAAGTCACTAAGAGCCTTTTTATTAAGGAAAAATTCAAGATCTGATTTCTCAGATGACAATAAAAAATAAAATTTTTATTTTTCCAAGTAGTATTAAGAAGAAATAGATGTTTAATTTAGTTAAACCTACAACTGAATTAGTCATACATAAGAGAAATTAGTCACATGTAGATTTCTTCAAAGGGAAATGGAGAGTTACAAATGAACAAAAAAGTCAATGGAAAAGAAAAACATGTACAAATTTGTTTTGTTTTATTTTCCCCTCCCTTGGCAAACTGATTTGCTGAAAACTATCAAGAAGAGCAGTTTTCCCTGGAGCGAGCCGACTCAGTTATAAGGGAAAGTAATTTCAGTTATTTATGGGCTTCTAGAGAAACCTTGTGAATTCAATACTGTCTTGTTTATCTCTGGGCAATGGTGTTGTTTTTCCTTCTGCTGGCATTTCCACCTTACTTAAGCCAGAATTGCACCATTTCCCTCTTTATGATTCCTCAGTGTACTGGTATATTAATTTTTTGAACGAGTTATGAATTTTGAAACTTGTTCATAAAACTAACACCACTTATAAGTTTTGAAAGTTGTAACTGAGCATAATTGTACTTTGGCTGCCAGAAAGCTACAAGTTGATTTTGCTCTCCAAGTTATAAAGCTGTAGTGAATTTCATGGCACTCATTTCTATGTTCAGGCTTTTACTGGTTTAAAAGTATTCTGTTATTTCTATCTTGCTGATTCCTATGGTGTATTTCTGTAATTGACCACAAATAATTTTGGAAACATGGAAACAACATCGTTTGGTTTGGTAACTCAAGATCTATCATTTTTATTCATAATTCCTCTCTCTAGTCATTTTCCTTAATTATGATCAATATATTTTAGTAAAGATCCTAGACTTATTTTCTCAATTCTGAGCACCTGACTTGAGTAGAAAAAATTTGTATAAATTCTTTTCTCATTTTAAATAGCATAAATATCACTGAAATAGAGAATCATAGGAACTACTGATATGTAGATCATTCTTATTGAGCAAATATTTTTAAATGAAACAGAAAATAGTATACCTTCCTAGCAATAATTTTGAAACTTTCATAGTAATTTCTTGTTGCCATCCACCTAGTCCAATCCCAATCTCAAGCAAAAGCTCTGATTAAAATTTATTTTACTTTAAAATTCAATATGCAATGAAAATTCATCCTTGAGGCTTACCATTTTCTTTGGAGATTTAGAAGAACTTGACAAAATATTTTTATAATTCTTCTCATTCACTAGTTATGGATACTTTAACTCAAAGAATAATATGTCTATTCTTTCAGTGTTTTGGTACTGAAATATTTCCCAACATGCTTCAGCAATGTTTTCTTTGTTTTTTTCACAGCATATGAAACACAAAAAAGTACATAAAAAAATCTTTCTTGCTGAAAGAATAAGGCTATTTGCGATTTAGATTTATCTAGTCAAATGACATGATTGTGTATTATACTGGGAAAAAATGTCATATGAGTTAATAGACTTTGTTTTGAGGCCCACTTGGTTTTCTTGTTAAGAGAAGACCCTTAAGCAAGTAATGTAAGCTTGGTATTACCCAGTTTCTCTACCTGCAATATTAAAAATATTACCTTGCAATTTCTACACTTGTAAAATTTAATAATAACTAATTATTCAATCATAAGTCTAATTTTCATCTTAAAACTATGTTTTTACACCTATATATACACATATATATGTACACACACAAATATATATATATATTTCTTACCCTATTCTTTTCATCTTGATCTTTTAAAATTTTTATTGAATTAAGCCAATTGTATAGAGTTTTGCAAAAAAAGAAGTTATTTTAAAGCATAGCCAATTGGCTATATTTAACCAGAAACTCTACATTTGTATACTAAATCCCCATGCTGAATATATGCAGCAATTAATATTAATTTTAAAGACTGGAGGATATTCAATACTGCATGTATTCAGAAGGAGAAAAATGTAAAGTAAATCAAAACCACCCAGAAAAGCTTCTAGGAGAATAAAGATTTGGAGGTACCAGAGAAAAAATAAGGGTAGACTATGTGCTACAAATAAGGAAAGAGTTTGAAAGCCTGTAGATTGGATAGTTGTATCTGATACATGGAAAACTTTAATCCAGAGAAGCCACATGTTTATTCTCTGAATTGAATGAAAAAAGAAATTGAAAAGGAGTGTATGGGCCACAGGAGAGGGAGGATGTAGGTTTGAAAGTTGAGAACAAGAATACTTAATGATATTCTGCAGCCTAAATTGTGGAAGCTTTGGCTTACCCCAAATTGCTCCAGTTTTTTAAAAGCAGAAGTAAATGTATATTTCTAAAATGAGCTGTTTTATATATATAAGAATATATTAGAGGAAAATATTACATAAATTAACACCCTTTTTATTGTGAACAGATAGCAAACAACCTGGCAAAGCGTTCATAGTTAAATACTTATTAATTACATGACTGCGTACTACATGAAAATCACTGAATTGATGAAGCAATGTGTATTAGTCTGTTATCACGCTGCTATAAAGAACTGCCTGAGACTGAGTTAATTATGAAAGAAAGAGATTTAATTGACGCATAGTTCCACAGGGCTGGGGAGACCTCAGGAAACTTACAGTCATGGCAGAAGGGACAGCAAATATGTCCTTCTTCACATAGTAGCAGGAAAGAGAAGAATGAGAACTGAGCAAAGGGGGAAGCCCCTTATAAAATCATTAGATCTCATTAGAATTTGCTCACTATCACAAGAATAATATGGAAGAAACTTCCCCCATAATTCAATTACCTCCAACTGGGTCCCTCTCACCACACATGAGGATTATAGGAACTACAATTCAAGATGAGATTTGGGTGGGGACACAGGAAAACTATATCACGGTGGTGAGCATTATTTTCTTATAGGGAAAAAAAAATGATTGAAGCATAGATCCTGGAATGAGAAGTCATGGAAAAAGCTCATAGCTTAATTCCCAAATTGTTGAGATTTGAAGTCTGTGCAGTGTTTATAACAGTTAGATCATTAGGTTATCTTGACTTACAAAAGGACCAAAATCAGTGAGGAAACAAAGAACTACACACATAACCTCAGGCACATATTTCCTGAGAAGTTACTTTTTTTTGCCTTTAGAGGCATATCAAATCTGTATTTGATTAAATCAACAATTTTCTAAAGATATTTGGTGGGTGAGACAAAAGTAGAAAACAAAAATGACCTATTTGACAGAGTAAAAAAGAAGAGATTATAAAAATAAAAGCATGCTGAAAACTGTAAGAGGGTAAGTGAAATAAAAGGGAGAGATCATTGGCTCAAACGCAGAAGTTTTGTTATTTTATGTGCCGTATTTTCCAACGTTTGCAAAAAACTGAGTGAAGATATTACCCCAGAGCAAAAAAAAGAGTTTCAGATTTTCTGAGAGTAACTTAAATTAATTTTCTCAAGTTTTTTTTTAACATCCCATTTGTCTCTTAGGTAAAATCCAACATCCCTTCAACAGAGTGCTCTGATGTTCATTTCTGATAATGTGTGTAAAATAACCACACATATTAAATATCTCTGTCCCCAGAGACACTTTAGGTATTCAATGGAGCTTAGTTTTATCTTGGATAAGATTTATTGAATTAAAGGGAAGTACAAGGCAATTCTAAAATAATTGAGCCAAATATAAATATGGTATGCACTTTTAAACAAGAAATCCCAGTGGAAGTGTAATTATTCAGTGCATGGAAAGAGGTAGAAAAAAAGAAGCCTTCACTTGGGACACGAGTATAATTTTAACAGTATAACAGTAATATTAATGACACCAAACACTGCCTTTATTCTAAATAAATAAAGATGAATACTAAATGTCTTGAAAGACCCCCAGTAACCACCTGTGCTATTATAAAGGTTTAGCTGTCAAATCAGTCTCAGGAACATTCTACTAAACTTCACTAATGATCCGTATGAAACAGGAAAGCAACAGATGCAAAGAAACCTTCTTTTTCTGGAGGAACCAAAAGGATCTGATACAGCTTCTTAGAATGTTCCTTTATCTCTCATTGAAACAAATTATAATTTCCTATTAATAGAATAGTTTTTTTGAGTCATTGACCATAAAACAAAGTCATTCTGATTTTAAAATTTTTTCTTTGTATACTCTATTAATTCAATAGGACTACACTTATATCACTATCCTCCATTCTTCAGTCAGCCAGATCTCATAAATCCATAACTTCTAGATTGACATTAAGCAATTTATGTGGACTAGATATATCCCTCTAAAATATCTTACAGATAAGGACTCCCATTTCTTTCTGATAGTACCTTGCCATTAAAATTTTTACAAGGATGTCTGGTCAGGATCATTCATATCCTCCACTGAAGTAAACAGTGAACAAGTTATGACCTGCTGTTAAAACTTTTCATTAACATTTCAATTGTATTGAAGTCAATTCAACAAATATTTATAGAGTCATTTCAATGTGTCAGGAACTTTTGGCATTCTCTCTCCCTGCTCCAAAATTTCATGAAGCTGCTACACTATGTTAAGAGAAAGAAATGTCTAGTTCTAGCAATTCATTTCATCACACTGCAACTTGTTTTTTTATTTCTATTGAGTGATCCTATGTTGACATTTGATTCCTTATCTAAAGGCCAACAGTGACTTTTTAATTTACAAATAAAGCAGCTTTTCTCAGTTATTGTCCTTTTCAACTTTGTCACTTAAAAAAAATGTTTCTTGGTTTACTGCATCTTAATACACTCCATATGTGTCCTGGGTCTAATTCTGTCTTAAAATCAAATTTCTACTTTTAACATCTTCCCATTCTGTGTTTTCAGGAGGTTTGCTTTTATTATTTTCTCTGCCCTATGGCCTCCCATCACCATCCATCCACCCCAGCACACACTAGCAAAATGAATTACAAGCTGTGGATCATGACATCCTTGCTTCTATAACACTTCATCATTATTTTCCTGTGAAAATACAAAACTCAAAAATGTTATTTTCTCTCTTTCCTGACTTTATATTCTGAAGCAGGCCTTTAACTGACTTGGATATTTCTAGTAATCTAAACATTGATTCTTTTTCTATTCATTCTACATTGCCTTGCAATGCAGTATAATAGAAGGAACACAAGCTCTGGAGTGAAATTTTTCTTAGTTCCCCTTCCAAACTTACTTATTCACTGTGTGACCTTAAACCCTCAGAAAATGAGGAGTTCAATAAATGTCATTTCTTATCCTTTCTGGAAGTATCGCAGTGAGATGTTTACCATCTTGCTCAACAGATTCCACTTTCTCCCCATTAAGGAATTCTGTATTCCTTAATCAGCTATTCATAACATGCCTGGAACATCTTTTTACCATCACATTCCTTCAATATACCATAAACTTCAGTCCTTGTTTTTCATTCGCTATATCTGAAACACTCACTAAACCATTTAAGTTCTGTTTATATTTGCTCATTTTCACAAAACACTTACACTAAGCTTTCCAAAAAAATATTTTGCTATTATTATAGTTATTTCAATGAAGCAAACCATTTGCAATGTAATAAGCATAGCACTTTGACTATAATAAATAGATAAATAAGGCAACTTAAAAAATTAGGCTATGGGATACATGTGCAGAATGTGCGGGTGTGTTACACAGGTAAACATATGGCAAGGTGGTTTGCTGCACCTATCAATCCATCCATCACCTAGGTATAAAGCCCCACATGCATTTGCTATTAGTCCTGATGCTCTCCCTACCTCCCATCCCCTGACAGGCCCTGGTGTGTGTTGTTCCCCTCCCAGTGTCCATGTGTTCTCATTGTTCAACTCTCACTTACGAGTAAGAACATGCAGCGTTTGGTTTTCTGTTCCTCTGTTAGTTTGCTGAGGATGATGGCTTCCAGCTTCATCCATGTCCCTGAAAAGGACATGAACTCATTCCTTTTTATGGCTACATAGTATTCCGTGGTGTATATGGACCACATATTTTAAAATCCAGTCTATCATTGATGGGCATTTGGGTTGGTTCCAAGTCTTTGCTACTGTGAAGAGTGCTGCAATAAACATACGTGTGCATGTACCTTTATAATAGAATGATTAATATTCCTTTGTGTATATGCCCAATAATGGGGTTGCTGGGTCAAATGGTATTTCTTGTTCTAGATCCTTGAGGAATTGCTACACTGACTTCCATAGTGGTTTAACTAATTTACTTTCTCACCAACAGTGTGAAAGCATTCCTATTTTTCAGCAGCCTCGCCAGCATCTGTTGTTTCTTGACTTTTTAATAATCACCATTCTGACTGATTTGACATTGTATCTCATTGTGGTTTTGATTTTCATTTCTCTAATGATCAGTGATGTTGAACTTTTTTCATATATTTGTTGGCTGCATAAATGTTTTCTTTTGAGAAGTGTCTGTTCATATCCTTTGCTCACTTTTTTTTTTTTTGAGACTGTCTCGCTCTGTTGCCCAGGCTGGAGTGCAGTGGTATGATCTCCACTCACTGCAACCTCCACCTCCTGGGTTCAAGCAATTCTCCTGCCTCAGCCACCTGAGTAGCTGGGATTACAGGTACCTGCCACCACACCTGGCTAATTTTTATATTTTTAGTAGAGATGGGGTTTCACCATGTTGGCCAGGATGGTCTTGAACTCCTGACCTCAGGTGATCTGCCTGCCTCAGCCTCCCAAAGTGCTAGGATTACAGGCCTGAGCCACTGCACATGGTCCCCTTGCCTACTTTTTGATGGGGTTGTTTGTTTTTTTCTTGTAAATTTGTTTAAGTTCCTTGTAGATTCCAGATATTAGACCTTTGTCAGATGGGTAGGTGGCAAAAATTTTCTCCCATTCTGTAGGTTGCCTGTTCACTCTGCTGATAGTTTCTTTTGCTGTCAGAAGCTCTTTAGTTTAATTAAATCCCATTTGTCAATTTTAGCTTTTGTTGCAATTGCTTTTGGCAATTTCATCATGAAATCACATGCTTATTTCCTGAATGGTATTGCCTAGGTTTTCTTCTAGGGCTTTTGTGTTTTTAGGTTTTACATTTAACTCTTTATTCTGTCTCGAGTTAATTTTTGTATAAGGTGTAAGGAAGGGGTCCAGTTTCAGTTTTCTGCATACAGTTAGCCAGATTTCCCAGTACCATTTATTAAATAAGGAATCCTTTTCCCATTGCTTGTTTTTGTCAGGTTTGTCGAAGATCAGATGATTGTAGATGTGCAATTTTATTTCTGAGATCTCTCTTCTGTTCCATTGGTTTATGTGTCTGTTTTGGTATCTGTACCATGCTGTTTTGGTTACTGTAGCCTTGTAGTATAGTTTGAAGTCAAGTGGCATGATGCCTCCAGCTTTGTTCTTTTTGCTTCAGATTGTCTTGACCAAATCGGCTCTTTTTTGGTTCCATATGAATTTTAAAGTATTTTTTTCTAATTCTGTGAAAAATATCAATTGTAGTTTGATGGAAGTAGCATTGAATCTATAAATTACTTTGGGCAGTATGCCATTTTCACAATATTGATTCTTCCTATCCACGAGGATGGAATGTTTTTCCATTTGTATGTGTCCTCTCTTATTTCCTTGAGCAGTGATTTGTAGTTCTCCTTGAAGAGGTCCTTCACATTCCTTGTTAGCTGTATTCCCAAGTATTTTAACCTCTTTGTAGCAATTCTGAATGGAAGTTCACTCATGATTTGGCTCTCTGCTTGTCTGTTGTTAGTGTATAGGAATGTTGTGATTTTTGCACGTTGATTAATAAGGTAACTTTTTAATGAAGAAAACAATTAGTAATACATTAATGCATGTAAGGTAAGCAAAATAGATTAAACATTTAATTTAAAGCAAAGATAATGACTTTAAAAATAATTTTACTATTGACATTCACATTAGTGTTTTCACAAACATAGATAATCGTTTCCATTGTCCTTAAATATATTTTTTAATACTTTCTAATAAACCACTCTAATATTGTGGAAATATATATTGAGAGATATACATATTGACATTAGATCATTCTACGTAGGTTTGTTGCTTTTAAATAAATATTCAAGCTTTGTGAAAAGCACATGTAGGCACCACATACTTGAATTATTAAGGCTAAAACTTAAGAATTTGGTGCTGTGAGTACGAATAATAAAAACGTCATTCATTTATCTCTTTTCTCAATTATAAGCTTTTAAACAATAGCTCATGGAATTAGAGAAAACTTCTTTGTTTACTTCTGCTGATATTTATAACTATTTCATTAATAGCTTATAAAACAGAGCAATTACATTCTCTGATGGAAAAAAAAACCAAGCATATTAATAGTTTGTGAATAAACTTTTCAATTTTGAAAATAAAATGAGCAGCATTTACATTTGAAATCCATACAAATGATGCTGTTTACTTTTTATGTCAATAGTGTCAAATAGATTATAATACATAAAACTATTAGTGGAGTTCACGTTTGGATTTTCTCGTTGTTCATTTTTTGGTACCCTTCTTTAGATAAATTTTAGCAACGGTTTTGAATTGGCTTTAAATGGAAACATAATTGTTTACAAAAAAAATGGAAGATTTGACTACTAGTAAACATGATGTTCATGTTAATGTTATTAACACACCTTCCAATATAATCACCTAAAAAATGAAAAAACTGTGATTCCTAATTCACATTCTGAGAACTAGTGTCATGTAAAAATACTTTAACATAAGAAATATGCAAGTTTATGGGAGTCAGAAAAATGTATATATTATTAATAATTATATAAACATTATATAGATATTATACTATGACATACAAATTTGGCTATATATTATTTACACGGACAGCATACAAGACACAAATATTTTATCACTTTATTTTAAAATTTACATAAATATATGAGCTTAGGTTTAAAAAAATCTGTATTTTCCAAGTATTAATTAATTAATGCATGTACTATCTTATTTCTTTCTCATGCTATGAAGTAGAAACTAACTATTTCTAGTTTACAGAGGACTAAATTGAGAAGTGGACCATGTTCTTACAACAACAACCGAAAGTAAATTCCCATTTTAAACCTAGCCAACCTGATCCCCAAACCCGTTATATGTATAGCAACATATATAAATAAGTAATATATAGAGACATTGTGAACAAAAAAAAACTAGAGATATAATATATAACCTAGATCAAATATTTTATTTTATAAATGAAATGCTGATTGGAAGAACAATAAGTTACTCAGGTGGTTAGCAGCAGTGATAGATTTAGAAACCACTTTTCCTTATTACTGGACCAGGGACAGACTTTCTAAATAATGATTATTACTTTACTATCACTTTTGGGAAAAGCTTCAACTTAAGACAAGTTTGGTCTGTTGGAATGCCAAAAAGCTCTTTGGATAATCTGAATGTGCAGTGGAGGTTGAGAGCCCTTGCTTGGGGATCTTTACTTTTATAATCCTCCTTAAGTTTCTCCTCTTTCATTAAAAACACCAAAAATCTCTCTCCGACATTGGGCTTCCGTGCTCTTTTAAGTTAAACTTATAATTTTTTGCCACTTACTGATGTTGATTAAGGTCAGCATGCTTTTGTTGAAGATAAACCATTTCCACTTGGTATGTGGCTTCCCTTTGGGCACGTTATAGTACTGGAAGTTTCCCTGTTTCCTTGGCTTGGGCTCCCTGCCCAGGCAGGTGCTATGTGCTGAAATCATGGTCAGAACCCTCTTCCTTGTTCTTCACAAAGGCAAAATCTTTTTTTTTTTTTTTTTTTTTTTGAGAAAGAGTCTCACTCTGTAGCCCAGGCTGGAGTGCAGTGGCACGATCTCTGTTCACTGCAACCTCCACCTCCCAGGTTCAAGCAATTCTCTGCCTCAGCCTCCTGAGTAGCTGGGATTATAGGTGCCCACCACCACGCCAAGCTAATTTTCATACTTTTAGTACAGACGTGGTTTCACCGTCTTGGCAAGGCTGGTCTTGAACTCCTGAACTTGTGATCCACCAGCCTTGGCCTCTCAAAGTGCTGGGATTACAGGTGTGAGCCACTGCACCCGGCCAAAGGCAAAATGTTTAATAACAAATTGAAAACGTTCAGAGGCAAAACGGATTCCAAAAGACATCTTTTTTTTTTTATCCCTCTAAATCAACTCCAGACAAAGGGTTTTACCCTCCTTCCATTTCCTTCATTTCCACTCTCCCACTCTTCACCCTCATATTGATCTGTTCAGAATCATCAGTGTCCACAGCTTGTTCAATGGCCTTTAGCACAACCAGCATATCCTGCTTTCTCCACCTTGCCCTCCTTCTTCCTTCACATGTGCCATATCGTTTGGCCTTCAAGACTTAATATGGTCACTTAATTGTCATCAGTCACCATAATTGTGTTAAACTTGAAGATCTCTCCAACAGGGGTTAGAGATAATACATGTTAATAGTTGTCACAGAAACAGTGGCTGCAGTGATAGAGCCAAGGCAAAGTCAGCCAAGGAGGTGGCCAGCCAGGCTCTGGAAGGTTTGGGTGAAAGTA
Organism: Homo sapiens; assembly: GCF_000001405.40. Classification (NCBI taxonomy): domain Eukaryota; kingdom Metazoa; phylum Chordata; class Mammalia; order Primates; family Hominidae; genus Homo; species Homo sapiens. The sequence continues at coordinate 349,037 of NW_016107297.1, forward strand.
ACCTTTTAAGGATATAAAAAGTGATTAGGCTTGGATCTACATTACTGTAATTACTTTAGGGGTACGTTAATCTTTATAGAAAACTGGAAAGTGTGCACTAGCTTATCAAGTCTTTTACTACCAAGCTAGACTGTTACATAGATCCAAGCACTCCCTTTGACTCTCACTTGGAAAATTTATCAAATTGGAAGAAAGAGTCAGTAGGGACAGATTAGAGACAGACATATTGTGGCTTAATGTATCTCTATAACGTACATGTCCCTGAATTAAGACAAACATAAATTATTTAACTAATCATCCATTTTAAGGGCTCAAAAAACTTGCCAGGTAAATTATAATTTTGCTTCACCACGGTTTTAAGTATTTACATTATGAATATACACCTCCACTTTAACATTTTAATGAATTTACCAGAATATGCCTGTTGCATCATCTGGTGGAAAAGGGCTATATAAGGATTGGGAAGCACCTTATTAAAATTCTTTCATTCTAAGAATGATTTCATATGTGCAACAAGATACTGAAAACTGTTGCAACTCTTTTGCATATAGCAGTTGTTAGGGACTAAAAGAGTCCTGTTAAAGGGTTCTACACATTTTAGTAATTATTTGTAATAAACGTAAGTATCAGCATGCAGTCATCACACACAGTAGACTGCTGTGTTTAAAAAAAAGCTAATAGGCTTTGTTTCTACCCAGCTATATGAAAGAGAGAGAAAAACTAAATTTTATTTAGTATCAATTTTCTATTGCTGTGCACAAATTTTCTGGCTTAAAACAACACCCCCTTTTTATTTCACATTGTTCAGAAGTCTGGGTGGGAACCACTAAGTTCTATATTTAGGGTCACACAAACTGGACAATTTAGGGGAAGAATCCACTTCCATGCTCATTCAGGTTGTCAGCCAAATTTTTTGTGTGTGTGGTTTTAGGATTGAGATCTCCATTTCCTTGATGGCTGGAAGCTGGGAACCACTCTCACCTTCTAGAGGCCATCGGCATTCCTTGTTCTGCAGTAGTTCCTGTCTATCTCTAAGACACTGAATGTGCATCAAACCCCTCCCATATTTTGAATTTCTGACTTTGTCTTTTGCTACCAGCTAGGGCAACTTTTCTGCTTGTAAAAGGAATTAGGTAAGGCCCACCTGGATAATTTTACTATTTAAAGTTCTACTGACTTGGGTCTTTAATAACATCTGCAAAATCCCTTTATGGCAACACCTAGTTTCATGTTCGTTTCAATTAATACTTCAAGAATCTTTAGAATCTGACTACCATGAACATTTATTACTTGGAAGGCTATTAAATAAATACCTCAACTCTTAAAAATAAAGCCTTTGTCGAAGTAAATAGCATTACTCTCTTTAATAAATGAGAAAATTGAGATTGACCAAGAATTTTTTGTTAGTCCATTTAGCTGCCTCTGAATGTAATCCCAGGTATGTTTGGTTGTACAACTCCCGCATCCTGAGGCTTCCAGCCAAATCAAACCACCAATACTGGCAAATAAGCACGTAAGCATTTGAGAGGAAGCAAAACTGAAAGAGTTTTACCAATGTACATAGAACATCTATATTAAAAAGGACTAATTCCTGTAAGTACTTTTTTGTCATAATAGAGAAGTGCAGAAACTCAAAAGCCTAAGGGCAATTTTTTTGCTTAGCTCTTTCCATTGTCTGCCAGTTTGTAAGCTGATAGCTCCTGCTCAAATGCTTAATCCTTGTTTCTAAATCTTTCACTTTCTTTCTTAATTGTGGTTCCCCTCCATGGGTTTTGTGTTATACGGGGCTAGTTTCAATTTACTGGTTTGTGGCATTTTCAAATTTCAAGCACCCAGTCAGTTTTGAAGGATTATAAATTTAAGCTTCTTAATGTGTTTCTTGAAAAAGCTTTTCTTGGTGGGAAGCTGGAGAACCTACTTCAAATTGTATTTTAAGTACATGACCTTTAGTTTCTTTTAATATATATCAACGGGTTTTGATTTTTTAATCTAAATTTTTAATACATGTCCTTTAAAATGATTTTTAAGTATTTTAGATAAAGAAAATAATCAGTCAAAATGTTGATATTTGATCCTCCCTTCTTACTTGTAACACATTTCAATTGGAAAATCGTACAAGTATATAAATCCACAGACAGGAGGGAGGGAGAAAGAATTACTAACCCTAGTTATATTTCTCTTTGTTAATAGATTATGTTGACTAATTTGGTGAAGGTTTGATCTTGTCTCATATGTTATGGATTGTTCTTTTTAATTTATTTTAAGTGTATCTCTGTATCTATTTTTTTAGTTGTCATGTCTCTTTCTTGAGGTATATAAAAAGTACTTGCCATAACATTCATCCTCATAACTGCAATTCTGTGACTACATGGATGTACATTGTTGTGCAATGATCATCACAATATAGTTTTTAAATATCTCTACTACCTTAAAATACTCTGATATTTGTGTTTTCAGTCAAGCCCAGCTCTCACATTTCATACCAACTATTGATCTAATATATATTATTGATTTATCTCTCTATATATATTTATATATAATATGAATCATACAAACACATATATACATATATTTTTTGTCTTTTCTAGAAATTCATTTAAGTAGAATAATGTAATACATAATTTTTCTGTTTGGGTTTTTCACCTAGCATGTTTTTGAGATCTATCCATGTTATTAGAGGCATTAGTAGTTTGTCTCTTTTTATTGCTGAGGAGTATACAATTGTATTGATAGACTACAATTTATTTGTTTATTTACCAGTTGATGGCTATTTAGATGTTTTCAACTTCTGGCTATTATAAATAATGCTCCTAGGAACACTTAGCACAAGTCTTTGTGTGGATATAGGTTTTAATGTTGCTTGGCTGGGTAGTTAGGGGTAGAATAATGGGTCATGTACAAGGAAATGTTTAACTGCTTAAGAAATTACCAAACTTTTCCAAAGGTGCTTTACCATTTTTACCTTCCCACCAGCAATGTATAAGGGTTCCGGTTCCTTCACATATTCAGCAACACTTGGTATTAACAGTGTTTTTTATTATAGCCATTCTTTGCCTACCATAGTGCTATTTTATTTTGGTTTTAATTTGAATTTTGCTAATTACTAATGATGTTGAAAATCTTCTTGTGTGTTTATTAGACATTAGTATATTTTCTTTGGCAAAATGACTATACAAATTTTTGCCATATTCTTATTTGGTCTTTCTTATTATTATCCATGTGGGACCAATCTAATCACAGGGGTCCTCATCAGAGGGAGGGAGAGTGTCAGAGTCAGAGAAGGGAGATTTGATGAAGGAAGCAGAGGTCTGAGTGATTCCATTGCTGGAAGGCGACAAGTGCCAAGGAATGTGGGCTACCTCTAAAAGCGATTTTTTTCCATACTGTTGTTCCCCAAACAGTAGCTACAGACCACTTGAATCAAAATCACCTGTAATTCTTTAAAATAAATTTTGATCACACCCATAAACTTCATCAGTGGGTTTGGGGTAATGACTGGGAATTGTATTTTCAAAGCACCCCATGTAACTGTCACGCACACTTAAGTTTGAAACACACTCTTTTACAGAAAGCCCAGTCTTAAAACTCCACATCCAACATAGAACTTAACTTCTAGTCTTATCAGTACCATTAATGGTGGTCAGAGAAGCCAGGCATCCAGAATCATTCTTGGCTTTTCTCTCTCAGATCTTGGTAATTTTCTGCCTTAGAAATATATATTTTTAAAGTTAATCTAACTTCTTCATGTCTGATGTCAGCCCTGAGCTCAGGCTATCATTGGGGTTTCAAATCAGCCTACTTCTATTCAGTCCATCTCTGGCACTGCTGCCACACATTTTAAAGAACATATATGGTAGATAACTTTTGGTAGAATTAACAGGCTTTCTCCCAAGTTCGCTCTCCCTTTCACCCTGTAATCTACCTTCATTTGAGCTAATAGGCATGAATCTCCAATGACTTAAAAAATGTTCTGAAATGTGAATCCTGTATCTGAATTACTGCTATTATCTAGAAATTTAGCACATCCCCAGGCCCCACCTACCTTTGCCAAATAAGAAACTGTGGAGTGGGACTCAGAATCCCATGCTTTCCTAAGACCTGCTAAATGACTGCAGCTTGCTCCAATTTGAGCATCATTGCTATGCAGAAAACCTGTCATGACCAAACCACAAGAGAAACGCATTGAATTTTGGGATTTTAGTTATTTAAATATAATTTCCAACTGCTGAGTACCTATTACCTCAAACAAAAGGTAATTTTCCTCTTCCATTCTGGCTGTCTAGTTTGACTTCTCTTCCTCTTTCTCATCAGCAATATAGATTGTTGAGCATTTTAAGGGAAAGAACAATTTGAATTACCTCTCCTCCACACTAGCCGGTTTCTGCTGGTTAGAATGTGGTCCCGCAGCATCATAGTTCATCGTGTTATGAAATACTGCTCCCAATCAGAGGAGGAGATATGATTTTGTTTGGCATCCCAAGCCTTGTTATGTGTTGAATAGTTTTTCCTTTAGGCATTGAACATAAGTTTTCTAACCAAGAATCTCAGTGATGGCTTTTTAAATGGAATTGTCAGAAATGTGAAAGCATCTTATTTACCCTGATCAGAAATTGAGTCCATAAGTAGGAAAAAATGACAGGAGAGGTAGTTTAATGTAATGTCTATTCAAAACTATGATTCTTAAATTTCGTTTATCAGTGTAATAGATAAGCAGGTTATAATGGTATACAAGGCTGAATCAATTAGGGTTAAGTTTGCCTTTGAGTGATAAAATGACCATGGTTTAAACAATGTAGATGTTTCACTGTCATATACAGCAATCTGGAAGTAGATAAGCTAAGGAGGTAGGTAGTAGCATCTTATTTTAATCACTCAGTTTTACATATAGTTTCCGCTTGGATTCCCACAAAAGGATTTTTGAGCCTCAACCATTAAGTCCGTATTCCAATTAGCAGCAAGAGAAAGCAATCAACCGAGCAGTTGTTCTTCTCTTTGAGGATAAGTTTTACTCACCATATCAACTAAGATTTCCTTGACCAGAACTTAACCACATGGTCATGCATAACTGCAGAAGCATTTGCTAAATCTGAGCTCTCCCTTCCCAATGGGCAGCCATTTATCCACCAGAATAATTAAGGATTATATAAGGAAGAAGGAAAACATGAATATCAGCTCATAACTATATGTCTCTACAGCAAATGTGGTCTCTAAAATCTTTACTATTTATACTTTCTTTTTTATCACCATTTGATTTATTTAAATTGAAAAAATGATTAGTTTGCAATATGCAAAGACATCAAAATATTGGCCAGGCACTTTTATCATTTCCTTATTTTATTATTCAACTTTCAATTCAGGACAGCATCCTTATATTTCTTATTTTTAATGTGTAACACAGATGTGGTTATTAAACTCCAACAAGAGTAAATTGGTTTCCATTTCAACCTACATTGCTAACTCAGTCAGATAAAATGTTTCTTAAATACCAATTATGTGCTGAATGCAGTAGTTACTTTCCAGTGGTTCTAGTAAGTTATCTTCATAAAAATCAAGAAGGTTTTCATTCTTTGAATTAGAATTACTTCTTCAGTATGTGTGCTCAATAACTCCTAAGGCAATCATCTTCAAAGTCTTTTCTCTGCTGGATGGTTGTCTGAACAGCATTTCATAGAGCCTGTGCTCATTCATTCTACACGGACCTAACGAAGTTTTTTCTGCAATTACCAGGCAGATAGCCTGAAGTCAGGCAGTGATTTTCTATTTTAAACCTACTGGAATTTAAATTTTCATTTAACAACTCGTCACATAGCTGCAACCTAATCTGAAACAAGCTATGCTATAACCAAAAGAGGGAAAATAAATCATCTTCTAAAGTATTTGGCAGAACAAAGCTTATATTTTTAATATCATAGAAATGATCACAATATATCACTAAATGAAACAATTGCAATACAATTTATCTTGATTTTCTAGGTCTTTGTTAGAATAATTTTTTTTTTTTTTTTTTTTTTTTAGTAGAGGTGGGGTTTCACCATGTTAGCCAGGATGGTCTTGATATCCTGACCTCGTGATCCGCCTACCTCAGCCTCCCAAAGTGCTGGGATTGCAGGCATGAGCCACCACGCCCGGCCTGTTAGAATAATTTTTAATCTTCAACCAAGTTCTTTATAAAGTCACTTGCAGTACATCATTATTAATAAAATGGTCGTGAATCAAATGCTATTTTTATGACGTTCTCAGTAGACAACTATAAAAGTAAATTTATATATTACATTTAAAATTATGCATGCAATTTTAATACAAAAGGTATGTATTTCCTTAACTTAAAAATATTTACCTAAATAAAAACATAGTTCTATTTATTATAAGGTTAATATAAATTCAAAAATAAGTCTTATGTACATCCTATATAGTAAGTGACTTAAAAAATAGTTACTGAACAAAAAGCAAATTAATGAATAGTATATTAAAGTCCATAATTTTAAGACATTTTCTAAAATGCTAACTGCTTATAAGCCTTAGGTCACACACATTTTTTGTCTGCCCACTATAATCATTAATTCATTATTAATTATACTTAATTATGATCAATACTAATTTTACTTCTATAATTTGTTCTGCATATACAATGTGCATTTATCAACTCTTTTGTAAATATAAATATTTCTTAGTTGTTTTCAAATAATCTACATTTTCAAAAACAGAGAAAAATGAGTATGTGACAGAAACGCATTTTATCCTGCCCATTCTGCCCAACTTTTTGCTTTCTAGAATGTAAACAATATTGAATAGAGTGGTCTGAAAGTACTAAGTTTAACAATATCTGTGATACCTTGTCATAATCCTGGAAGTTACAGAAAAGTCTGTGCTTTGGAAAATGGTAAACATTGTCACAATGGAGTGTTTAGACATCACTGGACTGATGAGATAGGTAATTTACAAGTAAATTGCCTCTGCCAGACTTTAGTCCATTATTGTCTAGACAAGACAGGGAATAAAATGGAGTCAAGCTCTCCATACGTGTTCTAAATGAAAATAGCAGCAGAACCCAGAGGGTCTAGTAAGTAGCTTTTGTGTATCTATGGCAGGAGATGTAGGTGTCTCTTTTCCTTTTCTCTATTACTTTCATACAATTGTTCCTACCTTCCCCGAACCTCGTCTCCTTAACCTTATTCTCCACTCTACCTCAGCCACTCACTCATACCATCTAGACTCAGCCATTACCAGCCACAGCAATGACAACACAATCTCAATTTTAAGTATCTCCCTTTCTTACTCTAACTGCTTCTATGGAAAGTCACATAATGTGTATTAGTAGAAAGTAGAAAGAATAGCAAATCTTGAAACAAAGCAAATCTTAATCTAAGGATGAATACCAAGATGTTCTCATACATCCCACCTTAAGTAAAATAATGTCTGGATCATGCAATGTCCTCATCAACAATCTTACTTTACATTTGGTGAAAGATTCGCAGGGAAGTTTCTAATAAAACCAACTCATTAAAGATAAGATCATATGCTAAAATGCATTGTCACCTATTTGTTCTATATAATTTAAGGATAGAGTTTAGAGTACCTGGTGAATAGAATGTGAAAATTTCTTCAGCAATTTTTTATTTCTTATTAGAATATGTAGTTAAATAGTCCATTATAAGCGCACACAAGTCATTAGATTCCAACCAACAATTTTAGCATTATAGGTGCTCTCCATCCTTTATAAATATGCCACATATTCTAAAGTCAACCAGTAAGTCATGCTTTATCTTCAGTTTTATTGAGATACATTCTACATACCATAAAATGTTTACTTATTGTAAGTGCACAATTCAATTAAGTTATAGGCAGTAGTGTATTTCATTATGCATTATTAAGCTTTTTGACAATGCCTGGACATATATAGTTATTAATAGAAAGAGTAGAACAATAATTTAACTGAAGATGTTAAATTTTCTTTCTCTTGTCTGAACTAAATACTGCAGTCATTCTGATGCATTGTATAACTTGGCACAGTATTCTTATTATTTAAGGGAACTTAAGGAGAATTCCAAATTGTTTTCTCTATTGGTTGTATATGCAAGAGTTTATGATTTTTACTCTCTGGTTGGAGGGCTGTTATGCTGTTATTGTGTATTGCTTTTAGAGTGCAGAACTATCTGTTTTAAACATCAAGAAAAAACAGATGGTATGGTTAGAATTTTATTATGAAAGGAATAAAGGAAACTTGCTTGGATGAAAATTATCCCAAGGGAGAAAGATGACAGGGCAGAGTTAAGACAAGCCTCTGATAGGCTGGGCGTGGTGGCTCACACCTGTAATCCCAGCACTTTGGGAGGCTGAGGCGGCTGGATCACGAGGTCAGGAGATCGAGACCATCCTGGCTAACACGGTGAAACTCCGTCTCAACTAAAAATACAAAACAATTAGCTGGGCGTGGTGGCGGGTGCCTGTAGTCCCAGCTACTCGGGAGGCTGAGGCAGGAGAATGGCATGAACCCGGGAGGCGGAGCTTGTAGTGAGCTAAGATCGCGCTACTGCACTCCAGCCTGGGCCACAGAGCGAGACTCCATCTCAAAAAAAAAAAAAAAAAAAAAAGAATCCTCTGATAATTTCCTTCACTAAGAATTTATGTAAATAACCATTTCAAAATGAAATTTAGGCCGCATATTGTGAAGGAGGTTCACTGTTCTCTGGTTAGAGTCTGGTGGAGACAGGACACACTTACGCAAGACAGGTCTGAGTTTGAAAAGACAGTACGTGCTCGTAAGCAACAAGTTACATTAAGTGGATGTAGTATTTACAGATGGGCAGCAAGGGACAACAGAAGCCTAGGATTTATTTTGAGCTGGTCTTCTGAAGCTCAGAAAACCACTCAGAGCAGACAGAGTCTCAGTCGTGTGTACCCCACTTGCACCACAGATAAGAAACTTTGAAAGGCAGTCTGCCCCGGTTATATACCTCATGGTTACATGACGCACTGGGCTAAAGCATTGATAGACATTTTGTTTCTTGGAAGGACTCGAACAGTCTGCTGTGTTCTGGCCATCTCCCCCTCATATCAGGATGTGATATTTCCAAAATAGTCTACACTTATTCTTGAGAACTGCAAATGATAACTGGGTTGGTTCAAGGCCACGCAGAGAATGGGCCTGCACACAGTGTGGTAAAATATCACACAGACATACCTGATTTTATTGCCCTTTGTGTTATTGTGCTTTGCAGATATCACATTCTTTTGACAAATTTAAGATTTATGGCAACCTTGCATCTAGTAAGTTTACTGGCACCATTTTTCCAACAGCATGTGCTCACTTAGTGTCTCATCCCATTTGGTAATTCTCACATTTCAAAGTTTTTCATTATTGTTATGTCTGTTATGGTAACAAGTGATCAGAGATCTTTGATGTTACTACTGTAATTGTTTTGGGGCACCATGAACTGTGCCCATATAAGATGCAGAATTTAATAAATTCTATGTGTGTTCTGACTGCTTCACTGGCCAACTGTTCTCCCATCTCTTTCCTTCTCCTCAGGCCTCCCTATTCCCTGAGACACAATACTGAAGTTAGGTCAGTTAATAAACCTACAATGGCCTCTAATTGATCAATGGAATGAAAAAGTCATATGTCTCTCACTTTAAATCAAAAGCTAGAAATGATTAAGCTTAGTGAGGAAGGTACGCCTAAAGCCAAGATAGGCTGAAAGGCCTCTTGTGTCAGAGAGTTACCCAACTTGTGAATGCAAAAGAAAAGTTCTTTAAAAACATTGAAAGTGATTCTCCAGTGGACACATGAATGATAAAAAGTGAAACAGTCTCATTGCTGATATGAATAAAGTTGGAATGTTCTGGATTGAAGATCAAACCAGACACAACATTCCCTTTAAGCCAAGACCTATTCCAGAGTAAGGCCCTAACTCTCTTCCATTCTCTGAAGGCTAAGAGTGAAGAGGAAGCTGCAGAAGCAAAATTTGAAGCTAACAGAAGTTCATTTGTGACGTTTAAGGAAAGAAGCCATCTCCAAAACATAAAAATGCAAGGTGAAGCAATGAGTACTGATATAGAAGCTGTGGCAAGTTACATAGAAGATCTGGCTAAGATCACTGATGAAGGCGGCAACATTAACAACAGATTTTTCAATGTAGACAAAACAGCCTTCTATTCCAAGAAGATGTCTTCTACAAGTTTCAGAGCCACAGAGGAGAAACCAATACCTGGCTTCAAAGTTCGAAGGACAAGCTGACTCTTTTATTAGGGGATAACACAGCTGGTGACTTTATGTTGAAGCCAACGCTCATTGACCATTCTGAAAATCTTAAGGACCTTCAGAATTATGCTAAATCTACTCTACCTATGCTCTATAAATGAAATAACAAAACCTGAGTGACAGCAGATCTGTATACAGCATGGTTTACCAAATATTTTAAGCCTAATGTTGAGACGGATGCTAATATATAAATACATATATTAATATATGTATATAAATATATAAATACATATATTAATATATGTATTTATATATATAAATACATATATTAATATATATATTTATAAATATATGAATATATATTTATATAGTTATAAATATATATAAATATATATATTTATCAATATATAAATATATATATTTATCAATATATAAATATATATATTTATCAATATATAAATATATATATTTATCAATATATAAATATATATATTTATCAATATATAAATATATATATTTATCAATATATAAATATATATATTTATCAATATATAAATATATATATTTATCAATATATAAATATATATATTTATCAATATATAAATATATATATTTATCAATATATAAATATATATATTTATCAATATATAAATATATATATAAATATATATATTTATCAATATATAAATATATATATTTATCAATATATAAATATATATATTTATCAATATATAAATATATATATTTATCAATATATAAATATATATATAAATATATATATTTATCAATATATAAATATATATATAAATATATATATTTATCAATATATAAATATATATATAAATATATATATTTATCAATATATAAATATATATATAAATATATATATTTATCAATATATAAATATATATAAATATATATATTTATCAATATATAAATATATATATAAATATATATATTTATCAATATATAAATATATATATAAATATATATATTTATCAATATATAAATATATATATAAATATATACATTTATCAATATATAAATATATATATAAATATATACATTTATCAATATGTAAATATATATATAAATATATACATTTATCAATATGTAAATATATATATAAATATATACATTTATCAATATGTAAATATATATATAAATATATACATTTATCAATATGTAAATATATATATAAATATATACATTTATCAATATATAAATATATACATTTATCAATATATAAATATATACATTTATCAATATATAAATATATACATTTATCAATATATAAATATATACATTTATCAATATATAAATATATACATTTATCAATATATAAATATATATATTTATATATATAAATATATATATAAATATATATATAAACATATATGTTTATAAATATATAAATATATAAAATTTACTGCTCATTGACAATGAGGAGAGTAATAGTTTGAAAACTAATAGTTTGAAAGAATATATATATTACATATTAATCTATATATATATACATTTACATATATTATATATTAATCTATATATATAGATTTATATATATATCTCCTTGCACTTTTCATCAAAGCTCTTAATGAATGAGCAGTAATAGTTTGAAAGAATATATATGTAAGAATATATATAAGAATATATGTAAGTATATATATAAGAATATATTCTTATATATCCATATTGATAATAGATCTAGTCACTCAAGAGCTTTGATGAAAAGTGCAAGGAGATTAATGTTCTTGTGGCTGCTAACACAACATCCATTCTGCAGCCTACAGATCAAAGAGTAATTTTAACTTTCAAGTCTTATTATTTAAGTAATAAATAATAAGGCTGTAGATTCCATGGATAATGATTCCTCTGATGTATCCTGGCAAAGAAAACTGAAAACCTTCTGGAAATGATTCATCATTCTAGATGCCATTCAGGACATTTGTGATTCACAGGAGGAGGTCAAAATATCAACCTTAACAGGAGTTTGGAAGAAGTTGATTCTATCTCTCACGGATTTTAGGAATTTAAGCCTCCAGTGGAGAAAGTAATTGCAGACATGCTGGAAATAGCTGAAGCACTAGAATTAGAAGGGAAAGCTAAAGATGTATTTGAATTCCTGCAATCTTACGATAAAATTTGAATGGAAGAAAAGTTGCTTCTTATGGGTGGGCAAAGAAAGTGCTTTTCTGAGATGAAATACACTCCTGGTAAAGATATTGTGAACATTGTTGAAATGTCAACAAAGGCTTTGAATATTACATAAACATATTTGATGAAGAAACACTGGGTTTTAGAGGATTGACTTCAATTTTGAAAGAAGTTGTACTGTGGGTAAAATGCTGTCAAGTGGCATCTCATGCTATATGGAAACATTTCATGAAATTAAGAGTCAATCTATGTGGAAAACTTCATTGTTATCTTATTTTTAAAAATTCCATGGCTACCGTAGCCTCTAGCAACCAACACTGTGATCAGTCAGTAGCCATCAACATCAAGGCAAAACCCTCCACCAGCAAAAAGATTACAATTCACTGAAGGCTTAGATGATCATTATCATTTTTTACCAATAAAGTGCTTTTTAATTATAGTATGTATTTTTTGATATAATGCTATTGAGCATTTGATAGGCTATATTATAGTATAAACCTAATTTCATATACACTGGGAAAAAATTATGTGACTCGCTTTATTGTAAAATAATCTTTATTGCAGTGCTCTGGAATTAAACCCACAATATCTCTGAGGTAAGTCTGGATTAGATATATGTATGTTCTTCATGTATGTGTCTGTCTTCTAAGAAAGGATGAATAAATAAACTCTTCCTGTATCCATGCTAATTGAGGATGTGTAAAGGGTAGCATTTTGTTTATTCACTCTCTCTGAAACTTAGGAATTGATATATACATATTCATAATGTTATATATTAAAAATTAATCTGAAGGTTCATATTTCTCTCTTTGAAACTCACTCTGGAATTC